>NC_000007.14:63415869-63718900 GCF_000001405.40 Homo sapiens | reverse complement strand
AGATTATCAGGCATTAGATTCTCATAAGAACAGAGCAAGGTAGATCCCTCACATGCACAGTTCACAATAGGATTCGTGCTCCTATGAGAATCTAAAGCTGCCGCTGATCTGACAGGAGCCCGAGATCAGGCAGTAATGTGGGGAGTGGCTGTAAATACAGATGAAGCTTCACTCACCCACCCGCTGCTCACCTCCTGCTGTGTGGCCCAATACAGGCCTGTGACCCAGGGATTAGGGGCCCCTGCTCAAGTGCATCCAAAAGGACCCTTCCCACACCAATCTTCATAGTGGTCAAGTGCAGCAACTACTTAGCTCCCAAGGTATGTGCCTCAGCTGGCAATTCATCACAATCAACAGTAAGTGGTAGTTTGAGTCATTGTGAGGTCACTTCCTGGAAATGACCAGCATCCCATATCCCATTGGCAAGGAGCTCAGCGCTGCCCCTTGGATAACCAAACCTATGCCCAAATCCCATCTGTGTGGGTCCATCTCCTGGTACCCTTCCTAGCATCAATTCTTTATTTGTAGGAGTCCAATCAGGAGACACAAACCACTCGAAAATTTAAAGTGGTAAAATTCAAAACAAAAAAGTATTAATTATAACAAGGCAACAGCATAATGAGAGATTGGCTACCAAAAAGCAAAGAGAAGGCTAGAGAACATAGGAGGCCAGGTATTGTACCCCCTGCTTATAATTCCAGCAATTTCAGAAGCCAAGGCAGGAGGATTGCTTGAGGCCAGGAGTTTGAGACCAGCCTGGGAAGCACAGTGAGGCCCTGTCTTTAAAACAAAACAAAACAAAACAAAAACAAAAACAAAAACAAAAACCTCCATCTCAAAAACAAATAAAAATAAATAAATAAAATAAAAAATAAAAAATTTAGCTTTGCATGCTGTTGTACGTCTATAGTCCCAGCTCCTTGGGAAGCTGAGGTGGGAGTATTACTTGATCCCAGGAATATGACGCTACAGCAAGCCATGATCACACCACTGCACTGCAGCCTGAGTAACAGAGCAAGACCCTGTCTCTACAAAGGAAAGAAAAGAAATGCAAGTTTTTATCACTTTGTGAGAGTAATAAAGTTTGAGGAGAAACAGAGAAGAACAAAAGAGCACTGAATGGTGAGGGTGGGTGTCTGGTTAGGCTCAGTTACTAGCTAAGTGGCTTCTGAAAAATTCTTTAATAAAATCATATCTCTGGGGGTCAGTCATGCAGTCAAATGATGAATGCTGAATCCATTACAAATGCCCATCATCTTTCTTTACATGCCTTCTAGTAAAAAATTCCTAAGTGCCTAAATAGCAAGTGGTCTGAAATGACAGCAGTTGTTTATTAAAGAAATATCTCAGCCAGGTGCGGTGGCTCATGCCTGTAATCCCAGCACTTTGGGAGACTGAGGTGGGCAGACCACCTGAGGTCGGCAGACCACCTGAGGTCAGGAGTTGGAGAACAGCCTGGCCAACATGGTGAAACCCCCATCTCTACTCAAAATACAAAAACTTAGCTGGGTATGGTGGTGGGCACCTTAATCCCAGCTACTCGAGAGGCTGAGGCAGGAGAATCACTTGAACCTGGGAGGCGGAGGTTGCAGTGAGCCGAGATCACACCACTGCACTCCAGCCTGAGTAATAAGAGCAAAACTCCACCTCAGAAATAAAAAAAAAAAAAAAAATCTCGATTTTTAAAAACTATGAGTCAAATATTATTTTCCTCCTCCCATTTTACAGGGTGCAACCTAAATAACAGAGAATTTAAGTAATTTTCCTAAGTGGCAGAGCACAGATTTAAATCCTATCACTTTGGCCTCAGAATTTGTGCTTTATATTATTTTACTATTTTAAAATTCATCTTTTTTAAAACCAAGAGACTTATGCAAAATTGTGCTAGGATTCAAAAAACGCCTCTTGCTTTTCCTGATCATGGTTACAGGCAGGGCTCATGCTGCATTTTCTTTACTTATTTATGTCCTGCTTGGATGGAGACATGATGACAGGAGCTCCCTCCATCACCGTGCACCAGAAAGAAAAGTGAAGAGAAGCACAGGGAAGCCAGTCTTACCATGTTTGAGCAACTGAACCAATGTCAGCCTGAGCCTACCAGCACAATTACTCTTATGTGAGAAAAACAGGCATCTCCCTATTTGGAAAATCACAGCTGACTGCAGTAGTAAACAATCCACAAGTTATTCCTGGTAACACTATTCCTACAGCCCTAATCTGTCTCAAAAAAAAAAAAAAATCCTAATGCAGTTATTTCCTTTTGCATTCATGAGGAGATGGAAGAAATACCCATATTTGATGGTTGGCTGGGAACTGTCTTTGGCACTGTATGAAGTATTTTAATATTGTAAACATGAAAAGATGAGAATCCTGGAGACCCCGTGGGCATGGAGAAAAGGAAGTACATTAGAGGGTGTTGTAGGAAATATTTTCATTCCAGGCACTGCTGTTTAAACTACCCCTAAACTTTCTTTCCTTAAAAGAACAGAAAAAACAAAGAGGACAAAAGATCAAGAAACATTCCACGTGCCCCTCTCCATTCTTATTTGTTGTAATAAAGGAAAAGCATTGTGGAGATTTTCCTGAATGCAGTTTATGATGTGATCAAAGTTATTTATTTTCTGCTAATGATTTTCAAAATTTGAATTAAAAACTTTCAGAAATTTAGCTTTATCAAAGGCAGCTGTTCACATGTAAAACTAGTTTGGTTAACTTCATCTGCATAAACACATAGCTAGTGAATTAGCATAACTATTAAACTGAAGAATCAACAGAAACATGCCAATGACTGGCCCTTACCTTCCACAGTGACCTCAATTTCAGGAAGATTTTCATTACTCTCAGGCCTTCATGGTCTTTTTGGGGACTGAAAGTTGTAAAATAAGCACAGAATTACTTTAGTATGTTGTAGGAAAAAAATACAAAAGGAGATGTTTTATAAGAGTAGAGTATTAAAATTCATACAGTTTGACTCTTTGCGAAGAAACCTGCAGAATTAAACTTGTAGTGTAGTCCTCTACAGGCGGCTCAAAAAAGCCATGGAAACATGCATAAAGTAGGATTGCAAATGTGACATTTCCAGTGAAATTTAAAAAAAAAAAAAAGAAAAAAGAAAAAGAGGTCCATTAAATAACATAACTTAAAAAGCTAAGAAACCAACTGCAAGTCCCACAAAGATATTGGCCAATGACTCTCTATGATTTTAAGAAATGCTGATAAAGAATGTCTTAATGCAGTGAAATATAACAGGAAGTACATGTAATCTCTTACCTTTAGTGTGGCAAGTAGGAAATAATTAGTTCAAGTCAAGAAAGAATACCAAGAAATGTTATAGTAGCCAGTACAATGGTGGTCTAACAGCTAGTAAAACAGTCCTGATATGATGAGAGTTTTTTCAAAAGGAGTTCGCAGAGTCACCCTGTAATGTAACAATAATTCCTATCATTGTGTACAAAAACCCTGACATTTCCTTCCCATGACTGGCAAGTAATTATATGAAGAATAAATTACTTCTTTCATGAAAAAGAAAATCAACACTAGTGTATTTTCTTCAGCCACTAAAATTCTGCAGGAACACAGATATAGTAAGAAACTCAATCATCACATCAGGCCGGGTATGGTGGCTCATGCCTGTCATTCCAGCACATTGAAAGGCCAAGGCGGGTGGGTCACCTGAGTTCAGGAGTTCAAGACCAGCCTGACCAACTTGGTGAAACCCCATCTCTGCTAAAAACACAAAAATTAGCCAGGTATGGTGGCGCATTTCTGTAATCCCAGCTACTCAGGAGGCTGAGGCAGGAGACTCACCTGAACCCAGGAGGTGGAGGTTGCAGTGAGTGGAGATCACACCACTGGACTCTAGCCTGGGCAACGAGAGTAAAACTCTGCCTCAAAAAAAAAAGAAAAGAAAAGAAAAGAAAAGAAACTCAATCATCAATATTTAGTCACTCTTAAGACTGACCCAGGAATAACAGAGCAGATAAAATCCAGCAAATTAGACTTCATTCAAGTACTTAGGTGTACTGTGAGCCACCATGGTGCCTCTAAACACCATGGAGGCAGTGGTCACTATTCTTGCACTGATGAAGATGGCTGTGTACAGGATTGGGGGCTTCAGGGGCAATGGAAAGTGCCAGGACTGCAGCTCAGAGCCAGGCTTTTCCATGAAGGACTTATGGCCACACTTGTCACCTCTAGCTAGAAAAACATTTTAGTAGAAATGTCATTTTATTGTTTTAATTCCAGAAATGACTTCAGTGGCAAATAGAACTTACTTTTTTACTGTTGTTGTTGTTGTTGTTGCAGAGTTTCACTCTGTTGCCCAGGCTGGAGTGCAGTGCTGTGATCTCAGTTCATAGCAGCCTCTGCCTCCCAGCTTCAAGTGATTCTCCTGCTTCAGCCTCCCGAGTAGCTGGGATTACAGGTGCCAGCCACCATGCCTGGCTAATTTTTTGTATTTTTAGTAGAGATGGGGTTTCACCATGTTGGCCAGGCTGGTCTCGAACTCCTTACCTCAGGTGATCCACCCACCTCAGCCTCCCAAAGTGCTGGGATTATAGGTGTGAGCCACTGCACCTGGCCTGCAAATACTATTTGGAAGCAGCCCTTTGCTACTAACTGCTCAAGACCGTAATAACCCTCCTCCTTTGGTTGCTGCAAACTGGCACATTTCAGGCTAAACTTTCATCTACACGGAAACAACAAGATCTTCTTTACTACCCCTTCAACCTTGTGAGCATGCTATTAAAAAAATAAATAAAAATAAAAAACTTTGCACAAAGAATTAATGGAATGGGAAATTTAAAAAGTAAGCAGAGGCCTGTTTAGATTACAAGAGGCATAACAACCAAAGTTAGCACATGAAGATTGTTTGGATCCAGATTTAAAGCAAAATTTTTCAGATAATGAGAAAATGAGATACTGTTCAGGTAAGAGTGAGGAAACTTGGCTAGGTGCAGTGGCTCACACCTGTAATCCCAGCACTCTGGGAGGCCGAGGTGGGAGGATCACCTGAGGTCAGGAGTTCAAGACCAGCCTGGCCAATATGGCGAAACCCCGTCTCTACTAAAAATACAAAAATTAGCCGGGTGTGGTGGCATGCGCCTGTAATCCCAGCTCCTCAGGAGGCTGAGGCAGGAGAATTGTTGGAGCACAGGGGGCAGAGGCTGCAGTGAGCCGAGATTAGACCATTGCACTGCAGCCTGGGCGACAGTGCAAGACTCTGTCTCAAAAAAAAAAAAAAAAAAAAGAAAGAAAGAAAGAAAAGAGTGAGGAGACTCAGCTAAGGGCTGCATATGAGCTGATACCAAAAAAATCATTGTTCATTTTGTCAGATGTGATGAGATAGTGGCTGTGTAGGAATACATAAATGCTGTTCGGGGATGCACACTGAACAGATAAAATGATGTGATGACTGATTTGCTTTACAATATTCCTGCAAAGGGAGGTAAAAGAACAGAAGAACAAAACGTGGGACAATCTTAAAGATCACAGAAATTGAGGAATGGGTATTTTAGCGGTCATTGTACTATTTTCTCTACTTCTGAATAGGTATAAAAATTGTAATTTAAAAATGTAAAATAAAACAGCCAGGCGCAGTGACTCATACCTGTAATCCCAGCACTTTGGGAGGTTGAGACAGGTGGATCACATGAGTCAGGAGTTCGAGACCAGCCTGGTCAACATGGTGAAAGCCTGTCTCTACCAAAAATACAAAAAACAAAAAAAAGTCAGCCAGGTATGGTGGCAGGTACCTGTAGTCCCAGCTACTCAGGAGGCTGAGGCAAGAGAATCACTTGAATCCAGGAAGCAGAGGCTGAAGTGAGCTGAGACTTCGCCACTGCACTACAACCTGGGTGACAGAGTGAGAATCCACCTCAAAAAAAAAAAAAAAGAAAAGAAAAAAGTATAAATAAATTGATTAATCCCTGCTCTGAAGCCACATCCAAACAGAACTCTAAAAAAAGATTCAAGCAATTTACTGTGCTGTTTATATACACATCTCCCTCACACCTCTGTAACATTTAAATATTTTACAACATGATGGGTGGGAGTGGCTCAAAGCTGGACATGCTGGCATGTGCCTGTAGCCCCAGCTACTTAGGAGACTGAGGCAGGAGGATAACTTGAGCACAGGAGTTCTAGTCCAGCCCAGACAACATAACAAGACCCTGGTTTTTTTTGAGATGGAGTTTGACTCTTGTTACCCAGGCTGGAGTGCAATGGTGGGATCTCAGCTCACTGCAACCTCTGTCTCCCGGGTTCAAGTTATTCTCCTGCCTCAGCCTCCCAAGTAGCTGAGATTACAGTCACACACCACCACACCCAGCTAATTTTGTATTTTTAGTAGAGATGGGGTTTCTCCATGCTGGTCAGGCTGGTCTTGAACTCCCGACCTCAGGTGATCTGCCTTCCAAAATGCTGGGATTACAGACATGGGCCACCACACCCTGCCAATCCTGTTTCTTTAAAAAGAAAGGTTGGGGAGCTGTCAGGGAGCTCACTGATGAATTATTTTGGCAGTAACAACAATTGCTATGAAAACGCAACTATAAAATCCAAAATTGTATCTATTCCCAGATCTTTCTCCTTACTTCCAAACTCATTTATCCAACTGTCTCCTCCACCTCCACACCTCAACTTAAATGTCAACTCAAAATAAATTAACAATTAATTTCTGTGTTCTTAGACTGGCTTTCCTCTAACATCTCAAGACCTGTCTTAAATTCTTAATGTTATTAGCACCAAATCTGAAGGACTCTAGTATAGAGACTCTTTGATATAAGAAACATGTGTTTTTGAGAAACCACACAAAATGAAATAATTATTATAGCTGTAAAAACAAATATGCCCATAAACAAAAAACAGTAAAGGATTAGAGGCTTTTAGTCACACTAGAGAGTGATGTTAAATTATTCTGTTAATTCAAGAAAATATATAAACCTAATTCTAACAAATTTTCTATAAAATAAAAAAGAACCAATTGTTGAAGGTGAGAGTGAAAAAAGTGGAAGTTTTAGAAAGAGGTGAGGCCAACTGCAGAATGTGCTCATCACATATCATCAAGGCTGCCCCAATCACACCCTCTGCCTCCTCAACCCCTTATTCTACTTAATTCTACCCCAGACCTTAACACCTTACACTGTAAATATCTCCTACTTACTACACATTTCCCCACCAGATTGAATGCTCCAGACTGTATGGGGCAGTTCCCCTGCACCTGACTCACAGGTGCCAAATGACTGCAGGATTATGAGGCTGAAAGTAGTAAACATTTCCTCAATACTTGCAGTGGTTCACAGCCATGAAAAATCCAAGATTTCCTCTCTCTCTTTCAGGAACCTTAAAGAAAGCAGCAATACTGTCAGAAGCATTTGAAAGAGAGCAACTCGATCTTAAGTAGGAGCTGGGTAAAATGAGGCTAAGACTTACTGAGCTGCATTCCCAGATGGTTAAGGCTAAGTCACAGGGTGAGGGAGGTCAGCACAATATACAGGTCATAAAGACCTTGCTGATAAAATGGGCTGCAGTAAAAAAGCCAGCCAAAACCAAGATAATGACGAGAGTGACCTCTGCTCATCCTCACTGCAATACACCCATCAACTCCTTGGCAGTTTACAAATGCCATGGCAATGTCAGAAAGTTGTTCTGTATGGTCTAAAAGGTGAACCATAAAATTAATCCACTCCCGGCCATGTGCAGTGGCTCTCACCTATAATCTCAGCACTCTGGGAGGCCAAGGTGGGTGGATCACCTGAGGTCAGGAGTTTAAGACTAGCCCAGCCAACAAGGTGAAACCCCGTCTCTACAAGAAATACAAAAAAAATTAGTTGGGTGTGGTGGTACATGCCTGTGATCCCAGCTATTCAGGAGGCTGAGGAAGGAGAATCGCTTGAACCCAGGAGGCAGAGGTTGCAGTGAGCCAAGATCACACCACTGCACTCCAGCCTGGACTCCATCTCAAAAAAAAACAAAAAACAGCAACACAGTATGAGAGGTTGGGTATTGTGGTTCATGCCTACAATCCAAGCATGTTGGGAGGCTGAGGTGGGTGGATCACCTGAGGTCAGGAGTTCGAGACCAGCCTGATCAACATGGTGAAACCCCATCTCTACTAAAAATACAAAAATTAGCTGGACATAGTGGCAGGTGCCAGTAATCCCACCGACTTGGGAGGCTGAAGCAGGACAATCGCTTGAACCTGGGAGGTGGAGGTTTCAGTGATCTGAGACCGCACCACTGCACTCCAGCCTGCATAACATGAGCGAAACTCTGTCTCAAAAACAGAACAGTAAGAGAAAACTGAAGCTGAGTCCCACTCATTGTATTTACTTTCCTAAATAAAACAACATTATAAAAAACACTACTCAGTAATATAATTTAGTTGAAGGGGAAAAAACAGACTTATCAAATTTTTTTGCAAAAAAGCTGATCCATCATTTTCCACAATTCAGTGATTCTGGCATACCATACTTCCTTCCCCATCAAAATCACAGGAATACAAGTTTTCTCAATCTAATGAATTTAATAACTTGGGTTATTAAATATTATTATAAAATAGGCAGTATTTTTCTTTCCTGTGACTATTTTTTTTTTTGAGATGGAGTCTCGCTCTGTAGCACACACTGGAGTGCAGTGGCATGATCTCGGCTCACTGCAAGCTCCGCCTCCCAGGTTCATGCCATTCTCCGGCCTCAGCCTCCTGAGTAGCTGGGACTACAGGCGACCGCCACCACGCCCGGCTAATTTTTTGTATTTTTAGTAGAGACAGTGTTTCACCGTGTTAGCCAGGATGGTCTTGATCTCCTGACCTCGTGCTCCACCCGCCTCATCGTCCCAAAGTGCTGGGATTACAAGCATGAGCCACCGCACCTGGCACCTGTAACTAATATTATTTCTAAGATCCAGAATGTATTTATTACTGAAACAAGGCTGACATACACTGCACAAAAAAAGGAAGAACCAGACATTCATTAAAGCTAGGAAAAAGCAGAACTCAGTGTGCTCAAGAACCACTAGCAGGCAGGACAGGTTGTCTCATGCCTGTAATGCCAGTACTTTGGGAGGCTGAGGTGGGCAGATCACCTGAGGTCAGGAGTTCCAGACCAGCCTGGCCAACATGGTGAAACCCAAACTCTACTGCAAATAAAAAATTAGGCTGGCGTGGTGGCAGGTGCCTGTAATCCCAGCTACTTGGGAGGCTGAGGCAGACAGAATTGCTGGAACCCAGGAGGTAGAGCTTGCATGAGCTGAGATCACACCACTGCACTCCAGTATGGGCAACAGAGGAAAACTCCACCTCAAAAAAAAAAAAAAAAAAAAAAAAAAAAGAGAACAGCAAACAGCTAGCAGGTGCCATTTGCTATGGGGAGACTAGGGATATGATCTTGCTGGCAATCCTTCCATTTTAGTAAATCTAAACAGTGTGATTCCATTCTTTTTTGTCTGCACTCCACTCTAGAGCCAAAACCAGAAAATCAATTATATTTCTATTTCTTTCAAAACACATCTAACAATTAAGAGATGATATGCATGGCTCCATGCTCTAAAAGGAACTTTCTTATGTCCTGGGTATCGTGGACATTTGATGAATGCTTGTTCAGTTGGCTAGTGTAGACTTCAATAATAAACTGTTCAGTGCATAATGTCAGACAAATGTTGTATCTGAAAAGTAGGACAAATATTGTTCTTTTAGTTCTGTCTACCCATAAACCCAATACTTACATGTATTTATAATGGGTTAATAAAAAGAAAATGAGTTTATTGTTCTAGAGAGTATTAGAATTTTGACAACATGAATTCTCCTGTCCTGGAACATAATTAAAAGTAAGAGGAATATTATTTCATGTGAAAGGTACCGTTAAAAAAATCATTGTTAAGCATTAAATAATTATTTCACATAATCTTCTAATCTGACTTAAGACTGAAGACCTACCACCTGAAGCTGGTTTATCAAGTTGTAAGTCTTCACATGTTGAATTCGCAAGTTCATGTTTGAAAGGTGAGAATAAATACTTAATATTCACTAGGCAATATTCAGCAAAGTAATATTCACTGGTGCATATTTTACATTTCATAACCAAGGGTGGCTTTGAAAAAAAAAAAAGACAGGCTGGTCATGGTGGCTCATGCCTGTAATCCAACACTTTGGAAGGCTGAGGCAGACAGATCAGGAAGTCAGGAATTCAAGACCAGCCTGGCCAACAAGGTGAAACCCCGTCTCTACTAAGCATACAAAAATTATCCAGGCATTGTGGCAGGTGCCTGTCATCCCAGCTACTCAGGAGGCTGACCTAGGAGAATCACTTGAACCTGAGAGGCAGAGATTGCAGTGAGCCAGGACACACCATTGCACTCCAGCATGGGCGACAACAGTGAAACTCCAGCTGAGAAAAAAAAAAAAAGAAAGAAATATCCCATTACTCTAAGGCAATGTAGATACAGCCAGAATTTCAACAGAAGTCTGAACCACATTATAAAGCCAGAAAAACATACCAGCTAATATTATTTAATACATATAGCACTAAATGAAAGAGGTAATATTTTCTTTTACTTTTTTTTTTTTTTTTTTTTGAGACGGAGTCTCGCTCTATCACCCAGGATGGAGTGCAGTGGCAGGATCTCGGCTCACTGCAACCTCCGCCTCTCGGGTCCAAGCAATTCTCCTGTCTCAGCCTCCCGACTAGCTGGGACTATAGGCACCTGACACCATGCCTACCTAATTTATGTATTTTTGTAGAGACGGGGTTTCATCGTATTGGTCAGGCTGGTCCTGAACTCCTGACCTCAGGAGCTCCGTCCACCTCAGCCTCCCAAAGTGCTGGGATTACAGGCATGAGCCACCATGCCTTGCGGAAAAGGTAATATTTTCCAAACATATACATTAGTGTAACCTTGTTAGACTTATAAATATGATTTTTTTTAGTAACAGAAGCAGAAGATTCTCCTGAACTGTATCATTTCAGCTAACATTTATTTACTTAAGATTAAAATAACAGAACAGCTATAGAAAGTCAAGAGGTAGCCAGGCACAGTGGCTCATGCCTGTAACCCAAATACTTTGAGAGACCAAGGCAGGTGAATCACCTTAGGTCAGGAGTTTGAGACCAGCCTGGCCAAAATGTTGAAACCCCATCTCTACTAAAAATACAAAAATTAGCCAGGCATGGTGGTAATCATCTGTAGTCCCAGCTACTAGGGAGGCTGTGACGGGAGGATCACTTGAACCTGAGTGGTGGAGGCTGCAGTGAGCTATGATCACACCACTGCACTCCAGCCTGGGTGACAGAGCAAGACTCTGTTTCAAAGAAAAAAAAAGAAAAAGTCAAGAGCATGGAGAGTATTAAATTCAGACAAAACCAATGGTCTATCATCAGAACAGCTCCATTTTTTTGCTATCATTATGTGTTAAGGTCAATTTGCTAAACACGAATATTTGTACTAAAGTTTTAAGTGTACCATATAACACATTATTGCTGACTTAGGTTTAATGTCCTTTGCCGTACAATATACCTGAATATCTTACTTATATATCACAACAAAAGCATCTTTCCCTAAGGCAATTACCATTAATACTGCTTTAAAGTTATAAAATGTGGGCTGAGGGGTGGCTGTAATCCCAGCACTTTGGGAGTCCAAGGCAGCAGATCACAATGTCAAGAGATTAAGACCATCCTGGCCAACATGGTGAAACCCCATCTCTACTAAAGTACAAAAATTACCTGGGTGTGGTGACGCACCCCTGTAGTCCCAGCTACTTGGGAGGCTGAGGCAGGAGAATTTCTTGAATCCAGGAGGCAGAGGTTGTGGTGAGCTGAGATTGCAACTCCAGCCTGAACAACAAGTGTGAAACTTTGTCTCAAAAAAAATTTATAAAATGTGAGAATTGCTTTTATAATTTTACAACACCTGAGCATTACTGTCTTTAAACTAAAAAATCTAATAAATCACCATCACAACAAAAGCCCCACAAGATAATTTGTTTCACCTTATAAAAAGCACTGACATTTAGTGTGTGGTAATTTGTTGCAGTAGCCACGGGAAACTAGTATTGTACTGAAGCCTCAACACCCACCTGAAGGGGCTGGGCATGGTGGCTCATGCCTGTAATCCCAGCACTTTGTGAGGCTCAGGTGGGTGGATCACTTGAGGTCAGAAATTCAAGACCAGCCTTCCAACATGGTGAAACCTCGTCTCTAAAAATTACAAAAATTAGCTGGGGGTGGTAACACATGCCTATAATCTCAGCTACATAGGAGGCTGAGACATGGGAACTGTTTGAACCCAGGGTGGGGCGGAGGTTGCAGTGAGCCAAGATTGTGCCACTGCACCCCAGCCTGGGTGATAGAGTGGGGCTCCATGTCGACAATAAGAAAACAAAACAAAACAAAACAACACAAAACCCCACCTGAAGGTTTCCAGTTCTTTCAATAGTCCCCCACCCAACCCCTTAGAAGCACACAGTCTTTTGCTGTGGGCCATGGAGAGGAAGAAGGAAGCACCTCCTCATGGCAGAGGCCTACCCAGGAGAAACTCAAGGGAAGGCACTGCCAGGCCGGTCCTTCTGCCAAGGCCATTTTCTTTTTTTTTTTTTTCTGATGGAGGGACACAGTTTCACTCCGTCTCCCAGACTGCAATGCAGTGGCACAATCTCAGCTCGCTTCGACCTCTGCCTCCCCAGTTCAAGCAATTCTCCTGCCTCAGCCTCCCGAGTAGCTGGGATTACAGGAGCACAGCATGTCTAGCTGATTTTTGTATTTGTAGCAGAGATGGGGTTTTGCCATGTTGCCCAGGCTGGACTCAACCTCCTCACCTCAAGTGATCCACCTATCTCAGCCTCCCAAACTGCTGAGGAGTGAGCCACCGCACCCAGCACTCACCAAGGCCTTTGATGGCAGGCTTTTTCCAGGTGACCACTCCTTGTCTGGTCTGGTTCTGCCCCACTCTCCCTCTCACCAAGTTGGAATCCGTCACTACTTTTCAGTAGAGGAGAGTGTGTACCCCAATCTCAGCTTGGTATGATTCAGATCTGCATTTAACTCATGACATCTGGCTGATCCTCAAGCCCTGGAGAAAAAAAAGGGTCTCTCTGTGAGTATGATACAGGACAGGTCTGTCCCCAGGACCCTGGGAGAGGGAAGCCCAATGGCCCACCAGGTTGGCAGGGCTGGGGAAGGGAAAGTGTTATGGTAGCCCCAAGACTAAAAAGAGGCAGCAGAGGGAGCAGGACATCACTCCCATTGAACTCATGCCGCTGCCTAAGTGAGGTGAGGGAGGAGTGCACCCGAGTGACATGAGGGGGCAGAGAGGCACGGTTCCAGGGTGGCTTTCACCCTTACTTCCTGCCATGTTACTCTGATCCCCTGCAGGTGAGCCTGCCCACTTTTGGCTTAGGGCTGCTGCTGGGGCCTGTACTCAAACGCAGCCCCCCCATGGCCATGGCTCCATGAGTGGGGCAGAGCAGGGAGGAGTCCTAGACAGAGGAGAGGCTGGGGCAGGAGGGAGTGGGCCTCAAACTCCAGGAGGGGGCCCTTCTCATAGGTCCTCTTTTCCGGCCTCTTCTTCCTTACCCCTGGGCTGATCACCTGGGGAAGAACTGAGGCAAGCTTTCTCATCCTCAGGTCTGAGGGGTTCAATTACTGGGCCCAAGTAGCTGGGATTACAGGCATGCACCACCACACCTGGCTAATTTTGCATTTTTAGTAGAGTCAGGGTTTCTCCATGTTGGTCAGGCTGGTCTGGAGCTCCTGACCTCAGCTGATCCACCCACCTCTGCCTTCCAAAGTGCTGGGATTACAGGTGCGAGCCACTGAGACTGGCCAAGCAATCCTTTTCTAAAAATGAGCTGGGCTCAGTGGCTCATGCCTATAATCCCAGCACTTTGGGAGGCCGAGGTGGGTGGATCACTTGAGGTCAGGAGTTTGAGACCAGCCCGGGCAACATGATGTAATCCCATCTCTACTAAAATAAATAAATAAATAAATAAATTAGCCAGGTGTGATGGTGGCCACCTGTAATCCCAGCATCTCAGGAGGCTGAGACAGGAGAATCACCTGAACCTGGGAGGCAGTGGTTGCAATGAGCCGAGATCATGCTACTGCACTCCAGCCTAAGTGACAACAGTGAGACTCCGTCACAAACAAAAACAAAAACAAAACCAGATTCCATCTCAAAATAAATAAATAAAACAAAAAATGTGGTATGGCAATGAAAATAATTACTGTGTTAAAGACAGTTTCGTAGAAAATAGAAGACCACTCAGATACAATAAGCTGTCTTTTTAGATGAGTATACTTGTTATTCTTATTTTACAGCTAAAGAAACTGGCTCAGAGAATGTTATTCAATTCGACCATGTTGCATTTCTGGACGGTGCGGCTGAGATCAGACTTCGTGTGTAACTCCACTAGCCTACCAGGGTGCCTCTCATAAAGGTAAGAAATGTAAATTTGGCCTAATCTACAAAGTTGCCAGGGCAGCACTGGGTCAATTCTACATACAGTACTTCTATATTCATCAAGGGAAACCTTAAGGGAAGGTGAAAATGCTTCTAGAAGGCAACTGGACACCAGTGCCCTTGCTTGTTGCCTTTGGGCTCTTCCTCTAAGGCCAATAGTGACCTGAAATTACCAACTAACTGTTTCAATCAAGTGGACAAAATGGTACCAAGGTAATCAACATCAGACAAATTCATTTGAGGACCTATCTATGTGCTTTGAAAGACAAAACTTTTTGTAAAGGATACTGTATTTCAGAAAAACAAAATCATATTAACAACTAATAACACTGTAAAATGCTGATGTGTTGAATGCTACTTTAGAAAAACATGTTCAAATCTAGGAAAAAAATTTGATAGAAAACTACATAATCAGCTGGGCGCCGTGGCTCACGCCTGTAATCCCAGCACTTTGGGAGGCTGAGGCGGGTGGATGACGAGGTCAGGAGTTCAAGACCAGCCTGACCAACACAGTGAAACCCCATCTCTACTAAAAATATAAAAAATTAGCCAGGCATGGTGGCGTGTGCCTGTAATTCCCGGCTACTCAGACAGGCAGGAGAATTGCTTGAACCCAGAAGGCAGAGGTTGCAGTGAGCAGGTGAGCCAAGATCGCACGACTGCATCCCATCCTATGTGACAGAACAAGACTCTGTCTCAAAAAAAAAAAAAAAAAGAAAAGAAAACTACGTATCAATTATCTAGCTAGCTAGCTATCTAGAGAAATGGTTTCATTCTATTGCTCAGGATGGAGAGCAGCAGGATGATTATAGCTCACTGCAGCCTTGAGCTCCTGGCCGCAAGTGATCCTCCTGCCTTAGCCTCCTAAGTAGCTGCGGCCACAGGTGAACAGTTACACATGGCTTTTTGTTTTGTTTTGTTTTGTTTTTTGTACAGAAAGGGTTTCACTACATTGCCTGGGCTGGTCTCAAACTTTAGAGTCTCGATGTGTCACCCAGGCTGGGGTGCTTGGTGTGATCTCGGCTCACGGCAACCTCCACTTCCCAGTTCAAGTGATTCTCCAGTATCAGCCTCCCGAGCACCTGGGACTACAGGCATGTGCCACCACACCCGGCTAATTTTTGTTATTTTTTGTAGAGACTGAGTTTCTCCATGTTGGCCAGGCTAGTCTCGAACTCCTGACCTCAGGTGATCCACCCACCTTGGCCTCCCACTGTGCTGAGATTACAGGCGTGAGCCACCATGCAGGGCCAAACACTTTCTTACTTTATTAAATAGCATAACCCAGGTGGGGCACGGTGGCTCATGCCTGTAATCCCTGCAAGTCTGAAGGCCAAAGTGAGAATATCAGTGAACCCAGGAGTTTGAAACCGGCCTGGGCAACATAGCAAGACCCCCATCTCTACAAAAAATACAAAAATTAGGCTAGGCGTGCACCACGCCCAGCTAATTTTTGTACCTTTTGTAGGGACGGGGTTTCATCCTGCTGCCCAGGCGGGTCTCGAACTCCCGAGCCCAAGCCATCCTCCCGCCTCGGCCTCCCAAAGTGCTGGGATAACTGGGCCCAACCAGCCTCATGTTTTCCTTAAGCAGTCCCTCCCTGTTGCACACTTGGGTAGTTTCCTTTTTTACTTTTTTAGACAGGGGTTACCTCAGTCTCGAAGGCTGGAGTGCTGTGGTGGGATCACAGCTCATTGGAGCCTTGAACCTTGGGAGTTCAAGTAGCTGGGAAGCTGAGGTGAGACTAAAGAGATGGGGTCGCGCCAGGTTAACAGGCTGCCCTTGGCCTGAAAGGATCCTCCGGCTTCGGCCGCCACCGGACACAGTTTCCTATTTTTGATGGACATACACACTGTGCTGGGTGGGAGTTTATCAACTACCTTTCTGCTGCCAGCAATACAGAGGACCTGGAGAGGAGGTGGCGGTTACCAGGCTCCACTGTCAGAAGACTGACCATCTCCAGGCACTATACCGCCCCTGTGACGTCGCGAAAGACCAGCTCATAGGACTTTTCGAATGGGCGCCTCTGAGACGTCAATGAAGGCGCGCCCCTATGGCGTCACAGAGGACCGACTCTCATACGCAGCCAATCGGAAGTGAAGGCGGGGCTTCTGGGTCTTCCTGGAGTGCGCATACATGGGCCAGCGGCCATAAGAATTACAATTTACCCCATCGTCCTCTGAGCTTTGGGGATGATGGATGAATAAATAGAGGCACAGACAGGTGATCTACCCAGAGCTGATGAGTAACAAGCCTGCTCTCAGGCCGTGTGACTCCTAGATTAGTACTCTTTTTTTTTTTGGAGAGAAAGTCTCACAATCTCGGCTCACTGCAACCTCCACCTCCTGGGTTCAACTGATTCTCCTGCCTCAGCCTCCCAAATAGCTGGGGCTACAGGTGCCTGCCATCACAGACATCTAATTTTTGTATTTTTATTGGAGATGGGGTTTCACTATGTTAGCCAGGCTGGTCTCAAACTCTTGACCTCAGGTGGTCCTCCTGCCTCAGCCTCCCAAGTGCTGGGATTACAGGTGTGAGCCACTGTGCTTGGCTGCTTTTTTTTTTTTTTTTTTTTTTTCAAAATAGAGATGTTTAGCCAGATGTGGTGGCACAAACCTGTTGTCCCTCCTACTAGGGAGGCTGAGGTGGGAGGATCACTTGAGCCTAGGAGGCAGAGACTGTAGTGAGTCAAGATCATACCAATGCATGTCAACCTGGATGACAGGGTGAGACCCTGTTTAAAAAATAGAAAAGATATGGGGTCTTGCTATGTTGCCTAGGCTGATCTTGAACTCAGCCTCAAGCAATCCTCCTGCCTCAGCCTCCCAAAGTGCTGGGAGTACCGGCATGAGCTGTTGCACCTACCCCTGGGAACTTTTTGCTGGGAGTGGTTTCTCTTATCTGTCCTGGCTTCAGGAGGGCAGGACCCCAAACCAAGGGTTTCTTCAAGTGGACAGCACTTTGGGAATGAAAGTGGGGTCAGTACTTGGTGTGCTGCAGAGGTGGCTATAGCCTACAGGGCCTGCTAGAGCCTAGGACAGCACTTCATGGGGAAAGCTTGGGCCTTACCTGCCCAGGATCTCGTTGGGCTAATAATTGTCATGGAAGTCCTGTGCGGAATGAGAGTCCGGCAGTGCCTCATCCCGGGTCATGCTCAGATCCTCAGCAAGGGAACTCTGGGTGGCTCTGAGAGTGGAACACAAAGAAGCTGTCAGCCCTCCTGACCCAGGGGTTGTTCTTGGGGCCTGGAACTGTTTCTTACTCACCCTTACATCTCCTGGCACCACACTGGCCTACAGTGAATGTTCCAAATAAACGTTTGTGAATTGAGGCCAGGCATGGTGCCTCACACCTATAATCCCAGCACTGTGGGAGGCTGAGGCAGACAGATCACTTGAGGCCAGGATTTTGAGCCCAGCCTGGCCAACATGGTGAAACCCTATCTCTACTAAAAATACAAAAATTAGCTGGACATGGTGGCTGGCACATGCTTGTAGTCCCAGCTGCTTCAGAGGCTGAGGCAGATTTGCTTGAACCTGGAAGGCAGAGGTTGCAGTGAGCAGAGATCGCGTCACTGCACTCCAACCTGGGAGACATGGCAAGACTCCAGCTCATAAAAAAAAAAAAAAAGGCTTCTTTGTAGAGATCGGGGTCTTGCTCTGTTACCCAGGCTGCAGTGCAGTGCAACAATCATAGCTTACTGCCGCTACTGCTGCCTCAACCTCCTGGGCTCAAGCTATCCTCACACACTACCCTCCCGAGTAGCTGGGACTAAAGTATGCCCCAGGCTTGAGTGCAGTGGTGCAATCTCGGCTCTCTGCAACCTCCACCTCCCAGGTTCAAGCGATTCTCCTGCCTCAGTCTCCCAAGTAGCTGGAATTATAGGCGCCTGCAACCATGCCCAGCTAATTTTTTGTATTTTTAGTAAAGACAGGGTTTCGCCATGTTGGCCAGGCTGGTGTTGAACTCCTGACCTCAGGTGATCTGCCCACCTCAGTCTCCCAGGAAGAAGAAACTGTTGGTCTCATAAGTGTCCCTCAGCTGTACTGAAATGGAAATGGCTAGCTCATCTCAAGTGGCAGGGGAGCCCGGGCAGGGGCAGCTGGGGCACGGGGGTCAGGGACCGAGGCTGCTGTCAGCTAACTTCAAAAGCTGACACGGGAATCAGGAGGGTGCTCAAAGGATGTCAACCCGGGGTGTGGGCAGGCCCAGGATTACAGGTGTGAGCCACTGTGCTTGGCCACTTTTTTTTTTTTTTTAGTAGAGATGGTTAGCAAGATGTGGTGGCACACACCTGTTGTCCCTCCTACTAGGGAGGCTGAGGTGGGAAGATCACTTGAGCCTAGGAGGCAGAGAGTGTAGTGAGTCAAGATCATACCACTGCATGCTGACATGGATGACAGGGTGAGACCGTGTCTAAAAAATAAAAAAGATATGGGGTCTCACTATGTTGCCCAGGCTGATCTTGAACTCAGCCTCAAGCAACTTTATTATTATTATTGTTATTATTTTTAGAGACAAGGTCTCACGGTCTCACCCACACTGGAGTGCAATAGTGCAATCATAGCTCACTGCAGCCTCAAACTACTGGGCTCCAGTGATGCTCCTGCCTCAGCCTTCTGAGTGGCTGGGATTACAGGCATGCACCAGCACGCCTGGCTCATTCAGCCCAGGGACATCAAACCCCCATCCCCTCACCTGCAACCATCCCTGCCTGGGACCCCTTCTGTCAAAGCAGTGAGGCTACAGCTGGGAGCCTTGAGCCTGGGTGGTTCTAACTGGCTGTGTGGTGGGGCCACATTCCCTGGCTTGGGCTGTCATGTCAGGGCAGAATCACAGGGGTCACCCCACCGTGGAGCTTGGGACCCTCACTCACTGATGTTGAGGTGCCCTGAGACCTTGTGCAGGATGTCAACCTCCTTCAGTGTGGCTTCTTGCAGCTCCTGCACCTCCTCGGGGGTGAAGCTGCTTCCACTGGTGACGTCGATGACCTTCACAGCATGCTCCTGGCTCGTGGGCTTGTGGATGCAGCACCTGACCATACTGCTAATGCCCCTGGGAGTGCAAAGGACAGATGGCCTCAGGGGGCCCCTCACCCCACGGGGAGTCCCAGATTCAAGGCTGCAGCAGACATGTCCTGCCCTTATCTAGAGATTTACACTTTCCCTCAACTTCCTCTGAGCTTTTGGGGATTGTGGATGAATAAATACAGGCACAGATAGGTGATTTGCCCAGAGCTGATCAGTAGAAGCCTGCTCTCAGGCTGTGTGACTCCTAGTTTAGTCATTTTTGGAGAGAAAGTCTCACTCTGTTGCCGAGGCTGCAGTGCGGTGGCACGATCTCGGCTCATGCAACCTCCACCTCCTGTGTTCAAGTGATTCTCCTGCCTCAGCCTCCCGAGTAGCTGAGACTACAGGCGCCTGCCACCACACACATCTAATTTTTGTATTTTTACTGGAGACGGGGTTTTACCATGTTAGCCAGGCTAGTCTCAAACTCTCGACCTCAGGCGGTCCTCCCACCTCAGCCTCCGAAAGTGCTGGGATTACAGGTGTGAACCACTGTGCTTGGCCACTTTTTTTTTTAATAGAGATGGTTAGCAAGATGTGGTGACACACACCTGTTGTCCCTCCTACTAGGGAGGCTGAGGTGGGAGGATCACTTGAGCCTAGGAGGCCTGCAGACTGTAGTGAGTCAAGATCATACCACTGCACGCCAACCTGGATGACAAGGTGAGACCATGTCTAAAAAATAAAAAAGATATGGGGTCTTGCTGTGTTGCCCAGGCTGATCTTGAACTCAGCCTCAAGGAATACTCCCGCCTCAGCCTCCCAAAGTGCTGGGAGTACAGGCATGAGCCATTGTACCTGTCCATGGGAGCAGTTCTTGAGCACACTGAATTCTGCTTTTTCCTAGCTTTAATGAATGTCTAGTTCTTCCTTTTTAGGTGCAGTGTATGTCAGCATTGTTTCAGTAATAAATGCATTCTAGATCTTAGAAATAATATTGGTCACAGGTGCCAGGTGCAGTGGCTCACTCCTGTAATCCCAACACTTTGGAAGGCTGAGGCAGACAGATCATGAAGTCAGGAGTTCAAGACCAGCCTGGCCAATATGGTGAAACCCTGTCTCTACTAAACATACAAAAATTAGCCAGGTGTTGTGGCAGGTGCCTGTCATCCCAGCTACTCAGGAGGCTGAGCTAGGAGAATCGCTGGAACCTGGGAGGCAGAGATTGCAGTGAGCCAGGATCACACCATTGCACTCCAGCATGGGCAACAAGAGCAAAACTCCAGCTGAAGAAAAAAAACAAAAGAAATATCCCATTACTTTAAGGCAATGTAGATACAGCCAGAATTTCTACAGAAATCTGAACCACATTATAAAGCCAGAAAAACATACCAGCTAATATTATTTAATACATATAGCACTAAATGGAAGAGGTAATATTTTCTTTTAATTTTTTTTTTTTTTTGAGATGGAGCCTCACCCTATCACCCAGGATGGAATGCAGTGGCAGGATCTTGGCTCACTGCAACCTCGACCTGCCAGGTCCAAGCAATTCTCCCGTCTCAGCCTCCCAAGTAGCTGGGACTACAGGCACCAGCCACCATGCCCAACTAATATTTGTATTTTTGTAGAGACGGGGTTTCACCATATTGGTCAGGCTGGTCTTGAACTTCTGACCTCTGGTGATCCATCCACCTCAGCCTCCCAAAGTGCTGGGATTACAGGCATGAGCCACCATGCCTGGCCAGAAAAGGTAATATTTTCCAAACATATACATTAGTGTATAACCTTATTAGACTTATAAATATGATTTTTTTCAGTAACAGAAGAAGATTCTCCTGAACTGTATCATTTCAGCTAACATTTACTTAAAATTAAAATAATATAACAGCTATAAAAAGTCAAGAGGCACCCAGGCGCAGTGGCTCATGCCTGTAATCCAAACACTTTGGGAGGCCGAGGCAGGTGAATCACCTGAGGTCAGGAGTTTGAGACCAGCCTGGCCAACATGGTAAAACCCCATCTCTACTAAAAATACAAAAATTAGCCACGCATGGTGGTAATCACTTGTAGTCCCAGCCACTAGGGAGGCTGTGATGGGAGGATCACTTGAACCTGAGTGGTGAAGGTTGCAGTGAGCTATGATTGCACCACTGCACTCCAGCCTGGGTGACAGAGCAAGACTCTGTTTCAATGAAAAAAATGAAACAGTCAAGAGCATGGAGAGTATTAAATTCAGACATAACCAATGGTCTATCATCAGAATAGCTCCATTTTTTTGCTATCATTATGTGTTAAGGTCAATTTGCTAAACACGAATATTTGTACTAAAGTTTTAAGTGTACCATATAATACATTAATGCTGACTTAGGTTTAACATCCTTTGCTGTACAATATACTTGAATATAATACTTATATATCACAACAAAAGTATCTTTCCCTAAGGCAATTACCATTAATACTGCTTTAAAGTTATACAATGTGGGCTGAGGGGTGGCTCACACCTGTAATCCCAGCACTTTGGGAGTCCGAGGCAGGCAGATCACAATGTCAAGAGATTAAGACCATCCTGGCCAACATGGTGAAACCCCGTCTCTACTGAAGTACAAAAATTACCTGGGCGTGGGACGCACCCCTGTAGTCCCAGCAACTTGGGAGGCTGAGGCAGGAGAATCTCTTGAATCTGGGAGGCGGACGTTGTGGTGAGCTGAGATTGCAACTCCAGCCTGAACAAGTGCAAAACTTTGTCTCAAAAAAAATATGAAAATGTGAAGATTGTTTTTATAATTTTCAACACCTGCACATTACTGTCTTTAAACTAATCTAACAAATCACCATCACAACAAAAGCCCCACAAGATAATCTGTTTCACCTTATAAAAAGCACTGACAGTTACTGTGTGGTAATTTGTTGCAGTAGCCACGGAAACTAGTATTGTACTGAAGCCTCAACACCCACTTGAAGGGGCTGGGCATGGTGGTCATGCCCGTAATCCCAGCACTTTGTGAGGCCCAGGTGGGTGGATCACTTGAGGTCAGGAATTGGAGACCAGCCTTGCCAACATGGTAAAACCCCGTCTCTAAAAAAAATACAAAAATTAGCTGGGGGTGGTGGCACATGCCTATAATCTCAGCTACTCAGGAGGCTGAGACATGGGAACTGTTTGAACCCAGGGTGGGGCGGAGTTTGCAGTGAGCCAAGATTGTGCCACTGCACCCCAGCCTAGGTGACAGAGTGAGGCTCTATCTCAACAACAACAACAAAAACTCCACCTGGTTCTGCCCCACTCTCCCTCTCACGAAGTTGGAATCCCTCACTACTTTTCAGTAGAGGAGAGTGTGTACCCCAATCTCAGCTTGGTATGATTCAGATCTGCATTTAACTCATGAAACCTGGATGATCCTCAAGCCCTGGAAAAAAAAAAGGGTCTCTCTGTGAGTATGATACAGGACAGGTCTGTCCCCAGGACCCTGGGAGAGGGAAGCCCAATGGCCCACCAGGTTGGCAGGGCTGGGGAAGGGAAAGTGTTATGGTAGCCCAAAACTAAAAAGAGGCAGCAGAGGGAGCAGGACATCACTCCCATTGAACTCATGATGCTGCTGCCTGAGTAAGGTGAGGGAGGAGTGCACACGAGTGATGTGATGGGGCAGAGAGGCACGGTTCCAGGGCGGCTTTCACCCTTACTTCCTGCCATGTTACTCTGATCCCCTGCAGGTGAGCCTGCCCACTTTTGGCTTAGGGCTGCTGCTGGGGCCTGTACTCAAATGCAGCCCCCCATTGCCATGGCTACAGGAGTGGGGCAGAGCAGGGAGTGGGACAGAGGAGAGGCTGGGGCAGGAGGGAGTGGGCCTCAAACTCCAGGAGGGGGCCCTTCTCATGGGTCCTCTTTTCCAGCCTCTTCTTCCTTACCCCTGGGCTGATCACCTGGGGAAGAACTGAGGCAAGCTTTCTCATCCTCAGGTCTCAGGGGTTCAATTACCAGGCCCAAGTAGCTGGGATTACAGGCATGCACCACCACACCTGGCTAATTTTGCATTTTTAGTAGAGACAGGGTTTCTCCATGTTGGTCAGGCTGGTCTCGAGCTCCTGACCTCAGCTGATCCACCCACCTCGGCTTCCCAAAGTGCTGGGATTACAGGCGTGAGCCACCACGCCGGGCCGAACACGTTCTTATTCTATTAAATAGCATAACCCAGGCAGGGCACAGTGGCTCACGCCTGTAATCCCTACAAGTCTAAAGGCCAAGGTGAGAATATCAGTAACCCAGCAGTTTGAGACCGCCCTGGGCAACACAGCAAGACCCCCATCGCTACAAAAAAATACAAAAATCAGGCCAGGTGTGCACCGCCCCCAGCTAATTTTTGTACCTTTTGTAGAGACGGGGTTTTGTCATGTTGCCCAGGCTGGTCTCGAACGCCGGAGCCCAAGCCATCCTCCTGCCTCGGCCTCCCAAAGTGCTGGGATAAGTGGGCCCAACTAGCCTCATGTTTTCTTTAAGCAGTCCCTCCCTGTTGCACACTTGGATAGTTTCCTTTTTTACTTTTTTAGACAGGGGTTACCTCAGTCTCGCAGACTGGAGTGTTGTGGTGGGATCATAGCTCATTGGAGCCTTGAACCTTGCGGGGTTCAAGTAGCTGAGAAGCTGAGGTGGGACTAAAGAGATGGGGTCGCGCCAGGTTAACAGGCTGCTCTTGGCCCGAAAGGATCCTCTCGCGTCCGCCGCCACCGGACACAGTTTCCTATTTTTGACGGACATACACACTGTGCTGGGTGGGAGTTTGTCAACTACCCTTCTCCAGCCAGGAATACACAGGACCTGGAGAGGAGGTCGCGGTTACCAGGCTCGACTCTGAGGAGACTGACCAGCTCCAGGTACTATATCGCCCCTGTGACGTCGCTGAAAGCGCGCGTCTGTGGCGTCGCGGAAGGCCAGCGTGTATGACGTTGCCGAAGGCGCGCCTCTGAGACGTCACCGAAGTCGCGCCCTAAGACGTCACCGAAGTCGCGCCCTAACACGTCACAGAGGGCGCGCCCCTATGGCGTCACATCGGACCGACCGCCACGCGCAGCCAATTGGAACTCGAGGTGGGGCTGCTGGGTCTTCCTGGAGCGCGCATGCGCCGGCGAGCTGCCACAAGGTTTACACTTTCCCCCATCTTCCTCTGTGCTTTTGGGGATGGTGGATGAATCAATACAGGCAAAGACAGGTGATTTGCCCAGAGCTGATGACTAACAGGCCTGCTCTCAGGCCTTATGACTCCTAGTTTAGGGCTTTTTTTTTTTTTTTTGAGAGAAAGTCTCACTCTTGTCACCCAGGCTGCAGTGCAGTGGCATGATCTCCGCTCACTGCAACCTCCACCTCCTGGGTTCAAGCGATTCTCCTGCCTCAGCCTCCCGAGTAGCTGCGACTACCGGTGCCTACCACCACAGACGTCTAATTTTTGTATTTTTATTGGAGACGGAGTTTCACCATGTTGTCTAGGCTAGTCTGGAACTCCTGACCTCAGGTTATCCTCCTGCCTCAGCCTCCCAAAGTGCTGAGATTACAGGTGTGAACCACTGTGCTGCGCCGCTATTTTTTTTTTTTTTTTGATAGAGATGGTTAGCCAGATGTGGTCGCACACACCTGTTGTCCCTCCTACTAGGGAGGCTGAGGTGAGAGGATCACTTGAGCCTAGGAGGCAGAGACTGTAGTGAGTCAAGATCATACCACTGCACGCCAACTTGGAGGCAGGAGGATTGCCTGAGGCCAGGAGTTCGAGCCAGCCTCGGCAGCATAATGAGATTCCATCTCTGTAAAAAATAAAATTTAGCCAAGTGTGGTAGCGTGCACCTGTGGTCCCAGCTACTCGGAAGGCAAAGGCGAGGATTGCTTGAGTCCTGGAGGTTGAGGCTGCAGTGAGCTATAATTGCGCCATTCCAGCCTGGGAGACAGGGTGAGATTCTGTCTCAAAAAAAGAAAAAATAATAATAAAACTGTGGGGGAAGGACACTCAAACCCCCTACTGGAAGCAAGGCTTCCTCATTCCATCATATTCTGCTCATCCTCCAAGGCTCGGCTAAGGGGCCTGCCTCTCCAAGAAACTTCCCAGCCCTCAGCCCCCTTCCTTCCTGTTTTCGCAGCACTGGTGTCACCTCGTCCTGCCCAACTATGTAGCGTGCAGGGCCTCCATCTTCCACATGACTGCAGAACCAGAGAGCTCTGGTGGTATCTGGTTCCATGTGTCCCCACTGGCACCTCGCCTGGGACGTTGTCTGCACTGACCAGTGCTAGCAATCAAAATAGCAGGCATGCCTGACCATGTGCTGAGGCTCAGTACGCAGCACTGGTCAGCTATGATTTCAGCTCAGCCTCTAGCATCCCGCTGGGGTAGCTTAATAATCCCTGGATTTCACAGATGGAAAATGTTAGGAAAGTCTCTAAGCCCCCATGGAAGGTCCCAGAGCCCAAATTCAAACCCAAGTGGAACGTTCCTCTGCTTCACTGTGATCTGGTGTGAATTTTAACCTAAGGTCCTGGCATTTAAGAGCTCGAAGTCACCACGGAGGTGGAGAGCTCAGCCCTGACATTGGATGGAAGCTGAGACTGGTGAGGTTCTCACCGGGACTTTTGCAGGGAGTTGGGGAGAATTCTGAAGGTGGTACAGATGTTCTGACCCCAAGACCGTCTCCTCCAGCTGGACCACACACTTGTTTCCTGCTCCTACACCTGTCCATCCCACCCCTTGGATTCTAGGTGTACAGAGGGGTGGGCACATGCTAAGGTCACCCCTGTTAGCCTCATGGACAAGGTGGGCCTGGAGCAGGAACCCACCTGATAGAAGACACCTGAAGTCTGTCCATACACACTCAGTGTGGGCATCACTTGCACATAGGTGCAGCTTTTGCTCTGGGAAACCACTTTAAATGAATTGATGGCCTCACCACGGTGGAGACATGGCTTGACTCCGGAGAGACTCCATTGTAGATAAATATTTGAGTAAAAGGTTTCATGTTAGAATAGCATCTGCATGCAAATGACAGGCAATGGGCGGGTGCAATGGCTCACACCTGTAATCCCAGCTACTTGAGAGGCAGAGGCAAGAGGATCGCTTGAGCCCACGAGTTTGAGACCAGCCTGGATGACATGGTAAGACCCCATCTCTAAAAAACAAAACAAAAAAAATGTTTAAATTAGCAGGGCATGGTAGTCCCTGTAGAGGAAGCTACTCAGGAAGCTGAGGCGAGAGGATTGCTTGAGCCCAGGAGTTGAAGGCAGTAGTGAGCTATGATTGTGCCACTGCATTCCAGCCTGGGCAACAGAGCCAGACCCCATCTCCATCTCTTTTTTTGGAGATGGAATCTCGCTCATCCCCCAGGTGGAGTGCAGTGGTGAGATCCAGGTTCACTGCAACCTCCTTCTCCCAGGTTCAAGCAATTCTCCTGCCTCACCCTCTGGAGTAGCTTGGATTACAAGTGCCCACCACCACGCCTGGCTAATGTCTGTATTTTTAGTAGAGACGGGGTTTCACCATGTTGGCCAGGCTGGTCATGAACTCCTGACCTCAAGTGACGCACTCACCTTGGCCTCCCAAAGTGCTGGGATTGCAGGCATGAGCCACTGCGCCCGACCCAGACTCCAACTCTTTAAAACAAAAAAGTACCTGAGGTAAATGGGGAAAACACTTGTGAGACAAGACCAAAACCTACAGTGGCTGCTAAATGTCAGTACTATGAGCCCAGGATTCTCCTACATCCCCTTCCATGGTCAGGGAGGACCACTGGGCTGTGTGTCTTCTGTGATTCTCCCCTGGCTCTGAGCCCTTTGCATCTGCACCTCACAGCGCCGCTCAAATCGCTGGGGGTAAAGTGCAGTGGCAGATGTTGGCCAGTTGTAGTCTGATAAGATAAAAGCCACAGGAGAGTTCTGAAATTCTCTTTTCCTCTCGAGTATGTATTTCTGCATCTTTACGGAGCCTCGTAAATGCTTTTTAAACCTACCCTGGGATTTGAACCAGCGCCCATAGACACAGAAGTCTTGTCAGGTCAGCCAGGGGCTGCTACTGAGGCAGCATCTCTCCCTAGCCCCCGACCCACAGGTTCAGAAGGGAAACCCTTCCCTCAGGCGGCTTATGAGACCCAGTACTTCTAGTTTCACTTCTTTAAAAACACCGTACAAAAGAAAAAGGCTGTCAAAACACAAGCAGTGTTTGAAACGAAGCTTTGTAGGTCCCCCTGCACTACCACCATCATGGGCAGCATAGCAGATGGGTTCTGGGACACCAGCTAAAATGTGTGCAAGAGAAACCAGGGCTCATGGCAGACGTGTGTTTCTCTGTTTTGTTGACCAACTTCTGCTAGAATTCATAGCCATCTAGCCTATGTATTGGATTTTTATTTCTGTGACGTCTGCATCTTTTAAAAATATCAGTTGGGGCCAAGGTGGGTGGATCACTTGAGGTCAGGAGTTCAAGACCAACCTGGCCAACATGGCCAAACCCTGTCTACTAAAAATATAAAAATTAGCTGGGCATGGTGGTGTGTGCCTGTAATCCCAGCTACTTGGGAGGCTGAGGCAGGAGAATCACTTGAACTGGGAGCCAGAGGCTGCAGTGAGCTGAGATCGTGCTTCTGCACTCTAGCCTGGGTGGCAGAGTGAGAGTCCAAATAAAAAATAATAATAATAATTTAAAAAATCAATCAGTAGCCAAGCACCATGGCATATACCTGTAGTCCCAGCCACTTGGGAGGCTGGAGGATCACTTGAGTTCAGGAGTTCAAGACCAGCCTGGGCAACATAGCAAGCCCTCATCTCTACAAAAAATAAAAAATTAGCAGGGCATGGTGGCACATGTCTGTAGTCCCAGATCCTCGGGTGGCAGGAGGATTTCTTGAGCCTAGGAGTTCAAGGCAAACCTGGGCGACATAGTGAGATTCCATTTCAAAAATATGTATCAGTAGGTTAATCCAGATGTTGTCACATGGGCCAAGCAACCAAAGTCACATCTTAGAGTTGTGGACTGTGTAATCAGATAAGTGTGGCTACAGTCACAGAAGGTCAGGGTAGAAAGAGGCTTGGAGAGGGGCACACTTCTAGCCAGAGCTTTCCTACTGAGCTCCTTAAAGCTCAGGGGAAAGTGGGACAGGGTTGGGGGGCGACCTAAATCCCACCCCCTCCCATCTTCAACCAGAGCAACCCCATTTGTATCTGCTCAGCAGTATCGTGCATCCATGTAAAATTTTATTTGAAAATGGCCTTCTGCAATTAAAACTACAAAAAAAGATTGAAAGCGGCCAACTTAAACTCCACTCTGTTTCTTTTTTGATTTGGGAGACTGGTGTGCACAGAAGGGAAGTGTCACCTAATGAAACTGTAACCTCACCACAGATGCCTGCCCATGGCTGGTGGAGCTCCCAAGGCCTGGGCCACACCCTATGTGCCCCATGCCCAGCAAGTGGAGGGGGGTGTGGTCAGTACATGTTTGTAAGATAAAGAAAAACATGCTTCCCAATCAGCCATATTACCCAGAGGGCGATATTGATTTAGATCTTATTTCAGCTTGGCTACAGAGGCTCAGGTGCCAGTGAGCAGAAGTCTGGCCATTGTGGTGGATTCTGGAAGATAACGTGCTATACTATTAGCAGGGGTGCAATTTGGGGTGTGAGACCACCAGAGCTTTGATTCCCCCTGCCACACTTGTATTATTTGGAGTTGTTTTGTTGTTGTTCATGGTAATTACCTATGATTAGACAACAATCTAGTTCCATTTGCAATAGGGAATAATATGTCTGTGACACAGCCTCTAGACCTGGGGAACCTCTGGCCACCCCGAGGGGGCCCGGTCATCCTGCTGCTGGTCATGTCCAGCTCCGGGTGGCTGGCTAGGTGGCCTGGGTGGGAGGTCCACTCTTTGTCTTTATAAAAAGAAGGGCTTGGGCGAGGCATGGTGGCTCATGCCTGTAATCCCAGCACTTTGGGAGGCCAAGGAAGGCGGATCACCTGAGGTCGGGAGTTCAAGACCAGCCTTACCAACATAGCAAAACCCCGTCTTTACTAAAAAATACAAAAATTAGCTGGGCGTGTGGTGGGTTCCTGTAATCCGAGCTACTCGGGAGGCTGAGGCAGGAGAATTGCTTGAACCTGGGAGGCAGAGGTTGCAGTGAGCCGAGATTGCACCACCGCACTCTAGCCTGGGCAACAGAGTGAGACTCCATCTCATAAATAAACAAATAAATAAATAAGATAACAAGGTGTGCTGGAGATGGCCACAGGCCTGTGGCAGCCGCGCCATCAGGGAAATGGAGTCAGAGAGAGCTGCAGCTGCTCTGATAGGGAGGTGGGTGTGTGCAGGATCCTCTGGGGGTGGCTCAGGCCTCCCAGGGGAGCACTTACCTTTTTATTTCCTAGTATGTCAGAACTGCTGATGCAGGAATAAAGCAAAGTGCCTGCCACTCCACGCGACTGCCGTTTTTTCATTCATTCATGTATTCGTTCTTCCTTTACGCATGCATGGCAGATTAACAAAAGGGCCTCCACAAACTAGCCAGGTGGCATCCATGGGTTTTTAGCCTCTCTGAGCAGGTTTGACAGGGCTGCTTTTTCCTTTCCCTAACTCTGACTTCTGTCCCAGCCTCTTCCATTTAATATCAGCCCTTGTTCCTACACTACACCTCCCGATGCAGACTGGGACATTCTCAGGCTGTGTTTGAGCCACCCCTTCATCCTCTGTGCTTTTCCCTGGCATCCTCAGCTCCCCTCTCCCCATCATGGTGCTCCTGGGCTGTTCCCAGAGCTCCTGTTACTCTCTCTGTCCTCCCAACCCCAAACCCGTCCAGCTGTGTATCCACCTGCCCAGCTGCCATTCATGCTGCAGATGTAGCACTCTCAGAGCCCATCTGTCTCCACTCACTCAGGCATCCTACCTCCTACTCCTGGTGGTGGCCGCAGTGCCCACTGGGCCACCCCAGCCAAGCCCAAGAGTAGCCACATGGGAGCCCTTCCTCCATCTCCCCTTCCTCATTCACACATTACCACATCTTGCCAATTTCATCTCCTGAGGACCTCACCTTCCATCATTCTCTCCCCATCATACCACAGTTGCCACCTTTATTTCTCTCCTAGACCTCAGCTGGTGTTACTTGGACAGTCATTTCATTGGAACCTCCTGGCCAGCTTTGCACACGTTTAACTAGACTAAGATTTGAGACCAGGCATGGTGGCTTATGCCTCTAATCCCAACACTTTGGGAGGCCAAGGCAGGCAGATCCCCTGAGGTTAGGAGTTTGAGACCTACCTGGGCAACATGGTAAAACCTCGTCTCTACTAAAAATACAAAAATTAGCCAGGTGGGGTAGCACACACCTGTAATCCCACCTACTCGGGAGGCTGAGGCAAGAGAATTGAACCTGGGAGGCAGAGGCTGCCGTGAGCCAAGATCACACTACCACACTCCACCCTGGGTGACAGAGTGAGACTCCATCTCAAACAACAACAACAAAAAAGAAGATTTGAGCTCCCTTCTCAGATCCGTGCCTCTCGACCTGGGCTGAAGGCTTCTACTCTCTCTGGCGTCACCTTCAGGAACCTGCTTGTTACTTCCCTCCTAAGAATGTTCCAGAAGGTCTTGGTTTATCTTCTGGAGGGCATTCAAGAACTCAGAGTCATCTCACATGTCTAGAAGAGAAATATTAAGGCCAGGCACAGTGGCTCAAACCTGTAATTTCAGTACTTTGGAAGGCTGAGGCAGGAGGATCACTTGAGCCCAGGAGTTCAAGACCAGCTTGGACAACATAGCAAGATCTCATCTCAAAAAAAAAAAAATTAGCCAGGCATGGTGGCACATGCCTGTAGTCTCAGCTATTTAGAAGGCTGAGATGGGAGGATCATTTGAGCCCAGGAAGTCAAGTGCAGTGAGCTGTGATAGTGCCACTGCACTCCAGCCTGGGCAACAGAACAAGATCCTGTCTCAAAATTTAAAAAGGGAGAGAGAAACAGAAACATGGCAGCTTGGAAACCTGGCTGGGGGTGATTGTGGGGAACTGCTGCTGATGGGCTCTCAGGCACACCCCCCACTCCAGCCATTTTGCCTGGCTGCCTTAGGAACCCTCCTCATACTCTCCTGAGAGTCCCCTCCAGGCAGTCATGGCTCACTTATCCCTGCCACGTGAACTCCATAAAGGATTCTCGGTAGAAACCCACAGAAACTGTTCCCAGTCACAAAGCATGCCAGGTGCATCCTGTTCTTTCTGTCATTTAAAAAAATGAATGTGTCTCTATCTCTCCTTCTTATAAAACAGTACCCTCTCACACTGCGTGGCTTGAATTCTGGTCTTACTTATGCCTTTGGATTCAATGGCCTTCATCAAATGTCTACAAGGCAAGGGCCATTTACAATAAACATTGTCGGAACTTCACTTAGCAATGTACTTGGGAAATAAATTTTGGTCACTAAATAGAGAAACAAATGCAACAAATAATCCCACAGACCATTATAACATATCTTTTAGATGGTAGTTGTCAAGGATTAGAGTTCCTCGCCCAAAACTGTTGTTGGTGTTTGGAAGCGTCCAAACATTGGCTGGCCCATGTCCCACAGGGGCATCAGCACAGCACCCTGGTGAGCAGAGAGTTGTGTGTATGGGGACTAAGCAGAGTGGTAGGCAGTTTGCAGGAAGCTTACCAATGCTTATTAATATTTACCAAAGAGATGCAGAACTGGCCGTGGTGGCTCACGATAGTCATCCCAGCACTTTGGGAGGCTGAGGTGGGCAGATCACAAGGTCAGGAGTTCGAGACCATCCTGACCAAAATTGTGAAACTCCATCTCTAGTAAAAATACAAAAATTAGCCAGGCATGATGGTGCACACCTGTAGTTCCAGCTACTCAGGAGGCTAAGGCAGGAGAATCGCTTGAACCCGGGCGGCGGAGGTTGCAGTGAGCTGAGATCACACCAACTGCACTCCAGCCTGGGCAACAAAGAGTGAAACTCCATCTAAAAACAAACAAAAAAAGAGATGCAGGACCATCTGCATATGGTACATTTTGGTGATAATATCTGACCTTCTGGGAGAAGAGATATGTTACATATGTTACATTTGTTACAAGAGAATGTCTTACCCCACCCCCACGGACCCAGAAAGGGTCCTTCTGGGAGAAGAGATATGTTACATATGTTACTTTCGTTACAAGAGAATGTCTTACCCCACCCCCACGGACCCAGAAAGGCGTGCACATGTGGATGGCAGGAGAGTGACTGCAGATACTTCCTGTGTTGCTATCCTTTGCTCCAGGTGGGTACTGGTCACAGGCACAGGCCAGAAGGCTCCCCAGAGTCTGATCCTGTCTCAAACCCAGCTGGCTATCCTGCAACCCCCATCCCACTGGTCTTTGGGAGTGGACAACAGCCCACGTCTCCAGGTGGCCGGGCCCCCTGTGCAGGCATGTTATAGCAAGTTGTGTTTTTCTGGTTTGTCTGTGCCCAACATGGTGTGACCATGGAGGGGACACTGAACAGACCTGGGGGTGGTGGTACTGAGGCAGAGGCAGGCGCACAGTTGTTTCCAAGGGAGAAAATGAATTCATGATCTAAAATGCAAAACCTTAATTATGCTTGACTCCCCTCCCTCCCTCATTTCTCTCTCTCCCTCCCTCCATCCATCCTTCCCACGTTTCCTTCCCTCCCTCTTTTCCTTCCCTCCCTCCCTTCCTTCCTCTCTTCCTCCCACCCTTTATTGACCTTCTTTCATTTTGCGACTTTGTCAAATACAGCTCCAGACTGTCTTCTCTTTCTCCTCTGCTCTGGCCACACACATGCCCTTCCACCCTGTGTCTGCCCATAGAAATCTCGCATCCCTTCCAGTATTCCTGCGCACCGTGGCCTCTGTTAGGAGATTCCTGTGCAGTCTCCTAGCAGGGCAGCCCTTCTGGGAATTGCTCCCTGGTGCTCGTGTGCACTCCATCCCAGCCCTTAGAGCTGCTTTCCTGGCTTTTGTCTCGTGTCCTCTGACCACCTATCAGGGCCTGTCCATGGGGCTGTGTCTGCATGGGAGCAGCCCCAAACACAGTCCTTGTCAGCACCCCGATCTGGACCTGAATTGGGCCCTTGTGCTCACTACCTGTGGACCAAAGACAAATCAGGTTCTCCCCATCCCCAGAGTGGGGAAAGCAGTAGTGTGGGCCTCCCTGGGGTCCCCACGACAGTGTAATGAGTACGGGCACGGAGTCTGCTGCATGTCTCTATGGACATTTCCATAACTTTTCTTTTTTTTTTTTTCTCTGAGATGGAGCCTTGCCCTGTCACCCAGGCTGGAGTGCAGTGGCACAATCATGGCTCCCTGCAACCTCCACCTCCCGGGTTCAAGAGATTCTCCTGCCCCAGCCTCTCGAGTAGCTAGGATTACAGGTGCCCACCACCAAGCCTGGCTAATTTTTGTATTTTTAGTACAGACGGGGTTTCACCAGGTTGGTGAGCCTGGTCTCAAACTCCTGAACTCAAATTATCCTCCTGCCTCAGCCTCCCAAAGTGCTGGGATTACAGGCATGAGCCACAGCGCCCAGCTAACTTTTCAGTTTATAAACACTAATACCTACTTGTGTCCCATGGCCTCATCTCAGCCATGTGAGGCTGATGTTGTGCCCATTGTACAGATGGCAGAGCAGGCTCAGGTTCAGGAAGCTGCTGGAAGCCACCCAACCATGAGGTGCAGAGCACAACATCTGGGACAGGGTCTTCGCGACAGCTCTTGGGATCCTGTCTTCTCATGATTGTGATCTCAGAGAGCTTTCACTGTTGGATCAGAGGCTGACTCCAGACTCCACCCCAGTGTTGCTGGGCCCTGTGGGCACCGACAGAGCAGTCCTTGCTGGCCTGACTCATATTCCTGAGTCTCAGGGGTTCCTGTGCCATCAGAGAATGAGCTCCCCAAGTGTCAGTCACTTGGTTCAGTGCCTGTATCTTAAACTGGGCACCTTCAGCAAAAGTCCAGTGTGGAGCTATGTACCCTCCTGCCACAGCCCAGGATCTAGCACAGAGCTGGGTACTGTGCCATCATAAGCCTCCATAAAGACTGCTGTAGGCATCGCAGTGCAGATGGCAGGACTGTGCCTGGGCTGCAGGCGCACATTTGCTGGGTGTGTGCAGTGCAGATTGCAGGGCTGTGCCTGGGCTGCAGGTACACATTTACCAGGTCTGTGCAGTGTGGGTGGCAGGACTGTGCCCAGGCTGCAGGTACACATTTACCAGGTGCGTGCAGTGTGAATGGCAGGGCTGTCATGGGCCGCAGCTGCACATGTACTGGGTGTGCGCAGTGTGGATGGCAGGGCTGTGCCTGGGCTGCCAGTACACATTTACCAGGTGTGTGCAGTGTGGATGGCAGGGCTGTGCCTGGGCTGCAGGTGCACATTTACCAGGTGTGTGCAGTGTGGATTGCAGGGCTGTGCCTGAGCTGCAGGTGCACATTTGCCAGGTGTGTGCAGTGTAGATTTCAAGACTCAGAGAGGAGACAGCCAGTTCCTGTCCTGCCTGAGGGTTGGGCAGGGGTAACCATCTAAGACCCTGGGCATCTTCCCCAGCCTGGGCGATTCTCCAAGCCATCGCTTTTCAGCAGGACTGCCAGCAGGGCATCTGTCATGTTCGTCCACCAGCATCACAGCCTGTTTTGGGGAGAAGTAGTATTTCCACACCCCACTCAGGCTGATAGCATTTGAGGAAGAAGAGAAAGAGGGGCTTTTGGGTTTTCTGGTTTCCTTTCTGAAGGTGAACCTGTCACTGGTGAAAAAAATGGTGTTTTTTTTTTTTTGGACCAAGAAAGCGGCCTTGGCCTCCAGTGCCAGAGCAGGCTCTGGCTGGGGCAGAGGATCCTGGAGAGGATGCTATGCTGTGTTGGGCGGGAAGTCGCTTCCTCCCTCCAAACATAGGTGTCCAGTTCTCTCTTCCTCCCTTTGTCAAGTAGGAGCTGTTATGCCAAGGGCAGGCAAGAAACAGGCCCCTGAGTGCTCAGGTTCATGGCCGGGCTTTGAAGCAGGAGTTTCCTCTTGGCCCTCAGGCTACACTTCTGTAGGGTGCCTCTGCAGCATTTCCCTCCTTGGGCAGGAGCCTGGCTTGCAGAGGACAGACAGCAGGAAGAATGCTGGCCTCCCCCATGCCACCAGATCCTGTCCCAAGGCCAGCAGGAGGGGAGGGGAAGCAATCTGATCACTGGAGCAGGAGGGGCCAGCTCTGGAGTCCACATGGCTGTGGCTGGGCTGTGCTTTTAGAAGCAGCAGCTCTTGCCGCCTCTCTCTAGGGATTTTTGTCTTTCTTTTAAAAACTTTTTTTTAACCTTCTTTTTTAAGACAGGGTCTTGCTATGTTGCGCAGGCTGGTCTCAAATTCCTAGGCTCAAGCGATTCTCCTGCCTCAGCCTCCCAAAGTGATGGGATTGCAGGCATGAGCCAGTACACCTGGCTGAATTTTATCTTTCCTACCAGCCTTTTCATATGAGCTGAGCCTGCAGGCTGTGCCTAAGCATAGCCCTTTGAACTTGATAGACTGTGAGCTTGGAAAGACTCCTTTGCAGTCTGAGTCCTCTGGCAAATACACTAGCTTGGTTAAGTGGACTTTTCTTTGATTGATGTTGGCTGCATCTAGAAAGCAGGATTGCCACCACTCCTTGAAGCACCCTATGATTAGAGTGTCTGAGTGCTGCTTCTGCTCTGCTGAGGCTGTTGACAAATTGCCTGAAAAGACCCCCTGTCAGAGGATGATGGGCTCGTCTGCAGCAGGGCCACTTGCAGCCCAATTGCTTCCAAGATTAAACCTTTCCAAAGCGGTCTGCACTGCCCGGTACACAGTTGGGCCACTGGTTTAAGATTACAGATGAAGGTACTGAATTGGATCTCATTTAAAAATATATAGGTTTTAAAGTTTGAGGGCTCAGGAAGAAAATGAAATCCTTTGTCCCAAACCAGGGCCTGGTTTTGTCAGTGGTGCGTGCACGTGTGTGTGTGTGTGTGTGTGTGTGTGTGTGTGTGTTCTAAAGAGACCCTAGTGGCCGGACACCATGGCTCACATCTGTAATCCCAGCATTTTGGGAGGCTGAGGCAGGAGGATCACCTGAGGTCAGGAGCTCAAGGCCAGCCTGGCCAACATGGTGAAACCCTGTGTCTACTAAAAATACAAAAATTAGCTGGGTGTGGTAGCAGGCAACTGTAATTCCAGCTACTTGGAAGGCTGAGGCAGGAGAATCGCTTGAACCTGGGAGGCAGAGGTTGCAGTGAGCCGAGATTGCACCATTGCACTCCAGCCTGGCTGACAAGAGTGAAACTCTGTCTCAAAAAAAAAAAAGAGAGAGAGAGAGACCCTAGTTTAGCTCTTTTGGAAAGCAACTGCCCTGCATTAGGCTTGTTTCTGGATGCTAGCACTAAAATAGCAATCAGACTCTGCATGCCTCTCACAGGCAACTTGTCCACAAAACCACTTCCAAATGTTTTCCCAAGTGCATGTGTCTGACCCAGGCTTCTTTCTCACCCACCTCCTGTGGAAGGAAGATTGCATCTTGAGTTCTAAAGATTTTTAAACAATTTCATACTTGCAGACCAACGTGTATATTTTATGTCCATTGACATTGGAAAACATTCTTGTCTAATCAATCACTCTGGCCCAGCTTTAGATTTCTCCAGAAATAACCAGATCCTGTGGGCACCTTGAGGCTGCAGCCCATTGTGCAGAATTGCTTAATGTGTACCTCATCTGGTTTTTGCCTTCATGCTATTGTTGGTCCCTCAGTAAAATGTTCATTTGGTTGGGTTTTATGTGCAAGAATGCTGGTGGGTTGGGTGAGTGTTAGTATTTAAGGGAAGGCCTGTTTTGTTTTCTTTTGTTTTGTTTTGTTTTTAAGAGTTAGGATCTCACTTTGTCACCTAGGCTGAAGTGCAGTGGTGCAATCATAGCTCACTGCAGCCTCAAATTCTTGGGCTCAGGGGACGCTCTCACCTCACCCTCCCTGATTAGATGGGACTACAGTGGGTGCACATCACCATGTCCAGCTAATACTTTTTATTTTTATTTTTGTAGAGGTGGGGTCTTGCTTTGTTGCCCAGGCTGGTCTTGAACTCATGGGCCTCAAGTAATCATCTCACCTTGGCCTCCCAAAGCATTAGGATTACAGGCATGAGTCACCATGCCTGGCCTGATTTGCTTCTGACTAGTGTCCTGCATTTATTAAAGACCCTAGATCACTCCTGGTGTTCTAAAAATAACCAAGCCCACCTATCTGCCTTCTAGACATGGGCTGGAGGGCCTGCCACGAGCATCCTTGGGTATTCCCAATAGCCCTAGTTAACCCAGGCTGACTTACAATTCCTCCCTCTCTTAACCAAAATTATGTTGAATTTTTGTGTTCCTTGTCTTTTAACTGAAAAGCTCTTGTTTATTTGTTATTTAATTTAATTTTATTTTTTTGAGACAGACTCTCGCTCTGTTGCCCAGGGTGGAGTGCAGTGGCATGATCTTGGCTGACTGCAACCTCCGCCTCCTGGATTCCAGCGATTCTCCTGCCTCTGCCTCTAGAACAGCTGGTGCTACAGGAGCCTGCCACCACACCAAGCTAATTTTTTGTATTTTTAGTAGACACGGGGTTACACCATGTTGGCCAGGCTGGTCTCGAACTCCTGACCCCAGGTGATCCACTCGCCTCAGCCTCCCAAAGTGCTGGGATTACAGGCATGAGCCAACACGCCCGGCCCTGTTTGGCATTTTTAATGCCCTATTACCATTATTTGCACTTATTCTTTTGCAGAATTTCAGCACCAGGTGGTGAGGATGTTCCTTCTGGCCATGCACGTGCAGGACACACAACAGGCACTTGATAAGTGTGTGCTGAGCAAAACTCACTTCTTCCTTCTGGCCACATTCATCACAGGTGTACTCAAAGCAGCAAGAGCTTGCCCCAGCTCAAAAGTGCTTAGTTGCTAATTAGCTGTTTTCACAAAGATACTGAAATTGGAGACATCAGTGTTCATCCTTTAGCCATAGCATTGGAAAAATATGAATGATTTACAACTGTGACTAAAAAGGTGTTTAGAGAACTGTTCTATGTAAAGCAAGACAGTAAGCTGGGCGTGGTGGCTCAAGCTGGTAATCCCAGCCGAGGCGGGTAGGTTGCTTGAGCTCAGGAGTTCTGGACAAGCCTGGGCAACATAATGAGACCCCATCTCTACAAAAATATTTAAAAAAAAAAAAAAAAGCTGAGTATAGTGGTGCATGCCTGTAGTCCCAGCTACTTGGGAGGCTGAGGCAGGAGGATCTCTTCAGCCTGGGAGGTGGGGGTTGCAGTGAGCTGTGGTTGCACCACTGCACTCCAGCCTGGGCATCAGAGTGAGACCCTGTCTCAGAAAGAAACAAAAAATATATAGTGTGTGGTTGCAACTTTTGCACATCACCTGGAGTTCTGGGCAAGGGGAGAGGAACTGAGGTTGGTCACTTCTTGCATGGATGGCTTTGGGACTTGGGTGGGTTTTTTGCTCCACAGTACTTTTCACCCTGTATTTTCTCATAGGTTTTGCCCCACTAGAGCTTTATGTAGAGATTGGGGCTCTCAGGTCCCATATGGAACTTACTAGCGAGAGTTCCAAGTGGCAAGTCCCTTTCCTGCCCCGGCATTGGTACAAGGCTGCCTTGCTGTTGGACCACAATACTCCAAGAGTCCAGCTCCCCTGTTTGCTCAAGTCTGAAGCAAGGTCCCACTTGGGAGTTACAGATCAGAGTCCTTTGACGTCAGAGCATCACAGCGGAATTCTAGGCCACCCCGGCAGTGAGTGCTCTCTGCAGATCTGCGAGCGGTGCTGGTCCGCCCCGCCACCTCCACCCCTAGCACCGTATCTGTGTGATTAAAGCTGTGACCTCCCCCTTGGGTGGAAGCCTTCCAGTCCTTGGAATGAGAATCTTAGCTGCTTCTGTCTGCAGAGGATCTCTTTGTGGGATTTTTTTTTTTTTGAGATGGAGTCTTATTCTGTCACCCAGGCTGGAGTGCAGTAGCGTGATCTTGGCTCACTGCAACCTCCGCCTCCTAGGTTTAAGTGATTCTCCTGCCTCTGCCACCTGAGTAGCTGGGACTACAGGCACCCACCACCACACCCGGCTCATTTTTATATTTTTGGTAGAGACACGGTTTCACCATGTTGGCCAGGCTGATCTCAAACTCATGACCTCAGGTGATCTGCCTGCCTCAGCCTCCCAAAGTGCTGGGATTACAGGTGTGAGTCACCGTGCCTGGCCCAGAGGGACTCTTGGAGAGAGGCTCCTTGATCCCACAAGGGGCAGGGGTCTCTGGCAAGGCACAGCCCATCCCACCAGGCCCAGCACCTGGTGCTGACCACCCCCCCAACCCACCCCACTGTTCTGTTGTCAGAATGTGTTGTTTTCTTGTACATAAACAATATGACAATAAAGGGAGGTTACTCAGTAAAGGGAGCTGCTCAGAAGGTGACCAGAGCAGGGCTGGAGAGCCAGCCTGGCATTCACTGTTTGCTTTATTGCAAGGCCACTTGGAATTAGAGGGGATCTCAGATTCGAGTCTGAGCTGGAGGTAGGAAGGGGCTCCTGCACCTTGGATAGAACTCGGGCTCTCCCCGGGGTTAGGGGCCTGGGCTCTGGTGCAGCCCCACCACTTCATTAGGTCACCCCAGGCAGTTTCAGCCTCAGATTTCTCATCCCCGGGATGGCATGTTTGCAGCCTCGTGGGCTTCTATGGGCATTGAATGAGATGTGTTTGTGAGGCAGTAAGGCAGCCAAGATGTCACTTACATGAAACTTACATTGCAACCCCAGTTTTAGCATGATGTGGGATATTAAGTATTACCGTCTCCTTGAATACTCCCAGTCAGCAGTTCGCTTCATGTTACAAGATGTTTAGTTCTAGGCTGGGCCTGTAATCCCTGCACTTTGGGAGGCCAAGGTGGGAGGATCACTTGAGGCCAGGGGTTCAGAACAACCCTGGGCAACATAGTGAGACCCCTGTCTCTACAAACTATAAATATTATATATATATATAATATATATAAAATATAAATATATAATATATATATAATATAAATATATAAAATATAAGGCATGACCTTCCTAAAGCAGACCCTGGTCCGGTCTCTGTACACCTTTTGCATAGTTGGTGGCCATCCAACCCCCTCTCAGGCTGTGGCTGTGTTCCTCCAGGGGCCTCGGTGGTCCAGGAGCCTGGCCGAGCTGGCTCCCTCTCCCACGTGGCTTACTCCATCAGCTTCACCTTGTTTATATCTCTGGATCTCCTCTTTTTTCTTTCTGTTTGTGTCTTGTCTCTTTCTGGAAAGCCCCTTACCTCTACTCACCCCTCTGTGTGCAAACATCACCCAGTTCAGGTGCCCCCAACCCAGCCAGGAGGGATTTTCATTCCTTAGGCTCCCATCGTAGGCTAGCTGTGCCTGTCTTTCAGCACATTTCATTTCCTGCCTGGTATTTCAGTTGTGTGTGTGTCTTCATTCTCCTCATGTAAGCCTTGAGGTGCGGAGTGCATGCCTGTTCACCTCTGCCCTCTCTAGAGGTCAGAATATGACCAGTGTTCAGCCCCCATCGGAAAGAGCCCAAGAACCCCAAGTCCCCAGCCTGTTCTGCTCTGCTGTGGGCCCACATGCCTGGAGACGAGGCACCTTTCCTTCCCTGACATTGACTAGTACAGGATACAGGGTAGAACCCAAACATTGAGCAATTGTCAAACTGCCTACTTATGGTGAACAAAATAGCTTTTCAGAAGGTGAGATCACAGTACGGTTATGGTGAATCCTGACTCGCACCTCAGGTCTTTCATCAGGATTTTTGTTTTTCCCGGTTGGCACAGATGTGCGTGGAGCAGATCAGAGGCCTCTCAGGTTCTTGATCACTCATGGCAAATTCAGGCCCACCAGGAGCGAGGTGAGAGATCCAGACAGCAGGGGAGAGAAGGGAGGTGCAGGGAACCCTCAGCCCCACATGCTCCAGCAGGTCTGTGTGATTAACCTGAATTGCAGCATTCAGAGGCTCGGCCCACCAGCCATGGCGGTTCCAGATGAAATGCAGCTTAGAAGGCAGTGTGGCATAGTAGCTTTGGTGCCAGCTGCTCCCAGAGTTTGGATTGTAGCCAAATGGCATCAGGTGCAATGTACAACCTCTGGGAGTTCCAGATTTCCTATTTACACGACAGGGATGATTCCATACATGAAGGGCTGTTTGGAAGCATCTAGAAACAAGCACAGTGAAGTGGCTGTCGTGACACTGGACGCACAAATGATGGTGTTAGGATCCCTCCACGGATGTAGCCAGGTGACACCCCTCACCTGGGCCGCACAGCACCCTAATGTATGCACTGAAGAAAGGCTGCATGGGGCTGCAAAGTAGCTCATTTCTAAGAACGCCAAAGAAATTGCTCAGTCCAGACCAGGGAGCCCAGCCTCTCTTTTAGAGGTGGGATCTTGCTATGTTGCTCAGACTGTTCTCAAACTCCTGACCTCAAGTGATCCTCCCACCTTGGCCACCCAAAGTGCTGAGATTCCAGGCATGAGCCACTGCACCCAACCTGTAGCCTCTTTCTACAAGTAAAATGATTCAAGTGAGTTCAGGCCCATGCCAGGTCTCAAACCCTGGCACTCTGTCCATCTTCCAGCTTCCACTCCTTCTCTCTCATTACAGGATCTCCTGTCCTTCTGCACACCAGGGTGGCAGACAGCTTGGCCAACTGCCTTGGACTTCTTTATCTCTAGCACATGTTCCTGTAAATTTAAACCTCCTCAGTTGGGTAAAAGCTTTGGAAATACTAACATTCCTTTTGTGCTGCCTAACGTTCCTGCCATTTAAAATATTAGCAGGCATAATTTCAGTAAGCCTTCATGACTGGCATGCGTCACTTCTTAATCTCTGGTTGGTATATGTTAAAATATAAAGACAGCCTCTCCAGGACACATGGGGAGCTTGCAAATGAAAGGTTGCTCTGACCTCTCAGAACAGTGGACTTCTTAAAAAAGAAAGAGTGAGGTGGGCAGCCTCCCTTGCTGCCAGTGCTAGATTCTGTGATATGAAACAGCAAGGTGCAGCTGGATGCGGTGGCTCACACCTGTAATCCCAGCACTTTGGGAGGCTGGGGTGGACAGATCACCTGAGGTCAGGAGTTCGAGACCAGCCTGGCCAACATGGTGAAAACCCTTCTCTACTAAAAATACAAAAAATTAGCCGGGCATGGTGGTACATGCCTGTAGCCCCAGCTACTCAGGAGGCTGAAGCAGGAGAATCACTTGAACCCGGAGGTGGAGGTTGCAGTGACCCAAGATCATGCCACTGTACTCCAGCCTGGGCGACAGAGCAAGAAGACTCCTTCTCAAAAAAAAAGAAAAAAATGACTTGCACATGTGCTTACGTAAGAAAGTGAGATTCACTGAGTGAACCATACATAGCATCTCTTAAAACTGTATCATGGAATTCATGATCAGGCATCTCCTCTATATCAGGCAACAAACAGGTGATATACACACTTGTATCTTCCCAGAAAGGGAAGGAAGGTAGTAGAGATGACATCGTCAGTTACTTGTTTGTATGTGTGTGTGCATATTTAACTTATTGTGTGTCTGTGTGCATAGCGACATGTCACTGCATGTGAGGGACATTTATAGGATCTGAGCTCAGGTGCCCCTTCCCCAAAGGAGGCTTCTCTGCTGTTTAGGGACAGGTCTGCCTCTTTATTTCTTTCTCTTTCTTTTTTTGGAAGCAGGGTCTCACTCTGTCACCAGGCTGGAGTGCAGTGACATGATCACAACTCTCTGCAGCCTTGACCCCCCAGGCTCAAGCAGTCCTCCCACCTCAGACTCCCAAGTAGCTGGGATTATAGGCACATGCCACCATACCTGGCTAATTTTTTTTTTTTTTTTTTTTTTTTGAGACAGAGTCTTGCTCTGTCGCCCAGGCTGGAGTGCAGTGGTGTGATCTCGGCTCACTGTAAGCTCTGCTTCCCGGGTTCACGCCATTCTCCTGCCTCAGCCTCCTGAGTAGCTGGGACTACAGGTGCCCGCCACCATGCCCAGCTAATTTTTTTGTATTTTTAGTAGAGATGGGGTTTCACTGTTGTCTCGATCTCCTGACCTGGTGATCCACACACCTTGGCCAACCAAAGTGCTGGGATTACAGGCGTGAGCCACCGCGCCCGGCCCTGGCTACTTTTTAAAAATTTTTTGTAGAGATGGGATCTTGCTGTGTTGCCCAGGCTGGTCTCTACCTCCCAGGCTCAAGCGATCCTCCCTTAGCCTCCCAAGTAGCTGGGACTACAGGCACGTGTCACCACACCCAGCTAATTTGTTTGATTTTTAATAGAGATGGGGTCTTGCTATATTGCCCAGGCTGGTGTCAAGCTCCAGAGCTCAAGCAATCCTCCCACCTCAGCCTCCCAAAGTGCTGGGATTACAAGCTCGTGCCCCTGTGACCGGCCAGGTCTGCCTCTTAAACTCCCTTCACACCATGTGCCCCTTCTGCAACACCGGCCACAGGTAAGTGTAGTGGTGATTTGACTCATGTCTCACCCACCACTCAACAGAAGCCCAGGAGGCACAGCAGCCTGTGGTCTCTGCTCATGATTGAAAGAGCCCCTGAAACAGGGCCAGAAGGCCCAAAATAGCCACTCAACAAACATCTGTCGAATAAATGGAAGTCATATGCGTCATTCCAAGTCTTTGCTATTCTTCGAAAAGTAATCATACTGACTCCAGGCTACAGTGAGCTATGATCACGCCATTGCACTCCAGCCTGGATGACAGAGCAAGACCTTGTTTCTTAAAAAGAAAATAATTATATTGACTACCTAATATGTGATTGTATTGCTTTAGTAGAATTCTCTAATAAGTACTCCCATGGTGTCAGAATCCACATTGTTTCTAGATTTCTCTGTTCTAAACACATGCTGAACATTCTTGTGAATAAATCTCTGCCTACATCTCTGATTATTCTTATGGATAGACTCCTGAAAGTATGAAGAGGAAGGATTCATCTGCATTCTGATTTTAAATAGCCCATTTGTCTAAATGTTAGTAGGGCCTAAGATCTGGAATAAATGACACAGTGGCAAAAGTCAGAGTCACACCTCCTGGTTGGTTTCAGAGAGTCCTGGGCTGAAATGGTGCCTTTGGGATCCATCCCTGTCTAGCACAGGAGTCCCCTTTGCAGCAGTGTCCATAAAAATATAGCTTGGGCTGGGTGTGGTAGCTCACGCCTGTAATCCCAGCACTTTGGGAGGCCGAGGTAGGTGGATCACCTGAGGTCAGGAGTTCGAGACCAGCCTGGCTAACATGGTGAAACCCCATCTACTGAAAATACAAAAATTAGCTGGGCAGGGTTGTGGGTGCCTGTAATCCTAGCTACTCCAGAGGCTGAGGCAGGAGAATCACTTGAACACAGGAGGCAGAATTTTCAGTGAGCCAAGATCACTCCACTGCACTCCAGCCTGGGCAACAAGGGGAGACTCCATCTCAAAAAAAAGAAAAAAGAAGTTAGCTTGGTGATGAGTCTGGGAAGAGAATCTCTTTATTCATTCATTCAATCTGCAAGTATTCACTGAGGGTCTGCCCTGAACCTAGCACCATCCATGGCCCCAGGAATAGAATGGAGAAAAGTACATCTCCTTAAGTGTCTCCTAGAAATGGAGACCTCACCACTCTCGCTAAGACATAGCTCTCTGAGGGCAGGGACTGTGACTGTCTCATTCACTGCTCATAGTAAACGCTCAAATGGTTTTTGAATAAATTAAAACATAATACATGGGGCAGGCACAGTGGCTCATGCCTGTAATCCCAGCACTTTGGTAGGCCAAGATGGGTGGATCACCTGAGGTCAGGAGTTTGAGACTAGCCGGGCCAACATGGAGAAACCCTGTCTCTTCTAAAAAATACAAAAATTAGCCAGGTGTCATGGCACACACCTGTAATCCCAGCTACTCAGAGGCCGAGGCACGAGAATTGTTTGAGCTGGGGAGATGGAGGTTGCAGTGAGCCAAGATCTCACCATTGCACTCCAGCCTGGGCAACAGAGTGAGACTCTATCTCAGGAAAATAAAAAATAAAAATAAATAAAATATAATATGTGTAACATGTGGTTCCTCTCCTTGACAAATTCCAAATCTATTGATGTATAGATACCTCAATAAATTACAGCTGTATTTTCAAAGTTCTGAAATGTAACTAGAGATTTGTTTATTTTTGAGATAAAGTTTGCTTTGTCACCCAGGCTGGAGGGCAGTGGCATGATCATGGCTCACTGCAGCCTCAACCTCCTGTGCTCAAGCAATCCTCCCACCTCACCCTCCTGAGTAGCTGGACTATAGGCGCTTGCCGCCGTGCCTGGGTAATTTTTTTATAATTTTTTTTTTATAGAGCAGGAGTCTCCCTATGTTGCCTAGACTGGTCTTGAATTCCTGGCCTCAAGAAATCCTCCTGTCTGGTGCTCCCAACATACTGGGATTATAGGTGTGAGCTGCTGTGCCCAGTCAGAGGTTTTGACATGAGCAGTTACTGAGAAAGGGATCTGGAAGAGTATTTTGAAATCAGACATAAAGTCAAATTAGACTTATTTAAGAGAATTAACCAATGGAGCCTGAGTTTGGCTTCTCCCATTTCCCACCACTGATCCCCTGGCCACGTGGAGTCCTGCAGGAAATCCCTGTGCCAGGTGGGCTAGCCCAGGACACATGGCTTTGGAGACTGGGCAGGGAAGATGCCAGCCCAGGCACTGGAGCTGGTGCTTGCATGCCCCTCTCAGTGGGATATCTGATCCCCAGATGCCAGATGCCAGTGTCCTGTCTGAGCTGCCCCTGGGGCCACACACAGGATCTCAGAGTGGACAAACAGCCTTGCCCTTGACAATGAAAAGTTCTCAGCTCTGAGACCAGAAGAAGCCTTAGTGCAAACATTTCTCAAAGTTTCAGTCTCTTAAAATTGGGGACTATGGAGAGCTTGTGTGTGTGTGTGTGTGTGTGTGTGTGTGTGTGTGTGTGTGTGTGTTGTATCTCTCAGTATTGTCTGTGTTAGACATGAAAGCTGAGGAGTCTGCAAAGCACAGGAACACACACACACACGAGTCACTGGTGTCAGAGTGAGGCTATCATCACACATCACAGCCATCTAGAAAACTCCACGGTACACTTGCGGAAGAAGGCGAGGAAAAGGCAAGTAACAAGAGTAGTTTTGACCTTGTGTGCCCTTGAAAGGATCTAGGGAGCTGGGAGTCCCCAGACCCTGCTTTGAGGATCACTGGCTTAGAGGCATTGGCATCCAGGCTCCGCCAGTGCTCCTGAGCCATGGCCATGTGCTGCCAGATTGCGGCCTCTGTGCAGTTCAAATCTTCCTTTCTTCCAAGTCCTTTGCACCATCCTCAGCCTTTATCCTCCTCGGTCCACATTTGGGCATTACAACTTAGATAAACCCTCACTCCCATTTTTCATCATCAAAGTCTTTTTTTTTTTTTTTTTTGAGACATAGTTTCATTCTGTTGCCCAAGCTGGAGTGCAGTGGTGCGATCTCAGCTTACTGCACCCTCCACCTCCCGGGTTCAAGCGATTCTCCTGCCTCAGCCTCCCGAGTAGCTAGTATTCCAGGTGCACACCACCACACCCAGCTAATTTTTTTCTATTTTTAGTAGAGATGGGGTTTCACCATTTTGGCCAGGCTGGTCTTGAACTCCTGACCTCAGGTGATCCACCTGCCTCGGCCTCCCAAAGTGCTGGGATTACAGGCATGAGCCACCGTGCCCGGTCTCATCATCAGACAAGTCTTGCACATTCCCTGTTGCTTGGGAACTCAAGAGGTCCCTGCCTGTGGCTTCAGGGTATCCCCTTGCTGCTTCCCAGCAGGCACCCTGTATTGAAACCCCACACCCTCATCTCAGCTCCCGATACTGCCAGTCCCCCAAAGCCAGCCCTTCCCATTGTGGAGTTATACCAGGCACCACGTGAAAGCCACAGCATCAGCATTGGAGACTTTCTGCCAGGACACAGAACGTGTCTTAAATGGCACAAAGACATTTAAATGGGAAGAAATTACAGCAGGAGTGAGTTTAACCCTTTCAAGATACTCTTATTTAATAACCAAAAAACTCACAAAGATGTTCATTTTATCCAACTACAAAAACAGCATGGTGGGTTATATATTGTGGTAACTACATGTTTGGGGTTTTATTCCTCCTTTAAACCAGATTTCTATTATTTCAGAAAATCAGCCATTGTAGAAAAAGACTATTCATTTATTTCATTTCTGGGTGGCCCATACACTGTAAAAATAGGTCAAGAACAGTAATCTAAATTGACTGCTGATAAATAATTAAAGCTAATAGAATTTTTCTCAGACCTGTGAACTAAAATCTTTGAGAAATTGCCAGGACATACTTACTGTCTCCTGTTGTATAGAAAGATATTTTTTTATTTAATACTTCAGTTTCAATGCCATTTAAAATTACCATTTTCTATCACAAGGACTGGAAGGAATATGTGTTCATCTATAAAAGTAACCAGAGGAACGACGCCGCACTGATGGCTATATGGTTCATCTTCAGATGAGATGGGAAGTGACGGTTTCGGTATCCTGGACAAAAGAAACTTCGTTTTTCACTGAACTGCATTTTAAGTCGAGGTCTACAGTCTGCATATCACATAATATATACTGTCTTGTTTTTAAAGACTCTGTACTTGGTCTAAGCTCTTACATTGATAAGGGAAACTTACAGCTATCTTACATGACATCCAGGAAAACAAATACTATGAACATCTGTTTTTCACCAGTAATTACTGTTCACTCATTGGTGCTACCAGGGCCTTATAAAAAGACACTGGAAAATTAGCTGGGCGCGGTGGCAGGCGCCCGTAGTCCCAGCTACGCAGGAGGCTGAGGCAGGAGAATGGCGTGAACCAGGGAGGTGGAGCTTGCAGTAAGCCAAGATCGCACCACTGTATTCCGGCCTGGGTGACAGAGCAAGACTCCGTCTCAAAAAAAAAAAAAAAAAAAAAAAGACTCTGGGGTGGGGCACATTGGCTCATGCCTGTAATCCCAGCACTTTGGGAGGCCGAGGCAGGTGGATCCCTCAAGGTCAGGAGTTCAAGACCAGCCTGGCCAACATGGTGAAACCCCATCTCTACTAAAAATACAAAAATTAGCCAGGTGTGGTGGTGGGCACCTGTAATCCCAGCTACTTGGGAAGCTGAGGCAGGAGAATCGCTTGAACCAGGGATGTGGAGGTTGGAGTAAGCTGAGATCACGCCACTGCACTCCAGCCTTGGTGACAAGAACGAAACTCCATCAGAAAAAAAGAGAGAGAGAGAGAGAGAGAATGTGAGCTAAGACCAGGGGAGAGGGGAGATCAGGGCATCACCCCAGGCAGGAGAGGTCTGAAACAGAAGGTGACAACTGAACAAGCCAAGCCACAGGGCCAGGTCCCTAAGGGTCCCTGCCTCTAGCATGGTTGGCAGCAACCTTGTGAGAGTCAGAATCAAGTCTTTCAGAAGTGACCCAATTCAGCCCTTCACTACCCCACCCTGCCCCAGTGCTCTTGGGAAGACTACATTGTCACCAAAGGAGAAAGGGTCCCACCCCTGAGCTGTCACTGGAGAGGATGGGGTACCACCAAGAGATGTTGCCCCTCTTAAATGCAGTTGGGCTTATTTCCCAGAAAGCATCCAAGTTACTGTACAGTGAAAAAAACGTTCAGAAAAATCTTGATTATCTGATTTTTTTTTTTCCAATTTAGAGACAGGGTCTTGCTCTATCACCCAGGCTGGAGTGCAGTGGCAGGGTCATAGCTCACTGCCATCCCAAACTCCTAGGTTCAAGCCATTCTCCCACCTCAGCCTCCAAAGTAGATAGGACTACAAGCCTACACCACCATGCTCGCTAATTTTTGTATTTTTTCTAGAGATGAGGTTTCACCATGTTGCCCAGGCTGGTCCTGAATGCCTGGGCTCAAGCAATCCTCCCACCTTGGCCTCCCAAAGTGCTGGGATTACATATGTGAGTCACCAAATAGTTTTTTTGTTTGTTTTTTGTTTTTGAGATGGAGTTTCACTGTTGTTGCCCACACTGGAGTCCAATGGTGCAATCTCAGCTCACTGCAACCTCCACCTTCCAGGTTCGAGTGATTCTCCTGCCTCAGCCTCCTGAGTAGCTGGGATTATAGGCATGCGCCACCACGCCTGGCTAATTTTGTATTTTTTTTAAGTCTCTGACTCTGAGCCTCCTGCCCTTCTCTTACAAGGAGCACTAGGATTACACCGGGCCCGCCTGGATAATCCAGGATCATCTCCTGACTCATGATCCCTAATGTAGTCCCATCTGCAAAAGCCCCTTTTACCATTGCAATCTAACGTATTCACAAGTGCCAGCTATGAGGATGTGGTTATCTCTGGAAAACTATTATTGGTGCTGACCAGAGATAGCCTTATTTATATAAAAAGAGATTGGTGACCAGGCATGGTGGCTCACACCTGTAATCCCCAGCATTTTGGGAGGCCAAGGCAGGCATATCGCTTGAGCTTGGGAGTTCGAGACCAGCCTGGGCAACATGGTGAAACACTATCTCTACAAAAACTAGCTGGGTGTGGCGGCATGTGCCTGTGGTCCCAGCTACATGGGAGATTGAGGTGAGAGGATCCCTTGAACCCGGGAGGCGGAGGTTACAGTGAGCCGAGATCATGCCACTGCACTCCAGCCTGGGTGACAGAGCCAGACCCTGTCTTAGGGGGAAAAAAAACCAGATTGGTAAAGAATCTGATGACTTTTTGTCATTTAACTTGGTGTAAAAATACAGAAAATCATCTAGTGGAGGAAGTAAAAGGACTGACTTCCCCAAGGAAATAATGGTATCACATTTAGAAATGCATCGTTTAGAACAGTATATAGTTAAAAGGGAAATTACAATGCTTCTTTGACCAAATGTTTCTAAGAGATCACAATACAAAATAATGTGGGCTGGTGATATTTGTCAAAAAACTTGTGGTACAGTGGCCAGGCGTGGTGGCTCACACCTGTAATTCCAGCACTTTGGGAGGTCAAGATGGACAGATCTCTTGAGTCCAGGAATTCAAGACCAGCCTGGACAACATAGTAAGACCCTTGTCTCTACAAAACAATAAGAAAATTAGCAAGACTTGATGGTGGGTTCCTGTAGTCCCAGCTACTCAGGAGGCTGAGGTGGGAGGATCGCTTGAACCCAGAAGGTTGAGGCTGCAGTGAGCTATGATCATACCACTACACTCTACCCTAGGTGACAGAGCAAGACGCTGTCTCAAGAAAACAAAAACTTGCAGTACAGGTCTGTCCTGTAGGTCCCTCTGTGATGATGGAAAAGTTCTGTATTTGCATGGTTGAAAGCAGTAGCCCCCAGTGCCAAGTGGCTACCGAATCCTTGAAATGTGGCTAGGGTAACTCAGAAACTGAATTTTCCAAATTTACTTAATTTTAACTAAGTTGTATTTAAATATAAATAAGCACATATGGCTATATGTGTTGATATAGAATAAGAAGACTTCTTCACCTGGGTTCTTGAGATAAGTCGTACTTAGGAAGGCTCTGATAAAATAATTTGCAGAGTTTTATTTCTGAGGGCAAGGTCAGTAGCTTTCCTCAAGATTCTCAGAAGGCTTCATGAACCACAATGTAGGCCCAGTGTGGTGGCTCATGTCAGTAATTCCAACACTTTAGGAGGCTGAATTGGGCAGGTTACCTGTGGTCAGGAGTTTGAGACCAGCCTTGCAAAACCCCGCCTCTACTAAAAATACAAAAATTAGCTGGGCATGGTGGTGGGCACCTGTAGTCCCAGCTACTCAGGAGGCTGAGGCAGGAGAATCACTTGAACTCAGGAGGTGGAGGTTGCAATGCACCAAGATTGCACCACCGCACTCCCGTCTGGGCAACAGAGCGAGACTCCGTCTTAAAAAAACAAAACAAAATACAGTTTCAATGCCTAAATTTTCAGTAAATAAGATATTATCTTAGTTGAGTCTTTTCAAAATATTTGAAGCACTTTCTCAGTTACTTCATTTTAAATAAAATGCTCTGAATGAGATCATACGCAAGCACCTATGGGATGTCCTGGTGTTTCAAAATGGGCACTGGTGGCTTGGGATAAAATTTATTGTGACTCTGTCAGACGTGGATTCAAAACAGGCTGTATGTCCCACTAACAGTGCATTAAAATGGCAGCTAGGGCCAGCTGTGGTGGCTCATACCTGCAATCCCAACGCTTTGGGAGACCAAGGCAGGCAGATCACCTGAGGTCAGGAGTTCGAGACCAGCCTGGCCAACATGGCGAAACCCCATCTCTACTACAAATACAAATATTAGCCGGGCTTGGTGGCGGGCGCCTGTAGTCCCAGCTACTCAGGAATCTGAGGTGAGAGAATCACTCGAACCCGGGAGGCAGAGGTTGCAGTTAGCTCTGATTGCGCCATTGCACTCCAGCTTGGGCAACACAGCGAGACTCTGTCTCAAAAAATAAATAAATAAATAAAATAAGGCAGCTAAAATGCAGCACAGTGGTCCAGGTCCATTTCAGATAGAAACAGCAGTCAAACCCCCATTCCTGTCTATTTTATTCTAAGCAAATTAATTTTCTCACTTAGACTGACATCAGCAAAAGCTTTAGTCTGTAGCATGTTCAAAATGAGATATATGTGACCAGGAGTTAGTAGAAATAAAACGTCCTTGTAGGCTGGGTGGGGTGGCTCATGCCTGTAATCCCAGAACTTTGGGATGCTAAGGTGGGCAGATCTCTTAAGCCCAGGAGTTTGACCCTCGCCTGGATGACATGATGAAACCCCATCTCTACAAAAAAATGCAAAAGTTAGCCAGGCATGGTGGCATATGCCTGTAGTCTCAGCTACTTGGGAGGCTGAGGCGGGAGGAAGACTCTAGCCCAGGAGGCAGAGATTGCAGTGAGCCGGGAATGTGCCACTGCAGTCCAGCCTGGTCGACAGAGTGAGACTCTGTCTCAAACAATAACAACAACAACAACAAAAAAGAACCACCTCGTATTCTTAAATAAGTTTAAATCCTGGAGCGCCAGTTGGCGTTATCTATGTTTTAGGAGTGCAGGAACAGGCAAGGTCCCAGGCTTGCTTTAGATAATGATAATCAGCACTGACTGCCACGCTGTTTTTAGGAGGTCTTAACCAATGTTTCCCTTCTTTCTCCTTCTCAAATGGCTGCTTCCTGACCTCCGCCTCCTGCTCCAGGATTTGCGCAAGCAGGTAGCACCGCTGCTGAAGAGCTTCCATGGAGGTAAGCTTTTCTATTCATTTTCTATCCTGAGCCACCCTTTGTGGCTAATCCATCTTTTCATTCATGTTAAAGAAATGCTCCAGGCAAAAGGTGCTGCCCTGCCCGGATGGTGCTTTCCCGGCTGCTCCAACCTAGCATGGTGCAGATTTTGTGCTCTGTGATGTGATTTTCCATTGGGTCCTTGGTGAAAGCCCTCCTGGAAAAGGAACCTATGCTCAGAATATACAGAGGTGGGTGGATTCCAAGCAGAAGCACCCCATGTGGTGGCAATGGGCAGGTAGTTTGTGCCACAGCCTTTAGGAGCCCTTACGTCCCCTCCAGGAAGTTGCCTTGTTCCCTGAGCTGGTCTGGGGCTGCCACTGCCATGAGTGTGTGCTGTAAGTGTGGTGCTTTGGTGAGAGGCTGGCGGGGGCACAGGGATGCCACTTGATCGCAGGCTTGAAACCCAGAGCATCAGGCAGAAACCACAAGGAGGAAGTCTGAGCTCGGTAAAAGGAAGCGGTTTCTAACAGATCCTTCCAGAGAAGGACGGAGCCATCTGGCAGATGGCACGTGGGTGCCAAATCACCTGGGATATCTGCCCTGGCTACCTGTTAGTGGGAACAGCAGCCACAGAGGAGACTGGGCTCCATGTGGGTGACACTTCTTGCCAGCCCTTTGCGTAAAGATTGAGTGATGTTTAGTAAACCAGAAATTATACTGTTGAGGATTTACTGAATCTCACCTCTTTACCTTCTCCGTTGGAAAAACAGAATGGGGAATCATACCAAGCTGATAAGAAAAGGAAAGGAGACATTTCCAAAGCCCCTGAAAGAGCCCCATATTGGTACAGTTTTAGGATTTTTTTTTTTTGAGACAGAGTCTTGCATTGTCGCCCAGGCGGCAGTGCAGTGGCGTGATCTTGGCTCACTGCAACTTCCACCTTCTGGGTTCAAGTAATTTTCCTGTCTCAGCCTCCCGAGTATGTGAGATTACAGGTGCACACCATCATGCCCAGCTAATCTCTGTATTTTTAGTAGAAACGGGGTTTCACCATGTTGGCCAGGCTGGTCTCAACCTCCTGACCTCAGGTGATCCTCCCGACTTGGCCTCCCAAAGTGCTGGGATTACAGATGTGAGCCACCGTGCCTGGCAGGGATTTTATTTTCTTGCAACTACTAAGTCACAGGGAACAAATAGGGGAAGGGGCAAGAGAGATACTGTGGCAAGATATAATAGGTTCCCTTTGGGACACAGGTGATGTGGGCCTTATATGGAAGGCTGGGTTCCTGGGCCCAGAGCTCCAGGGCAAGCAGTCGGGCTTCCATGTGGGAAATTCTTCAGCTGGGAGCGAGAGCAGGGAGTGAGTAAATGAAGGAGGCTGGGGATATTGTAGCCAGAGACAGAGAGGCAATTTCAGGACCTCAAAAGGGACCAGCCTAGAAAGAAGACACAGTGGTTGGTGATGGCTGGAAATTTTAGAGGGTAGAACAGTGCTCCTCTCTTATGATCTTCTTCCTGCCTCATTCAGCCCCCATGCAGGTAGCTTGGTCCGGCCAGCAGGACACCCACATCCCAGGGCTTGGATGGACTTGAACAGTCTTTATCTCGAACTTCATCTCCAAGCTGGCACTTGATGAGTGAAACTGTTACCTGACACCTACCCATATTTGTTCTTACCTGTTCTGTTACCTATTCCGTAGATTTTGAGAGACCCACTGGCTTCCTAGTTCTCTAGCTCAAAGAGTTCAGTGTGGTTTTGGGGTGTTTGCTTTTCTTTCTTATTGAAAAATTTCAAAGCTGTATAAAAATGGAAAGATTAGTGCAGTGAACACACGTACGCTTTTTTTTTTTTTTTGAGACAAAGTTTTGCTCTTGTTGCCCAGGCTGGAGTGCAATGGTGCGATATCAGCTCACTGCAACCTCCGCCACCCGGGTTCAAGTGATTTTCCTGCCTCAGCCTCCCAAGTAGCTGGGATTACAGGCATGCGCCACCACGTCCAGCTGATTTTTGTATTTTTAGTAGAGACAGGGTTTCATCATATTGGTCAGGCTGGTCTCTAACTCCTGACCTCAAGTGATCTGTCCCAAAGTGCTGGGATTACAGCTGTGAGCCACCGTGCCCGGCCATCCTGTATGCTCTTTACTCAGATCCACAGTCCTTAACATTTACCCCATGTACCTTACCCCCTCCCCTTCCCACCCACCACTTTTGCAGAACATTTGGAAGTAAGTTGCAGAAGCATGCACTGTGCCCCTCAAATGCACATGGAAGGCTCCCAAAGTTAAGGAAACATTAACATTCTCTGACATTACCTCAATAATCACAAATATCAAACCTGGGAAAATTCACAGTAATTCCAGGTCATCTCCTATTTGATCTAAAATCAAATTTTTCCAATTATCCCTAAGATGTCTTTTATAACGGCCCTCCCTGCAACTGGGGTCCAATCAGGTTCACATATTACATTTGGAAATCTGTCTATCTATAGATCTGTCTATCAATTCATCATCTGTTTTATGATTTTCTATTTTAAAAAGTTTTGTTTTTTTTTTTTTGAGACAGGGTCTCACTCCGTAACCCAGGCTGCAGTGCAATGGTGCCATCATGGCTCGCTGCAGCCTCCACTTCCTGGGCTCAGCAATCCTCTTGACTTAGCACTCCCCAGTGCCGCCCCCCCACCCCCCCCATAGCTGGGACTATATGTGTGCACCACCACCTCCCGCTAATTTGTTTTTATTTTTGGTAGAGACACAGTTTCAATATGTTGCCTAGGCTTGTCTCAACATCCCAGGCTCAAGTCATCATGCCTGGCCTGGAAGTGGTTTTTCAAATATTTTACTTCCATCCTCTTATTATGATGTGTTGCTATTAAAAAGGTGATCATGCCTGTAATCCCAGCACTTTGGAAGACAAGGCAGGAGGATCGCTTGACCCCAGGAGATAGAGACCAGCCTGGCCAATATAGTGAGACCCCGTCTCAGGCTCAAGCCTGTAATCCCAGCACTCTGGGAGGCCAAGGTGGGTGGATCACCTGAGGTCAAGAGGTTCAAGACCAGCCTGGCCAACATGGTGAAACCCCGTCTCTACTAAACATACAAAAATTAGCTGGGCATGGTGGTGTGTGCCTGCAATCCCAGCTACTCGGGAGGCTGAGGCATGAGAATCACTTGAACTCGGGAGGTAGAGTTTGCAGTGAGCTGAGATCACACCACTGCACTCCAGCCTGGGTGACAGAGTGAGACTCCACCTAAATACATAAATAAATAAATAAACAAAATTTGAGATATTATAATTTAATGATTACTTATAATTATTATAACAAAATCATAAAATGAAACTCACACAGAAATTAGAGCTATTTATGATCAGTTGATTGATTTTGATACCTAATTTTGGGTGTTTCACAAGCCCAACAAATTGACGGGTGGTGTGGAGGAGGTGTACCCTTAATATTCAGTCCAATTTAAAGCTTATTCTAGTCCAACAATAATTTAGACAATCCATTCAGCAAAGTAATACACACACCCTCTAGGAAAATGCTGTCTTTCTACCTTGTTTGGCCAATCCTTACTTCTCTCCCTAAGAAGGGTCATGGTGTGGAAGGTTGAGGGGATGAGGAGCTGGCTCAGAGAACCTCTTGGTAGTAGGGGAGAAAGTGTCCTCAGAGAAGAAAATCCTCTTAAGAAATAACATGAGTACTCAGAGAAGAAATGAAAGACTAGCAATCTATGAACTAAGCATCAGCTTTATAAAAGTACAGTAGGCTGGTATGATGGCTCCTGCCTGTAGTCCCAGCAACAGAAGAAATCAAACTGTCATTTTTCAAGTGAGCCTCAATTATTTAACCAGTTTACTAGATACAAAATCAATATACAAAAGTAATTATATACCTCTGTATCAGCAGCAAACTTAGAATGTAATTTTTAAAAAGGATACTACTGGAGATAGCCAGCAAAACAAACAAACAAACAAAAAAGTGAAGATAATATTGAACCAGTACAAGTTGGAGGAATTGCCCTACCAGATTATTAAAGCTACAGTAGTTGGCACAAAGTGAGATAAATACACCAAAGGAACATAATAAAAAAAATCAGAATCTGGCAGAGCATGATGGCTCATACCTGTAATCCCAGGAGGCCAAGGCAGGAGGATCACTTGAGGTCAGGAGTTCCATACCAACCTGATCAATATGGTGAAACTTCATCTCTACTAAAAATACAAAAATTAGCCTGATGCAGTCACTTGCTCCTGTAGTCCCAGGTACTTGGGAGGCTGAGGCAGGAGAATTGCTTGAACCCAGGAAGCAGAAGTTTCAGTGAGCCAAGATCGCACCACTTCAGTCCAGCCTGGGTCACAGAGTGAGGCTCTGTCTCCAAAAAAAAAAGAAAAAGAAAAGAAACCAGTATCTGACCTATGCATATATATAGAAGCTGAATATATTGCAAAGATTGTATGGATCAGTGATGAAAGAGGGCACTTTTCATGGTCCCCTGACAATTGTCAAATCCTTATAGATTAAATGAAGTTAAGGCCAGGTACATTGGCTCCTATCTGTAATCCCAGCACTTTGGAAGGCTGAAGCAGGCAGTTTCCTTGAGCTCATGAGTTAGAGACTAACCTGGGCAACATGGCGAAACACTGTCTGTATAAAAAATTACAAAAATTAGCTGGGTGTGATGGCACATGCCTGTAGTCCCAGCCACTCGGGAGGCTGAGGTGGGATGATTGCTTGAGCCCACGAGCTGGAGGCTGCAGTGAGCTGTGATCACGTGCCACTGCACTACAGCCTGGCTGACAGAGCAAGATCCTGTCTCAAGCAAACAGACAGAAAAACAATTAACTAGAGTTGGAGCCCTACCTTACACTGTGTGGAAACACAAATTACAAGGAAAGTCTTAGGACAAAGCTTTAAACTTTTTAGAAGAAAATATAAAAGATGATGACTTTTGGCTGGGTAGAATTTCTTTTATTTATTTTTTAATTGTTTTTTTTTTTGAGATGGAGTTTTGCTCTTGTTGCCCAGGCTGGAGTGCAACGGCATGATCTCAGCTCACTGCAACCTCCGCCTCCTGGGTTCAAATGATTCTCCTGCCTCAGCCTCCCAAGTAGCTGGGATTACAGGCATGTGCCACCACACCCAGCTAATTTTGTATTTTTAGTAGAGATGGGGTTTCTCCATGTTGATCAGGCTGGTCTCGAACTCCTGACCTCAAGTGATCCACCCGCCTTGGCCTCCCAAAGTGCTGGGATTACAAGTGTGAGCCACAGCACCCGGCCCTGGGCTGGGTAGAATTTTTTAAACAGAAAACCATAAAAGAAGAGATTGTTGCAGTGAACTACATTAAAATTTTAAAGTAGGAGCCTTTTTTTTCATGGAAAGATACCCTAAAGAAAGTGGAAAGATGGCTGGGTGTGGTGGCTCACGTCTGTAGTCTCAGCACTTTGGGAGACTGAGGTGGGCAGATCACTTGAGGTCAGGAGTTTGAGACCAGCCTGGGCAACATGGTGAAACCCTGTCTCTATTGAAAATACAACATTTAGCTGGGCGCGGTGGCACATGCCTGTATTCTCAGCTACTCAGGAGGCTGAGGCATTAGAATCGCTAGAACCTGGGAGATGGAGGCTGCAGTGAGCCGAGATCATGGCACTGCACTCCAGCCTGGGCAACAGAGTGAGACTCTATCTCAAAAAAAAAATGTGGAAAGACAAGACAGTGCACTGCTAACTCCATGGTATATTCATGTGAAGTAGAAAAAAGGTCTGCCTTTTTCAAGACATTTCACATCACCTGTTGGAAACTTGCCATAATAAAGATTCATACTTACCTCCATGTTTGCCGTGATAAAGATTCAAACATCCAGGATGTGAAGGGTGCCCTCTAGGGCTGTGCATTCCACAGTTGTACCTTGGCCATGATTTACAAATCTGGAGGAGGTAGTTGTCACACCTGTAATTAACAATTAATGTTCACAAGATATTCAAAATGCTCGCATATCAATGGGGGAAACAAAACAATAAAAAAATGAGTACAAGTCATGAGCATAATTGTCAGAAGAGAACATCGGAATGGTCAGTAGCTATATGAAAAGACGTTTAGGCTCCATAATAGCCAGGGATATGCAGATTAAAATAACTAATTTGCAAGTGATTCCTCCCTACCAAGTTCACTAAAATTAAAAAGTCAAGACAGGAGTGTAGGCCAGGCGTGGTGGCTCACGCCTGTAATCCTAGCACTTTGGGAGGCCGAGGTGGGTGGATCACCAGGTCAGGAGATTGAGACCATCCTGGCTAACACAGTGAAACCCCATCTCTACTAAACATTAAAAAAAAAAAAAATTAGCCAGGCGTGGTGGTGGGGGCCTGTAGTCCCAGCTACTCGGGAGGCTGAGGCAGGAGAATGGCATGAACCCGGGAGGGAGAACTTGCAGTGAGCTGAGATCATGCCACTGCACTCCAGCCTGGGCGACAAAGCGAGACTCCGTCTCAAAAAAAAAAAAAAATGATAGGAGCGTAAGTCGATTTAACCTTTTTGAAAGCCAATTTTGCATCTGATGATAAAGTTAAAGACTCACCTGTACCCTGAAGCGGCAATTTCACTCTTAAATATATACACTAAAGAAACTTAAGCATGCGGGGCATGGTGGCTCATGCCTGTAATCCTAGTACTTTGGGAGGCAGAGGTGGGGACAGCGCTTGAGCCCAGAAGTTCAAGACCAGCTGAGCAACATAGTGAGACCTCCATCTGTACAAAAAAAATTAAAAGTTACCCAAGCTTGGTGGCACATACCTGTAGTCCCAGCTACTCGGGAGGCTGAGGCAGGAGGATCACTTGAGCCTGGGAGTTGGAGGCTAATGCAGTTAGCTTTGATGGCACCACTGCACCCCAGCCTGAGGGACAGAGCCAGATCCTATTTCAAAAGAAAATTAAAGAGATAAATAAACTTAAACTGGTTTGCCCTGGAAAACCAGTTGAGAAATTTTGAAAATAGTTAACATATGAAGACAACCCAGGCAGCCATCAACAGAAGAAAGAATATGATGATAACACTTTGTTGTAACAAAAGATTAATAACAGAAAAGCATATGGATTTATTTACTGAATGTTATGAGCTCTGTATACCCAGTGCCTCTCCCTCATAAGCATTAAATAAGTGTTTATTGGGTGGGTGGATGGAAGCATCATCCTCATCTTACAGATAAAAGGACTAAGCCTGAGAGAGGACCCCAAGTCACACAGGTCATAATGGCAGGAGTGGGCCTCGATTCTGGGGCCATCTGGCATCCCAGAATTGCTAACGTTGATGTGCTCTGATACTGCTTGAGTGGGGAGGAAGCAATGCCTTCAGCCCCTCCCTGATCTCAGCCAACCTCTCCAGTCTTTGATTGGCAATTTGAGAGGCTGAGGCAGGTGGATCACTTGAGCCCAGGACCTCCAGACCAGCCTGGGCAACATAGTGAAACCCCGTCTCTACCAAAAAATGCAAAAATTAGCCAAGCGTGGTATCACACACCTGTAGTCCCAGCTGCTTGGGAGGCTGAGGTGGGAAGATCATTTGAGCCCAGGGGGTTGAGGCTACAGTGAGCTATGATCACACTATTGCACTCCAGCCTGGGCAACAGAGTGAGACCCTGTCTCTATTAAAAAAAAAAAAAAGATTGATGTTCATCTTGTGCACAGTGCTCTGCAAACCCTCCCTGGAGCCCACTTCCCTTCTAACCAGCCCCTCCTAGATAAATTCTGGAGCTTGGTGCATTGTCTCATGTGGACATCCATAACTGTGTCCATGCATTTTGCTACAACCAAGATCTGCATCGTTGGAAGGAGTGGGACCCAGGTTAACTGTGAATTTCATCACAGTATCACCCGCTGGCATGGCCTGAGGGAGGGACCAAGGAATGATCTGAAATTTCCCTTTGTGCTGAATGTCTCCCTTACATGCAGTGTGCTGGGCCACATTCAGAGCTGCATGCAGGACGTGCTCTCAGAGGCTAGGTTTTATTCTCTGGTCTTCATTCAACACAAACTTTTCGGGAGCCTCCTTCTTCCAGCTATGGGCCAAACAGTAGCTAAAGATGTCACGTTGAATACAATCGAATAGGACCCTGCTATTCTAATGAAGGAAAACTGATGATAAACACAAAAGGCAATGTTAGATGGTGCCAGGTGCTGTGAGGGAGACATGCTAGGTCTCGGGGTAGAGTGGGAAGAAATGGTAGCGGCTTCTTCAGTCATCCAGGGAGGCCTCTCCAGGGAGAACAACAGAACATCAGAGGGAAGAAGCAAGGAGAACCAACCACACTCAGAGCTGGGCAAGAGCGTCAGGAAGATGGGGGCAGCGAGTGCCAGGGCTCTGCAGGGATGGGCTTGCCTGTCAGGGAGCAATACCAAGGAAGTTAGTAGGCCCGGGTCATGACAGGGCCTTGTAGGCAGAACCCTTAGGTCTCTTTGAAGGAGACCCTTTGGTCTCCCCTTTGAACTAGACCCTTTCAAACAGGTACAGTAGAAAGCAAATACCCCATGGGCACTGGCAGGATGATTCGACAGAGTCTAATCAAATAATAGGGGAAATAGAGAAAGTTGGGTGAACTACAACAGTGTATGACTGAGTTAAAAGTAACTACAAGTCTGCTTCCCATCTTGCAGCCCATATCTGCTGAGCAGTAACATATTTACGCATTCAGATTTAAAGCATATTGCTGAATAAAGCCAAGGTGTCCATGTGGTTCACTCCAAAGAGCATTTCACAGGAAGCTGGTCCAGGCGCTGCTGCCCACCATCTCTGTGACCTTGGGTGAGTCTTGGGGCCTCTTTCTGCCAGAATTTTCTCATCTGTAAAACAAGTGGGTTACCCAGATCCTCCCCCAAGGAGCTCCATAGCTCTGAAACCTCATGAGACTCACTGGAGCAGTACTTTGGTTGACTATCGCCAGCAGAACCAAAGAGGATGTTTTCCAGCAATGTAGATATGTTCAAAAATAGGGTAAGCTGACCAGGCGCGGTAGCTCATGCCTGTAATCCCAGCACTTTGGGAGGCTGAGGTGGGTGGGTCACAAGGTCAGGAGTTCAAGACCAGCCTGGTCAACATAGTAAAACCCCGTCTCTACTAAAAATACAAAAAAAAAAAAAATTAGCCAAGTGTGGTGGTGGGTGCCTGTAGTCCCAGCTACCTGGGAGGCTGAAACAGGAGAATCGCTTGGATGACCACCTGCCAGGGAGATTGTCACCTCTTATCTATTTTTTTTTTTTTTTTGAGACAGAGTCTCTCTCTCTCTGTCACCCAGGCTGGAGTGCAGTGGTGCAGTCTCAGCTCACTGCAACTTCTGCTTCCTGGGTTCAAGTGATTCTCCTGCCTTAGCCTCCCAAGTAGCTGGGATTTCAGGTGTGTGCCACCACATCCGGCTAATTTTGTATTTTTAGTAGAGATGGGGTTTCACCATGTTGTTCAGGCTGGTCTTGAACTCCTGGCCTCAAGTGATCCACCTGCCTTGGCCTCCTGAAGTGCTGGGATTACAAGTGTGAGCCACCATGCCCTGCCTTATCCATCCTTGTAAATGCCAGATCCTCCAAGTCTTCCCAAAATAGCCAGAAACAGATTCTTCCTCTTCTGATCTCTGAGACAGCTTCATTTATACCTCCCTTTTAATTTTTTTTTTTTTTTTTTTTAGACAGAGTCTCATTCTGTCACTCAGGCTGGAGTACAGTGGCAGTGGCATGATCTCGGCTTACTGAAACCTCCAGCCCCTGAGTTCAAGCAATTCTCCTGCCTCAGCCTCTCAAGTAGCTGGGACTACAGGTGCACACCACCACGCCTGGCTAATTTTTTGTATTTTTAGTAGAGACAGGGTTTCACCATGTTGGCCAGGCTGGTCTCAAACTCCTGATCTCAAGTGATCTGCCTAGTGGTTAGGATTCAGCACTCCCTCTCCCTTTTGGTTTTGAGCCTGAAGACATTCTGCCCCTATAGTTACTTACCAAGGCCTTATGCTTCTAACATGTAGAAGGGAGGGTATGTGTGTGTGTGTGTGAGTGTGTGTGTGAATGTGTGTGTGAGTGTGTGTGTATGTGTCTTTGCACCTATTTCCATCCCCATCTTGACAGTACTTAGCTAGTACTGCATTAAGTGTCATGGGTGAAATAGGATTAGAGAATGTTGGACTAGATCAGTGGCTCCCAAAGCTGCTGCTGCATCAGACCAGTGCTGCACTGGCCCTATGAAAATTGCTCACGTGTTTCCAGAAATACAGCTCCTACCCTGACATTCTGGTGTAGAAGGCCTGGGGTGGAATCTTAGAACCTGTACTTCTTCAAAGCCCACCTCTGATGCTCATGCACTGCTAGTTATAGGAACCACTGGGCTTGGTTCCCTGAAAGAGCTCTTTCTGCTGGTATCAAGTTCTGTGACTAGTTCTGCCCACTCAAGCTTCTTAGATTGGTATGTTAGGAGCTCCATGACTTGCCTTTGAAATATTTTTCCAGCTTCAAATTCCTGGGCTTCTACTCTGGCTGAACTGGCCTGTGTATTATGAGTCACCTGAACATACTTTTTGATTTCCTGAAGCCTCTGTTATTGTTAAGAGCCTTTTGCTGTTCCCTACCTATAAAACTCATTTCCATCCTTTAGAGCTGAACCGAAAGTCTGTCTCCTTTGACCATTTTCCTGACCATCTCAACCTATTTCTAACTTTTTCCCTCTTTTTTTATCCTCAGCTTTATTAAAGTATCATTTAAAAAGAAAAGTTGTACATATTTATGGTGCATAATGTGATGGTTTTGGGTTTTTATTTTTTGATACAGGATCTCCCTCTGTCACCCAGGCTAGAGTGCAGTGGCACAATCAGGGTTCATTGCAGCCTCGACCTCCCGGGCTAAAGTGATCTTCCTGCTTCAGCCTCCCAAGTAGTTGGGACTATAGGCACCTGGCCCAGCTAATTTTATATTTTTTTAATTTTAGTAATGCCAAAGTCTGGCTACATTGCCCAGGCTGGTCTTGAACTCTAGCAGCACAATCTCAGCTCACTGCAACCTCCACCTGCCATGTTCAAGCCTCAGCCTCCTGATTAGCAGGGACTATGGGTGCATGCCAACACGCCTGGCTAAGTTTTGTATTTTTAGTAGAGACGAGGTTTTGCCATGTTGGCCAGGCTGGTCTTGAACTCCTGACCTCAAGCGATCTTCCCACCTCGGCTTCCCAAACTGCTGGGATTACAGTTGTGAGCCACCACACCCAGCCCAATGCGATGTTTTGATACATGCATGCATTATGAAGTGATTTCCACAATCAGACTGACAACATACCTATTAGCTCACAGTCACTGCATGTCTGTGTGTGTGTGTGTGTGTGTGTGTATGTGTGTTGAGAACACTTGAGATCTACTGCCTTAGCAAATGTCATATATATGATCACAAGATTATTAACTATAGTCACCATGCTGTACCTTAGGTACCCCAAACTTACTTTTATTGTATAAGTAAAACATTTACCCTTTACTGGGGGACCTGGAGTATGTGCAGATTTTGGTATATGCAGGGGGTGCTAGCACCAATCCCCCAAGTGTACCAAGGAATGACCGTGTGTATATAAAATCAGTTTCATTACCCGTTTATTTGTTGCTGGACGCTTAGGCTGTTTCCATATCTGGCTATTGTAAATAGTGCCGCAATGTACGTGGGTGTGCAGATAACTCTTCATGATACTGATTTAAGTCCCTTTGTGGTATTGCTGGATCGTTTTAATTTTGGGGGGAACCTCCGTACTGTTTCCCATAATGGCTGTACCAATTTACCTTCCCCCCAACAATGTGCAAGGGTGCCCTTTTCTCCACATCTCACTAGTACTCATGTGTCTTTTTGGTAATAGCCCTTCTAACAGGTATCAGGTGATAGCTCATCATGGTTTTGGGTAGAATTTCCCAGATGATTAATGATGTTGAGCAGCTTTTCATATATCCGTTGGCTGTTTGTGTGTTGCGTGTCTTTTTTTTTTTTTTTTTTTTTTAGAGAGAGACAGGGTCTCGCTCTGCTGTGCAGGCTGGAGTGCAGTGGAGTGATCATGGCTCACTGTAGCCTTGATCCTGGCCTCAAGTGATCCTCCCGTCTCAGCCTCCCCAAGTTTTTGAGATTACAGGTGTAAGCCACCCTTGCTGGGGAACTTCCTTCTCACCCAGCATGTCTGTCTGCAGGTTCTTGGGCCTTCTGTGGTGGTGGAGGTGACAGTGGTGGCAGTGGGGTGATCATGGCTCACTGTAGCCTTGAACTCCTGGCCTCAAGTGATCCTCCTGTCTAGGCCTCCCCAAATTTTTGAGATTACAGGTGTGAGCCACTGTGCCAAGCATTATATGTCTTCTTTTGAAATCCTTTTGAAATCCATTTTCCTTTTTTTTTTCTTTTTTGTTTTTTGAGATGGAGTCTTGCTCTGTTGCCCAGGCTGGAGAGATGAGGTGCAGTGGCGCAATCTTGGCTCACTGCAACCTCCACCTCCCGGGTTTTAGTGATTCTCCTACCTCAGCCTCCCAAGTAGCTGGGATTACAGGTGTGTGCCACCACACCAGGCTAATTTTTGTATTTTTAGTAGAGACGGGGTTTCACCAGGTTGGCCAGGCTGGTCTCGAACTCCTGACCTCAAGTGAGCCACCTTCCTTGGCCTCCCAAAGTGCTGGGATTACAGGTGTGAGCCACCACACCTGGCCACCTTAGCCCATTTTCTAATCAGGGTGCTTGTTTTCTTGTTATTGCATTGTTATCTTTTCCCCTCTTTCCAGCCCACTCTTCTATGAGATTGCACACACTTTGAGGGCCTGTATCTCGTCTTAGATGCTTTATCTATTCTTTGCCTTATGGAACTGGTTATGTAAAACATTCTTAGCTGAACTTCCCCCTGCCTCTTTCCTTCTCCTTGTAAATGAATACTTATTGAGTGCTGCGTGTGAGCAACTAGTTCGGTTAGTTTGGTTTCTAGATGCCCACAAGCAAAATAGGCCAGTGTCCTGCTGGGAGTAGGGAGAGGTTGTCTGGGTCTTCTTTGGGTTTGGGGCCAGACAGGTGACTGTGGAGCAGGCCAGGCACTCTGGGGACAGGATGATGCATTCTGGCTGGAGGATACAGGGAGGCTTTCCAGGGACCCTAACACAGCCTGCTGCCCTGGACCCTTGCTGGGTAACTTCCTTCTCACCCAGCATGTATGTCTGCAGGCTCTTGGGCCTTCTGCGGTGGTGGAGGTGACAGTGGTGGCAGCTGTGGTGGTCACCGTGGTGATGTGGCTGCTGTACTGTCATTATCTTAGGGCAAAACCCACAGGCCTGATGCACACAGTGTCTCCCTGTATGTTCGCACCATGATGGCTCAATTAGGGACCCATCGAGCTGCGGCTCAACATTCAGGCCAGGTGCATAATTGAAAGCACATTTTCTCCTCCGAAGCTGCAGATGGTTTGGTTCTTCTGCTCATAGAGAAAGGGATCTAACCTTGTATAATATAGGAACTGAACAGCTGAGAGAGAAGCCAAATTCAATTTCAGTCAGATATGTTGAGGCTAAGTCCATGATCTATGGAAGCAGGGGCAGGAGCCATGCACCTGTGGAAAGGGGTGCCCTCAGCACTCTATTAATCATGGCTGCCCACCCGGTGCTGCCACCACTGCCTGGTGCCACTGCACCCGTGCGCCCCCTCCAATGCGGGCTGGAGCGCAGCCAAGCACTCCAGAAGTTAACCTCTGAAAGACCCAGAGCTGCTTTCTGTTGAATAAATGTAATTTTGTGGTCAGAAATAAATGTTTGTGATATACTAGGAGCTTTGAAAACAATGGCAAGCTGGAGCGATTACAATTCGATAAAAGTTCTATGAAGCCATTGTATGTAATGAACAATCCAGAGCAAATCTAATATTTTCAGTGGATAATTATTTTTAACATCCTCTCAGTAACCGCTGGTAGATTTCTTGGATGTTTACAGCTCGAACTCAGGCAAGGTGGGCCTTCCCAGCTGTCATTTGGCATCTCTGCCGGGGGACCTGCTCCAGGGACCCAGCTGCCTGCATGGCTCCTGAACATGGGGCTCTGGACCTGGGGTTCAGGCTGCCAAGGAAGGGTGCATGGTGGATGTTAATTAAGTTTACTAAAGTTCCATCAATTTAATACAGTCATTCCTTAAGTGAAACTGACACCAAGGACCAGATGGCCGAAAGAAGCCCACGTTCCTGTGTGTGGTTCTGAGGAGGGAGCATAGGATGCAGTTTGATAACAGCTGAGAGCCCTGAGGAGTTTGTTGCTGGATGTGGACTATTCCACGTCTCGTCCCTCCCCAAGTTTTCTTCCAATGGTGTCACAGCTCCCTTTGCTAATAATATTTTACACAGAATTTTACATCCACAAAGCACCATTTCAATGATCTCACTCACTCTTCCTCACCACCCTGTGCTGGGGGCATCATCGCCATTCTCAGTTACCAACAAGAGGGGTTGCAGAGAGTCCAAGGGGCAAGGCAGGGGCTCCCAGCTCCAGGCTCCGGCCTCTCCTCCCCTCCACCCTCTTCTGGTCCTGTCCTGAAATCTTTGGCTCCCTTGAACCTTGTTATGCCCAGGCATATGCCACCCTCATGCCACTGTATTCCCACCACCTCCAACAACTGTCCCTAGCCTGATGGGGTCACATGCTTGTCCAGTCCCCTGCACAGAAAAGCCTCATGGACAGCCCTGAGAGATCAGAAATAGACTGAACAGGGTCACTCCGTTGGAAGGGGTGGTAGTAATAGAACCCAGGTGTTTGAACTCTGTCTAATATTCCTTCCACTCTCTCACATACACATACACACATACATGCACACAAGGGCACATGACCACTATTAATCAAATAAAAAAAATCAGTTGGGCACGACGGCTTATGCCTGTAATCCCAGCAATTTGGGAGGCCAAGGCAGGCAAATTACCTGAGGTCAGGAGTTTGAGACCAGCCTGGCCAACATGGTGAAACCCCATCTCTACTAAAAATACAAAAATTAGCTGGGCATGGTGGGACATGCCTGTCATCCCAGCTACTCAGGAGGCTGAGGCAGGGGAATCACTTGAATCCAGAAGGCAGAGGTTGCAGTGAACTGAGATTGCACTACTGCACTCCAGCCTGGGCAACAGAGTGAGACTCCATCTCAAAAATAAATAAATAAAAGGAATTTGGCATAAAATCACTAATGTTGACTGTTTCAGCCTGGGTGACAGAGCGAGACTCTGTCTCAAAAACAAAACAAACAAACAAACAAACCTGAGCTCCATGTCTGTTTCACCTGTTCCCCTCTAAGTATAAATTTCCTGAGCCTTCTAAGTTCCAGCCAGGTGGGCCGGAGGTCACCGAGATCTCTCCTCACTGGGGGACGGAATAGGCCTCTCCCTGCTTTGCTGCTGTTCTTTGGCCTTGTCCCCTGCCTCCTTTCCTGGACCACCTACAAGGACCTAGAGGGAACAGTACTGGGGGCAGGAGCTGGGAAAGGCCTGCTGTGGTTCACTGCTAGTAAGAAATAGAGACTCACTCAGAGAAATTTCCTGAAACACAGCAGACTCTTGGCGCAGCCCTTTGAGCAGATGAAGGAGGACAAGAAGAAGAACATCCCTCAGCTCCAGCTGCATGCCAGAAACTTCACTTACATTATCTCATTTCATCTGCACAGCAGCTCAGCCCAGAGTGGAGAGGAGTAAATTGGCCCAGAAAGATCAAGTAACTTCCTTGGAGCTTGTCAGCATTGAGTGGAAACTTGGACTCTGATGTCGAACTCCAAACCCCATGCTTATTCTGTAAAGCCTGAAAAGTGTCTTGGAATTGCTTTAGAAGTAGGAGAAGAGGGGAACCCTGTGACATTACACTGTCTTCCAGCATAACAAGAAAAGAGAAACCAGCTGGGTGCGGTAGCTCACACCTGTAATCCCAGCACTTGGAGAGGCAGAGGCAGGAGGATCACTTGAGCCCAGGAGTTTGAGTCCAGCCAGGGCAACATAGTAAGACCTCATCTCTACCAAAGGAAAAAAAAAGGAAAGAAAAAGAGAAACCCATGAAATTATCCATGGGTACATAGGAAGGGAGAGAACCTAGGGCTGTGGGAGGAATGACTGCAGTCCTACCCTGGGAAACAGCTTTGCTTTTCGGGGAGCCCCTTGGTAATTGAGGACTTAGGAGAGCAAGTCTGGCCCTGAGATGTGGGACCAGGCAACCTCACAGAGCACACATCAGCAGATAAGGGCCATCGCTCTAAGAACACAGTCTTGTCCCAGTGCAGGTACAAGGAGGGCTCAGAAGTCTGGCTGGGAGCATTCCTGCCATCCCTACTGAGGAGCCGCCACTGTGGACCAGGACACCCCATGGGTATAGGAGCAGACTCCCAGAGTATAGACACTGCTTTTCTTTTCACAGTCTCCCGAATTTTCTCTTGGGTTCCTGCTTAGAGGAGCAGAGAAAACCAAACCGACAAATCGCCAATCTTGGAGTCAGATCTGGATTTGAATTCTGACATCATCATTTGCCAGCCGTGACTTTGAATATCACGTGTCCACTTCTCTATCCCATCCATATAACAGGAAATCTCTCTTGCAGAGCAGAGACAAGCACATGTTTAAAGATGATGGTATAAAAGCAGTGCTGGATAGGAGCTGGTAGCTAGTTATTGATCATAGAACCCTCCAGGTCCTTTAACCACTTCAATAGCTGTACTCTTCGAGGATTTAACCTTCTGGGGCTCTCCCTGTATCCCTGTCCCATCCACACTCCAGAGTAACCTCATCTAGGCCATTTGGGGCTGGCAGTTCCAAATTTTTGCCTCTGGCCTGGGCCTGTCATCCAACGTCAGGCCTCCCTTTGGGCACCTAATAATCTTCACTTCTCATGTAAACACGGGCACCTCTGCATGCCCCATTTCAGGAGCGGTAACCAGCCCCTAAGTCACCCTGGCCAGAACTCTGGGAGAAGCCATGCTCAGTATTAGATCCTGTGACTTCTTCTTCTCCTTCTTCTTCTTCTTATTTACTATTATTATTGTGTTGGGCTCTTGCTCTGCTGCCCAGGCTGGAGTGCATTGGTTCCATCATAGCTCATTGCAGCCTCGAACTCCTGGGTTCAACTGATCTTCCCACCTCAATCTCCCGAGTAGCTGGGACTACAGGTGCATGCCACCACAGTCCGCTATGACCCTGTGAATTCTATTTCCCTAACCTCGCTGGAATCAGCCTCCTCCCTTTCCTGGACTGGTCTGTCTACCACCAGTTGCCATCTAGTCCTAAGTGATCACTTCATGCCCCTCCTCAGTTGACATCCTCAGGGACTCTCCTTCAGCATCAAGCTGCCACCCTCAGATGTGGTCCCCTGCACCTCCCTCCACAGGCTGGCCCCTGCCTGCCTCCTCACCTCACATCTCCCCAGTCACCTCCTCTGCTCCAAGGCATGGCAGGTTCCTGCCCTTCTCTGAACAGGCCACTCTGTTTGAACATGTCTCTGTGTCTTTAAATAGCCCTCTTTTCCCCACTGAAGCCCTGTCCCTCCCACCACGAATAAAGATGATCTTTGTCTTCTTTAAAACTTGCCATAAGTTTGCAAAACACAGGATGCAGTCTGTAATAGCCTATCATTTGTATTTGAAAAAAAAAAAAATGGGGCCAGGCATGGTGGCTCATGCCTGTAATCCCAGCGCTTTGAGAGGCTGAGGTGTGTTGGGAGAAAAGCTGAGTGTTGGGAGAGAAGCTGAGGCTTGCATGTCTGCTAGACTTGCTGGCTCCTTGCTTCTAGCACTCATGTTATCTCAAGCAGCCATATGTTTCTTATTCATTTGATACACTGTTTCCTTTCAATCCCCACATCCTCACCACCTGTTTGTTTGTTTGAGCACCAATAAATAGCATGGGCTCCCAGAGCTCAGGGCCTTTGCAGCCTCCACACTCGTGATGGCCCCCTGGTCCCACTTTCTCTCTCAAACTGTCTTTTTCTCATACCTATGACTCCACTGGACTTCGTCGCCCCCACGACCTGGTGTTGGGTCTGATCACCCCAACAGAGGCGGGCGTATTACCTGAGCTCAGGAGTTTGAGACAAGGCTGGCCAACATGGGGAAACCCCGTCTTTACTAAAATACAGAAAATTAGCCGGGCATGGTGGCAGGCCCCTGTAGTCCCAGCTACTCAGGGTACGAGAATCAGAGGCAGGAGAATCATTTGAATCTGGGAGGCAAAGGTTGCAGTGAGCCAAGATTGCACGACTGCACTCAAGTCCAGGTGACAGTGCAAGACTAAAAAAAAAAAAAAAAAAAAAAAAAATGAAAGCAGTGCATGTCTATAGATGCTTGTAAATGCATTAATATCTCTGGGAGGATGCCCAAGGCCATCTTTACCTCCAGGCTAGGCAGCTGGATGACAGGTGGATGTGGACGGGAGAAAGACCTACTTTTCACTATCAACTTTGTTTTTGCTTTTCTTTTAACAGTTAAATGACTATTAGTGTATTCACCAAGTCGTGCAGCCAATACCCTAATTCCAGAATATTTTCATCAGCTCAGAAAGAAACCTCATACTGGCTGGGCATGGTGGCTCATGCTTGTAATCCCAACCCTTTGGGAGGCCGAAGTGGGGAGATCACTTGAGGTCAGGAGTTCAATAACAGCCTGACCAACATGGCGAAACCCCATCTCTACTAAAAAAAAAAAGTACAAAAAAATTAGCTGAGCATAGTGGTGGGCACCTGTTATCCCAGCTACTCGGGAGGCCAAGGCAGGAGAATCACTTGAACCCAGGAAGCAGAGGTTGCACTGAGCCAAGATCATGCCACTGCACTCCAGCCTGGGCAACACAGCAAGACTCCATCTAAAAAAAAAAAAAAAAAGAAAGCAGCCAAGCGCAGTGGCTCATGCCTGTAATACCAGCAGTTTGGGAGGCTGAGGCAGGTGGATCACGAGGTCAGGAGTTCCAGACCAGCCTAGCTAAGCTAGTGAAACCCTGTCTCTACTAAAAATACAAAAACTAGCCAGGCACGGTGGTGGGCGCCTGTAATCCCAGCTACTCGGGAGGCTGAGGCAAGAGAATCGCTTGAACCCGGGAGGTGGAGGTTGCAGTGAGCTGAGATTGTTGCACTGCACTCTAGCCTGGGTGACAGGGCAACAAGACTGTCTCAAAAAAAAAAAAAAAGAAAAGAAAAGAAAAAGAAACCTCTTACCTGTTAGCAGTCACTCCTCATTCATCCCAACCCCAACCCTTGGCAACCATGATTCCCCCTTCTGTCTCTATAGATTTGGCCATTCTTAACATTTCATATCAATGAAATCAAATAAAATATTAGTTTTTTGTTCCTGGCTTCTTTTACTTAACCATGTTTTGATATTCATCTGTGCTCTAGCATATACCAGTACTTGCTTTCGTTCTTTTTATGGCCGAATAATATTCCATTGTATGGATGTCCCATATTTTATTTATCCAATTATCAGCTGATGGCCATTTGGAGTTTTTTTTCCCCTCTTTTTGGCTATTGTGAATAATGCTTCTATGAACATTCATATACAAGTTTTTGTGCAGCTAAACATTTTTATTCTTGCCTATGTACCTAGAAGTAGAATTGCTGGTTAATAGGGTAACTCTATTTTTAACATTTTGAGGAGTGGCCAAACTCTTTTCCAAAGTGGCTGCATCCTTTCTAACACTTAGCATCATTTTTTTTTTTGAGACAGGGTCTTGCTCTGTTGCCCAGGCTGGAGTGCAGTGGCATGATCTTGGCTCACTGCAACCTCCACCTCCCAGGTTCAAGCGATTCTCCTGCCTCAGTCTCCTGAGTAGCTGGGACTACAGGCATGTGCCACCACACCCGGCTAATTTTTTTGTATGTTTAGTGGAGACGAGGTTTCACCATGTTGGCCAGGCTGGTCTCAAACTCCTGACCTCATGTGATCTGCCTGCCTCAGCCCCCCAAAGTGCTGGGATTACAGGTATGAGCAACTGCGCCCGGCCCCATTATTTATCTTTTTGATGATAGTCATCCCAGTGGATGTGTTGTGGTGGTATCTCATTGTGGTTTTGATTTGCATTTCTCTAATAAGTATTGGCATTGAGCATCTTTTATGTGCCTATTGGCAATTTGTATCTTTGGAGAAATATCTATTCAGATCCTTTGCCCATATTCTAATTCAGTTACTTTTGTTAAATTTTTTATTTTTAATTTTTGTGGGGATATATATATACACACACATATATATATGTATGTATGTATGTATTTATGGAGTGGGGCACATGAGATGTTTTGATACAGGCATGTTATGTGTAATAATCTCATTATGGAAAATGGGGTATCCATCACCTAAAGCATTTATCATTTGTGTTACAAACAATCCGATTATACTTCTTTAATTACTTTTAAATGAACAATTAAGTTATTGACTGTACGCATCCCTGTTGTGCTATCATATAATAGGTCTTAATTCATTCCTCCTGGTTTTTTTGGTACCCATTAACCATACCGTTTCCAGCCCCACTACCCCTCCAGGACTCTGGCAACCATCCTTCTACTATCTATGTCCAAGAGTTAAATTGCTTTTATGTTTATATCCCACATATACATGAGAACATGAGCTGTTTGTCTTTCTGTGCCTGGCTAATTGTCTTTTCATTTAATGAGTTTTAAGAGGGCTTTATATGTTCTGGAGTACCTTAACAAAACTTCCATTCTGCAGGTTGTCTTTTCACTTTTTTTTTTTTTTTGAGACAGAGTCTTACCCTGTTGCCCAGGGTGGGGTGCAGTGGCGTGATCTCAGCTCACTGAAACCTCTGCCTCCCAGGTTCAAGCCATTCTTCTGCCTCAGACTCCTGAGTAGCTGGGATCACAGTTGTGTGTGCCACCACACCCAGCTAGTTTTTATATTTTTAGTAGAGACAGGGTTTCGCCATATTGGCCAGGCTGGTCCCGAACTCCTGACCTCAGGTGATCCACCCACCTCAGCCTACCAAAGTGCTGGGATTACAGGCATGAGCCATTGTGCCCAGCCTCTTTTCACTTTCTTGGTAATGTCTTTAGAGGCACAGAAGTTTTACATTTGATGAAATCCAATTTATTGATTTTTCTTTTGTTATTTGTGCTTTTGGCATCATACCTAAGAAACCATTCCCTAATCCAAGGTCATAAAGGTTTACCCCTATGTTTTCTTTTAAGAGGTTTTATAGTTTTAGCTTTTACATTTTGGTCTTTGATTTATTTTCAGTTAATTTTTGCATATGGTGAGGTAGGGATCAAACTTTGCTCTTTTGCATGTGGATATCCGATCGTCTCAGTACCATTTGTTGAAACACTGTTATTTTGCCATTGATTTGTCTTGTCACTCTTGTCAAAAATCAGTTGATCATAATATGAGGGTTCCTTTCTAGGCTGTAGTGATCTGTATGTTTATCCTTATGCCACTACCAGTTCTGGTCAATGTAGCTTTGTATTTAGTTTTGAAATTGGGAAGTGAGACTCCTCCAACCTTGTTTTTCTTTTTCAAAATTATTTTGGTTATTTGGGGTCACTTGCATTTTCATATGAATCTTAGAATCAACTTGTCAATTTCTGCAAAGAAGCCTGCTGGGTCTAGGCACAGTGGCTCTTGCCTGTAATTCTAACACTTTGGGAGGCCAAGGTGGGAGGATCACTTGAGCCTAATAATTTGAGAACAGCCTGGGCAACATAATGAGACCTCATCTCTACAAGAAAAAATTTAAAGATTAGCCAAGCATGGTGGTGCATTCCTGTAGTCTCCATCACTCAGGAGGCTGTGACAGGAGGATCAGTTGAGCCTGGGAATTGGAGGTTGCAGTGAGCCGAGGTTGTGACATTACACTCCAGCCTGGGTGACAGAGTGAGACCCTGTCTCAAAAAAAAAGAAAGAGCTGGAATTTTGATAGGCGTTACCTTGAATGTGTAAATCCACTTTGTGACTACTGCCATCTTAAAAATATTAAGTCGTCCACTCCATGAACATTGGGCATCCTTCCGTTTAGTTTAGTGTCTTTCAGCAGTGTTTTATGGTTTTTAGGCACAAGTTTTGTGTTTCTTTTGCGAAATTTATTCCTAAGCATTTTATTCTCTTTTTGATGCTACTATAAATGGATTTTTTTTACTTTCACTTTCAGATCATTTATTGCAAACATATAGAAAGACAACTGATTTTTATACAGGGATACTTTGTTGCATTGAGCTTTACTTTATTATGCTTTACAGATATTGTGCTTTTTCACAAATTGAAGTTTATGGCAACCTTGAGTCAAACAAGTGTGTCAGCAACATTTTTCCAACTGCAGGTGCTCACTTCATGTCTCTTTGTCATATGTTGGTAATTCCCACAACATTTCTAATTTTTCACTATTATTATGTCTGATATGTTGATGTGCAGTCAGGGAGCTTTGATGTTACTATTGCCATTGTTTGGGGACACCACAAACTATGACCCATATAAGATGGCCGACTTAATTGATAAATATTGTGTGTGTTCTGACTACTCCACCAAACAGCTGTTTCCCATCTCTTCCTGTCTTTGGGTTTCCCTATTTCTTGAGACACAGCAATACTGAAATTAGGTGAATTAATAATCCTACAATGGCCTGTTTAAGTAATCAAGTGAAAGGAACAGTCACATGTCTCTCACTTTAAGTCAAAAGCTAGAAATGATTAAGCTCAGCGAGGAAGGCACGTTAAAAGCTGAGATAGGTTAAAAGCTAGACTTTTTTGCACCAGTTAGCCAAGTTGTGAATGGAAAGGACAAGTTCACGAAGGAAATGAAAAGTGCTGCTCCAGTGAACACATGAGTGATTTTAAAAAAGCCTTATTTCTGATAGGGAGAAAGTTTCGATGGTCTGGATAGCAGATCAAACCAGCGACAACATTTTCTTAAGCCAAAGCCTAATTCTCTTAATTGGGGCTTAATCCTCTCAAGCCAAGGCCCTGACTCTCTTCAATTCTATGAAGGCTTAGGGAGGTGGGGAAGCTACAGAAGAAAAGTTGGAAGCTAGCGGAGGTTGGTTCATGATGTTTAAGGAAAGAATTCATCTCCATAACACAAAAGTGCAAGGTGAAGCAGCAAATGCTTTGTTGGAAGCTGCAGCAAGTTATCCAGAAGATCTAGCTAAGACAATCAATGAAGGTGATGGCACTACACAACAGATTTTCAGTGTAGGCAAACAGCCTTCTCTTGGAAGAAGATACAATCTAGGACTTGGATAGCTAAAGAGAAGTCAGTGTCTGTCTTCGAAGCTTCCAAATGCACGCTGACTCTCGTTATTGTTAAGGCATAATGCAGCTGGCGACTTGGAGTTGAAGCCATTGCTCATTTACCATTCTGAAAAATCCTAGGGCCCTTCAGAATTAAGCTACACCTACTCTGCCTGTGCTCTAGAAATGGAATAATAAAGCCTGGATCACAGCATCTCTTTACAGCATGGTTTATTGAATATTACTATTGAGACCTACTGCCCAGAAGAAAAAAAGTTCTTTAAATTTTTTTTATTTTTATGAGACGGAGTCTTGCTCTTGTCACCCAGGCTGGAGTGCAATGGCACAATCTCGGCTCACTGCAACTTCCGCCTCCCAGGTTCATATGATTCTCCTGCCTCAGCCTCCTGAGTAGCTGGGATTACAGGCTCCCACCACCATGCCCAGCTAATTTTTGTATTTTTAGTAAAGACGGGTTTTTGCTATGTTGGCCAGACTAGTCTCAAACTCCTGACCTCGTGATTCATCCACCTCAGCCTCCCAAAGTGCTGGGATTACAGGCATGAGCCACTGCGCCTGGCGTAAAAAAGGTTCTTTTCAAAATATGACTGCTCATTGACAGTGCACCTGGTCAACAAAAGCTCTGATGGAGATGTACAAGGAGATGAATACTGTTTTCATGCCTGCTAATACAACATGCATTCTACAGCCCATGGATCAAGGAGTAATTTTGACATTCAAGTCTTATTATTTAAGAAATACATTTTGGGCCGGGTATGGTGGCTCACGCCTGTAATCCCAGCACTTTGAGAGGCCAAGGTGGGCGAATCACGAGGTCAGGAGATCCAGACCAACCTGGCTAACCCAGTGAAACCCCATCTCTACTGAAAATATAAAAAAAATTAGCCGGGCATGGTGACAGGTGCCTGTAGCCCCAGCTATTCAGGAGGCTGAGGCAGGAGAATGGCGTGAACCCAGGAGGTGGAGCTTGCAGTGAGCAGAGATTGCGCCATCACATTCCAGCCTGGGCAACAGGGTGAGACTTCATCTAAAAAAAAAAAAAAATACATTTTATACGGCTATAGCTGCTGTAAATGGTAATTCCTCTGATAGATCTAGGCAAAGTAAATAGAAATCCTTTCCTTCTGGAAAGGATTCACCATTTTCGATTCCATAAAGAACATTTGTGATTCATGGGAGGAGGTGAAAATAGCATCATGAACAGGAGTTTGGAAGAAATGGATTCCAACCCTCATGGATGAGTTTGAGGGGTTCAAGACTTCAGTGGAGGAACGAACTGCAGATGTGGTGGAGATAGCAAGAGAACTAGAATTCGAATTGGAGCCTGAAGATGTGACTGAATTGCTGCAACCTCATGTTCAAACTTGAATGGATGAGGGGTTGCTTCTTATCATGAGCAAAAAAAGTGCTTTGTTGAGATGGAAACTACTCTTGGTGAAGATGCTGTGAATGTTGTTGAAATGACAACAAAGGATTTAGAATATTCCACAAACTGATAAAGCAGTGGCAGGGTTTGAGAGGATTGACTCCCATTTTTAAAGAAGTTCTACTGTGGGTAAAAAGCTATCAAGCAGCATTTTATGATACAGAGAAATCTTTTGTTAAAGGAAGAGTCAATTAATGTAGACAATTTCATTGTTGTCATATTTTAAGAAATTGCCACAGTCACCCCAACCTTCAGTAACCACAACCCTGATCAGTCTAGCAGCCATCAACATCGAAGTAAGACTCTCCACCAGCAAAAAGATTACAACTCCCTGAAGGCTCAGATAATTGTTAGCACATTTTGGCAATAAAGTATTTTTAATTAAGATATGTACATTTTTGAGACATACAGCTGTTGCATACTTAATAGACTATGATATAAACATAACTTTTATATTCACTGGAAAACCAAAAAAATTATGTGACTTGATTCATTGCAATATTTGCTTTTTTTTTGTCATATTTGCCTTTTTTTTTTTCTATTTTTGAAATAGTCTCACTCCGTCACTCAGGCTAGAGTACAGTGGTGCAATCTTGGCTCACTGCAACCTCGGCTCACTGCAACCTCCATCTCCCAGGTTCAGGCGATTCTCATGCCTCAGCCTTCTGAGTAGCTGGGATTACAAGTATGTGTCACCATACCCGGCTTTTTTTTTTTTTTTTTTTTTTTAGTAGACAGGGTTTCACGATGGTGGCCAGGCTAGTCTCAAACTCCTGACCTCAGGTGATCCACCTTCCTCAGCCTCCCAAAGTGGTGGGATTACAAGTGTGAGCCACCGCACCTGGTCCGTTTTTACTTGCTTATGGTGGTCTGGAAGCAAACCTGCATTATCTTCAAGGTACACCCATATATTGATCTTGCATTGTCCAATCTTGCTGAATGTGAACGTTTTTATACATTTACAATTTTTTTTATTGTACACGTATATTATCTACTCACAACAATGGTGATATAAAAATCTCAGGTAGGCATTTATCCCCTAGGAAGCCTGCCGCACACCCCCACCAGGATTTACCTGAGGGAGGTAGGGGAGGGAAGCATTGGCCCATCTTAAGCTTTTTGGGAGCAGCAGAAGGAATCTCTGTCTCCCATAGGATGGGATAGAACACTGCCTAGCACATCTTAACCTCCTTAAATGACTTTACTGACAGAGTGAAGGAACAAGTGAAGCAGGGGTGAGCAAGGCAGCCGGCACCTTTTTCCTCTGAACAGCCCTGTTGCAGGCAGGCTTCCCTGCTGTCTAAGCCATGATCTGCCGTGCTGGAGCATTTACCTGCTCATTCTGGTTTTGCACTGTGGGCAGAGAGAAGACGCTAACCTTTCTTCCCCAAGACAGCCTTTCAGATAGATGTTAACAGCCAGAATGGCAGATGTACTTGGAAGGGTTTTTTAAAGTCAAGGAGAATAGAAATGCTTGTTGCTATTTTTATCATCTTGGCTTTTAATCTCATACTATCCCCTGCCACATTTCTACTCTATGGATCCCACACCCTTCCTTGAAGGCAGTGGCTTCTTCGCGGATTCTCTAGTTTTCCTTACTTAGAAACTTTGCTAAGTGGGGCCGGGAGTGGTGGCTCATGCCTGTAATCCCAGCACTTTGGGAGGCGGAGGCGGGTGGATCACTTGAGGTCAGGAGTTCGAGATGAGCCTGGCCAACATGGTGAAACTCCATCTACTAAAAATACAAAAATTAGCCAAGCGTGGTGGAGGGCACCTATAACCCCAGCTACTTGGGAGGCTGAGGCAGGAGAATCACTTGAACCTGGGAGGTGGAGGTTGCAGTGAGCTGAGATCATGCCATCACACTCCAGCCTGGGTGACACAGCGAGACTTCATCTCAAAAAAAAATGTAGAACCCTCAAGCTTTGAGGGTTTTGGAGTGAGAGAGAGGAAAAACCCAGAGGCACCATTATCACCTGTCAACTTGGGTGAAATGCACTAGCTTGAGACAACTGTGTTGGTGGACGAGGGTGCGTCAACAGCCATTAACATCATTAATGGCAGAGAGATTTGACACAGAGCAGTAGGAACACCAGCCTGTGTGCCCTTGGGGTCAGCCAGGGTCATTGACAAGCTCTGGACAAGCTCTTGCAAATGAAACGTCTGCAGAAATGACATGTCACTTCTGGGCAAGGCAGTGAAAAGTCTGCATGGACTTTCAACCCTTCTTTCTCCCATGGGCAGGGACAGGAGAGGCCATGTGTTACCGAGTGGGGAGAGGACTGTCTGCCTGAGGCCCTGAGAGACCGTGTGGAGCATAACACCCTTCACCCTCCAGAGAGGACAGGCAGCAAAAGCGAGAAGTCAGGCTTGTTCTACGGAGCCACTGAGATTTCTGGGCTAATTTGTTATACAGCAATAACCCCTCTCATCCTAACTAATACAGCCAGAAATCCATCAGGATCTAGGGAAAATAAAAGTGCACAGGCCCCTACCTTGGAGTCTAGCAAATCCATGCCTGAAAGTAGCCTCAGGGGCAGTCTTTGTCTAATTAAAATCTTCTGGTCAAGGCTGGGCATGGTGGCTCACGCCTGTAATCCCAGTGCTTTGGGAGGCTAAGAAGGGAGGATCACTTGAGTCTAGGAGTTCAAGACCATCCTGGGCTACAAAGTGAGATCTTGTCTTTACGATTTTTTTTTTTCCAGATAGAGCCTCGCACTGTCGTCTGGGCTGGAGTGCAGTGGTGCGATCTCAGCTCACTGCAACCTCTGCCTCCTGGGTTCATGTGATTCTCCTGCCTCAGCCTCCCAAGTAACTGGGGTTACAGGTGCACACCACCATACCCAGCTAATTTTTTGTCTTTTTAGTACAGACGGGGTTTCACTATGTTGGCCAGATTGGTCTCGAACTCCTGACCTTGTGATCTGTCTGCCTCAGCCTCCCAAAATGCTGGGATTACAAGCATGAGCCACCATGCATGGAAACAAAAATTTTTTAAAAATTAGCTGGGTGCAGTGGCCTGTGCATGTAATCCCAGCTACGTGGGGGACCTGGGCTCTCCCTTGAGCCCAGGAGGTTGAGGCTGCAGTGAACCATGTTCCCACCACTGCACTCCAGCCTGGGCGACAGAGTGAGACCCTGCCTCTAAAAAAATAAAATCTAGTCACAGCATTTTTTTGTTTTTTAACAAAACAGAACAGTAGTATTGGGAGTATCACGAAGGCTTGATGTCATTTATAAATACACACACGTGTTTACAGGGCTATAATATAAAATGTATTTCTTTCTTCCTGGAAGTCATGGTCAAAAAGAGTTTGACAGTCTACCAAGCTGGCTAGGCACAGTGGCTCACGCCTGTAATCCTAGCACTTTGGGAGGCTGAGGCAGGCAAATCACAAGGTCAGGAGTTTGAGACCAGCCTGGACAATATGGTGAAACCCCATCTCTACTAAAAATACAAAAATTAGCCAGGTGTGGTGGCGGGCGCCTGTAGTCCCAGCTACTCGGGAGGCTGAGGCAGGAGAATCCCTTGAACCTGGGAGACGGAGGTTGCAGTGAGCCGAGATCGTGCCATTGCACTCCAGCCTGGGTGACAGAGAAAGACTCCATCTCAAAAAAAAAAAAAAAGATAAAAGAAAAAAAAGAAAGTCTACAAAGCCTGGCCTGGACCCTTGCAAAATGTCACTGCCATGAAACACAGGGGTGGGTGAAGGACCATCCTGGATTAAAGGAAAGGTATGAATCTAGAGAGGATGTTGGGTCAGGAAAAAAAAAATGCTATAAAGAACGTTATCGGGGCCGGGCGCGGTGGCTCATGCCTGTAATCCCAGCACTTTGGGAGGCTGAGGTGGGCTGATCGCCTGAGGTCAGGAGTTCGTAACCAGCCTGAGGAACATGGTGAAACCCCATCTCTACTAAAAATACAAAAATTAGCCTGGCATGGTGGCAGGTGCCTGTAATCCCAGTTACTTGGGAGGCTGAGACAGGAGAATCGCTTGAACCCAGGAGGCGGAGGTTGCAGTGAGTTGAGATGGCGCCACTGCACTCCAGCCTGGGCAACAGAGTGAGACTGTCTCAAGAAAAAAAAAAAAGGAAAGAAACGTCTTGGCTGGTAGAAAATACACTCTGAAGTATTAGTAATTAGGCAAGAAAGGTGATGACATCTACAACTAACTCTCAAATGGTGCAAGGGAAATATGTATTTCATATTTATATATACTTAGGGAGAAATTTAAGTACAGAGAGACAGGGGTGGAGGGAGAGGGGGAGAGAGTGCTCGTATGGGACTTCACTGTATCATTCTTGCAAGCTTTCTGTAGGTTTGAAATTTTTGCAAAATAAAAAGTAGTTTTCAAAAAAAGTTTGAAAGGCCAGGCACGATGGCTCATGCCTGTAATACCAGCACGTTGGAAGACCGAGGTGGGAGGATTGCTTGGGGCTAAGAGTTCAAGACTAGCCTGGGCAACATTGTTTGTCTCTACAAACAATTTTTAAAATTAGCCAGGCTTGGTGGCATGTGCCTGTGGTCCTAGCTACTCAGGAGGCTGAGGGGGGAGGATGGCTTGAGTCCAGGAGGTTGAGGCTGCAGTGAGCTATGATCATGCCACTGCACTCTAGCCTGGCTGACAAAGTCAGATGAAAGCCATTGCCCAAGATAAACAGTGACATGGTGACAAAGGCAGAACAGTCTTTGAAGCCCTGTTTATACCAGGGAAACCAGGGTCTGCCTCAGAGTCTCTGTGGCTACACGCTGTGCATACACTGCATACACAGGCTCGTGTGGGTGTGAGCCGGTGTGCAGGTGTGCACGCTGGCATGCAGGTGGACACACACCTGGCACTCAGCCAGCCCAGCTCCTGTCATGTCACATGCCACCAGCAGGAGACAAGGGCTGGGGTGGGATGGGGTCGGAAGTGGGCACTCAGGGCCTCCCCCTTGGGCCCCAGTTCCTACCTGTGCAGCCGAAGGCCACGGTGCCCACAGCAGCCAGGTTGATGGCGTAGGCCTGGTCCCGAGAGAAGAGCTGCAGCCACACGTCACAGATGCTGATAAAAAGGAGAGGGCCCAAGGCTAAGAGGTAGCCTGTTGGGGGAGAGGCCAGTGAGGGGAGTGGTGGAGCCAACTGGGTGGGGTCCCCCTCCTCCTCGCCCCTCCTGCAGAGTCGGTCTGAGGCTTTCTCTGCCCTTGCCCTTTAAGGAGGGCCAGGGATGCTTTACAAGTCTAACGGGCACCTGGAGGGCTTCCTGTAGGAGGCACCATTTGAGCCAGGCCTCGAAGCTGGATGTTGCCGTGCAGAGGAATGGGAAAGGAAGAACACACTGGGTGTGGGGAAGAGCTTGGGCAGGGCCCAGGGACATGACGTGGGGTACAGAGGCCCCACCACGGTGTCTTAGACCAGACCCCAGGGCAGCCCTAGGAAGTGTGCCCATTTTACAGACGAGGGGAGTGAGGCTCAGGGAAACTGGGTGAGTGGGTGACCGGCCAGGCAGGTGGGAGCCATGACAGGCAGGTGTCCCATGGGAGGGCCCAGCGCACTTGCGGTGATCCTGGTGTGCAGGGTCAGTCTCTCCACCAGGACGTTGTTCAGGAGCACGGCTGCCAGCGCCACCAAGATGTAGGTGAGGCTCATGTCAAACACAATGGAAGTCCCTGCAGAGGACCAGAGACAGCGGGTGCTCAGGGAGGCTCCACCCTCTGCACTAACTCCTGCCGGGTGCGACCTCCCAGAAGGGGCTCGCTGCCCACAGAGGGTGAGTGGCTGCCCTGAGGTCACTCAGCAGCTCACAGTGGAGCTGAGATCTGAATAAAACAGGTCTCTGGGTAGGACCCTCCCCGCCGGGGGTTTCTGGGAGGCCCCAGGCCATGATGAGTATGCTGAGTGGCTGGGCATGACCGTGGAGGGACCCACCTGGGTACTTGTGATGCAGGTAGTCCACGTCCGTGATGAAGCTGTTGTATGGCAGCAGGAAGCCCACGCCAGACAGCAGCATCGCAAAGTAGATGGCGTGATAGCGGTCATTGGGCACTGGCTCCTCCAATGCTAAAGCAAGAGACGCCAGGTGAGACAGGGCACGCTCCATGCATGGCTACGGCCACCTCACAGGGCGATGTCCACCACCCCGGCCGCCATCACCATGGCCACTGTCCATCGCTGTGACCCCTGCTCCCCTCTGTTCCAGATACCTCTGTCATCTGGCCATTATCAAAGCCACCAAATGCTGTGGCTATGGCCACCACACCCACGCCCTCACAGCCACTGAAGCTACCAGCTTGATGGACAGGAAATCAGCTCATGCCTGTAATCCCAGCACTTTGGGAGGCCAAGGCGGGCAGATCACCTGAACTCAGGAGTTCGAGACCAGCCTGGCCAACATAGTGAAACCCCATCTCTACTAAAATACAAAAAATGGCCAGGCGCGGTGGCTCACGCCTGTAATCCCAGCACTTTGGGAGGCCAAGACAGGCGGATCGCGAGGTCAGGAGATCGAGACCATCCTGGCTAACATGGTGAAACCCTATCTCTACTAAAAATACAAAAAAAAATAAATAAATAAAAAATAAAAATTAGCTGGGCATGGTGGCGGGCGCCTGTAGTCCCAGCTACTCAGGAGGCTGAGGCAGGAGAATGGCGTGAACCCAGGAGGCGGAGCTTGCAGTGAGCCAAGATCGCACCACTGCACTCCGACCTGGGCGACAGAGCGAGACTCCGTCTCAAAAAAAAAAAAAAAAATTAGCTGGGCATGGTGGTGCACGCCTATATTCCCAGCTACTCAGGAGGCTGAGGCAGGAGAATCATTTGACCCCAGGAGGTGGAGGTTGCAGTGAGCCAAGGTTGCGCCACTGCACTCCAGCCTGGGCAAGAGCACGAGACTCTATTTTCAAAAAAATAAAAAATAAAATTATAGGATATGGAAGAAGAGTGAACACCCTTTGCCTGTCCTTCTGGGGAAGGGGTCAGCATGTCTGGGGTTGTACAGGGTTCTTGTATCATGCTCAGTGGCGGTATGACCTTGTCACTGCCTTTATCTGGAGAGGAGGCATGGTTTAGGGAGATGTCTATGGGAGCCACATCGGCAAGTGGGGGACCGTGATGGTCTGTTTATGGTCACCCTGACAGGCTGAAGTACAGTCCCCAGTTCAAACCCTAGCCCTGGTGCTGCTGTGAAGACGTTTTGCAATTAAAGTCCCTTCTCCATTAACTTTAAGTTCATCAAAAGGGAAATGACCCAGGTGGGTCTGACCTAATCAGGTGAGAACTTGAAGCCTTCCTGGAGCTCAGAGACTCCAAGAAGCTCCTGCCCCTGGGTTCCAGACTGTCCAAGACCTTCCTGACTGCCTGCCTGGCTTAACTAGCTCCCACTTTAGTCAGCCAATTGCTTTTTTCTTTTTTTTTTTTTTTTCAGATGGAGTCTCGCTGTTGCTCAGGCTGGAGTGCAGTGGCATGATCTTGGCTTACTACAACCACCCCCTCCTGGGCTCAAGTGATTCTCCTGCCTCAGCCTCCAAAGTAGCTGGGATTACAGGTGTGTGCCACCACGCCCGGCTAATTTTTGTATTTTTTGTAGAGATGAGATTTTACCAGGTTGTTCAGGCTGGCCTCAAACTGCTGGGCTCAAGCGATCCTCCAGCCTCAGCCTGCCAAAGTGCTGGGATTATAGGCATGAGCCACCGTGCCCGGCCTTAGCCCAGGTTTCTGAGCCTAAAGTACTAGCATAAACAACAGCTCCCCCAAAAAAGAACTATAGCTTACAGGGTGCCTCCTGAGTGCCAGGGACAGGCCCAAGCAAGATTCTGTGGATTCTGATGCAACCACATTGACACAGTATCATCCCCCTCTTCCAAAGGAAGAGACCGAGGGTCAGAGAAGAACAGTGACTTGACCAGGGGCTCCTGGTGGGTAAAGGATGGGAGGCAGGCTTGAACCCGAGCCTGTCAGACTCCAAGCCTGTTGGCCGTCCACTCTGCAAGTCTGATCTCAAAGTCAGTTGGCCCAGTTCCTCAACATAGTGAAACTGAGGCTCAGAGAGGTTTAGGCCCTTGCCTAAGGTCACACAACTGGGCAGAAAACCCAGGTCTTTGAACCTCACATCCAATCCTGTTCAGGCACTTTCCTGGCTCCTCTGCAGTGAGGCATAGCTTGCTTTGGCCAACGAGTGTGACCAAAGTGACATGTGTCACTCCAGATAGAAGCTTTATGGGTCAGCGGCTGGGCGTGGTGGCTCAAGCATGTAATCCTAGCACTTTGGGAGGCTGAGGCGGGCGGATCACGAGGTCAGGAGATCCAGACCACAGTGAAACCCCGTCTCTACTAAAAATACAAAAAATTAGCTGGGCGTGGTGGCGGGCACCTGTGGTCCCAGCTACTCAGGAGGCTGAGGCAGGAGAATGGTGTGAACCCGGGAGGCGGAGCTTGTAGTGAGCCGAGATTGCGCCACTGCATTCCAGCCGGGCAACAGAGCGAGACTCCATCTCAAAAAAAAAGAAGCTTTATGGGTCAGCGCATGAGCCATGGGTCCCTTCACCCACCCAGTGAGCACAAAAGCCCATGTTAAGACACAGCCTCCTCTGCCTGGGGCTGTGGGCAGGGCCCCCAGCAGGGACACGCAGCATCAGGGTGGAGACACTGAGACGGTGGGCGTGTTTGTTATGCAGCAGGTCTAATCCACACTGACAGGCACTACCTCCAGTCCTCCATGACCACCCATGGCTCCCCGATGCCACAAGGCTTCACCGGGGGTCACACAGCCCACCCTGCTTTGGGGCAAGACCTGCACCTTACCCGCACCCCTACTTACTGGTATCCGTGAAAGCTGGGACGCCCCTGGCCCTAAGGCCCTGGCCCTGAGCCGCCTCCGCCGCCTCCTCCAGCTGGTGACTGTCGAAGGTGACGCTCATCACTATGCCCGGGTCTGGTGTGCCTGCCACACTGGGCTCCTCAAGGCACTGGCTCCCGACAGAGCCCATGGCAGCCTGTGCTTTGGAGAAAGCAGAGAGAGCAGGTGAGGGAAGAAGGGTGAGAAGACACTCCATGTCTTTTCACCCTTCTGGGGTGAGGGACCCATGGCTCATGCACTGACCCATAAAGCTTCTATCTGGAGTGACACATGTCACTTTGGTCACACTCATTGGCCAAAGCAAGCTATGCCTCACTGCAAGGGAGCCAGGAAAGTGCCTGAACAGGACTGGATGTGAGGTTCAAAGACCTGGGTTTTCAGCCCAGCTGTGTGACCTTAGGCAAGGGCCTAAACCTCTCTGAGCCTCAGTTTCACTACATTGATGCCATGCGACTGGGACTGTATCCCCTGGGGGGACCGTCCTTTCTGTCCATCCATAGGACATTAATTTAAGCAGATAAGCAATGTCACCTGGTCTTTTCTTTTTTTTTTTTTTTTAGACAGGGTCTCACTCTGTCACCCAGGTTGGAGTATGGTGGTGCAACCATCACTCATTTCAGCCTCGACCTCCTAGGCTCAAGGGATCCTCCTGATTCAGCCTCCCAAGTAGCTGGGACCACAGGTTTGAACCACCATGCCTGGCTAATTTTAAAAAAATTTCTTTTGTAGAGTTGGGGTCTCACTACATTGCCCAGGCTAGTCTCCAACTCCAAGTCCTGCCTCGGCCTCCCAAAATGCAGGGGTTACAGGCGTGAGCCACTGAGCCACTGTGCCCAGCCCTCACCTGGTGTGTCTCAGGATGCTCATCCTCATTGCTATCTAGGGAGAAGGGGTCAGAGGGGAGGAGAATGGCTCAGAGACTGCTGCCCCAGGAAGCAACCAAGGTGGCCTGCATGGTGGCAGCGGGCACGGTGAGAAATAGATGGAGTGAAGGAATACTCTGGCGGTGTGATGCCAGGACTTGGGGAGCAGTTGGAAATAACAGGTGACATGAGCGAGCCTCATGCGTGCCTGCACCGTGCTGCAGTGTCCTCTGGGAGGAAGCTGCCTTTATCACTCATTTTTCAGCTGAGGAAAGTGAGAACACCCTTGGTCTCACAGGCAGAAAGTGGGAGAACCCAGACCCCAACCCAGGTCTGTGTGGCACTCTGAGCCACCATGGCCCTTGGTCCTGGGGCCAATCACCCTCATGGCGGGAAGTTCTTCCTGTGATCTTGCCTTAGTGCTTCTTGCTTCAATTTGGATCTGCCAGCCCTGACCTTCGGAAAGAAAGGAAGGAGCTAAGTCATCTGTGACGGAGACGCTTGCACTGTGTGGGCAGCCCTGTGTGTGCCTGGGGCAGGCTAGCTTTTTCCCCTAAAATGATTTTTCTTTTCTTTTTTTTTTTTTTTTTGAGACAGTCTTGCTCTGTCGCCAGGCTGGAGTGCAGTGGCGCAATCTTGGCTCACTGCAACCTCCGTCTCCCGGGTTCCAGCGACTCTCATGCCTCAGCCTCCTGAGTAGCTGGGACTACAGGTGCCTGCCACCACACCCGGCTAATTTTTGTATTTTTAGTAGAGATGGGGTTTCACCATGTTGGCCAGGATGGTCTCGACCTCTTGACCTTGTGATCTGCCCGCCTCAGCCTCCCAAAGTGCTGGGATTACAGGCCTGAGCCACCACGTCCAGCCAATGATTTCTTTTTCTAATAATGTGTATTCATTTATCTGAATGCAGAAAGGATCTGTGCTCACCGTAGGGAGTTTGAGGCTAAGAGAGGACAGCACAGCACTGAGCGCTGAATGTAGTGCCTCAGTTTCCCCAATATGTGGGAGAGCCATGGAAAAGGCTGGAAGAAGCCCACCCCATGGGGTCCCACAGGCCCAGAGGAACCTTGATTTTTTTTTTTTTTTTTTTTTGAGATAGAGTCTTGCTTTGTTGCCAAGGCTTGGAGTGCAGTGGCGCGATCACAACTCACTGCAAACCTCTGCCTCTCAGGCTGAAGTGATCCTCCCACCTCAGCCTCTTAAGTAGCTGGAACAGGTGTGTGCCACCAGGCCCGGCTAATTTTTTTCTTTTTTGTAGAGATGGGATCTCACTGTGTTGCCCATAGTGGTCTTGAACTCCTGGGCTCAAGTGATCTTCTCACCTTGGCCTCCCAAAGTGCTGGGATTATAGGCATGAGCCACTGCCCTCAGCCCATCCTGATTTTCTCTGGGGCTGACTCATGTCACCTCTGCCTGCTCTTGTCCCATCTCCTGGGTCTCATTTCCTCCAGCTCCCCTGCCTCAGTTTACTCCCTTCCCAGCCTCTAGGCAGGTTTTGATGATCAGTTACCAAGCACCTCCCTGTGACCCGATGTCCCCCTCTTCTAGCTCACTACAGAATTTTAACTGGGGCCTAAAAGGGGGCCTGGGGCCTCACTGGGGCTTTGAAGCCAGAGCCTTCCCATTTCCAGGTCTTGGGGGCTGGGGAGATTCAGTCCCTGACAGCTGGGGGCCAACCCAGGTAATTGGTACCCACTACCAGGGGAGAGGCGGTCCCGGACTTCTGGGGGCTGAGAAGCCCGGCGTATCTCCCCTTCTAGGCTCAAGGCTCTCCTGACTGCCCCTCATCAGCCCTGGCCCTCCTGCCACATCTGGAGCTGAGGGGTTGGGGGTGGGGTGGGGGGGGTGGGGGCCGACCAAGGCTTAGAGCAGAGCTGGGCTGGGCTTGAAGGAGGGTGGCCCTGGGTGGGCTCCGCACACCTGTCTCCCCTGTGAAGTGGACACATGAGCCTGAGCTTGAGAGTCGTTGGGAGGTGCCAGAGAGTCAGCAAAGGCTTAGAGAACCCGGGGCCCTTCTTCAGCCTGCAGAGCCAGGGAAGGGGATGGTGTCAGGGTGACAGTCTACAACAACCGAATGCTCCTCCTGCCACCTGCTCAGGATGCCAGCCCAGCTGGACATCTGAACCCAGAAAGGCCTGGTCTGTGTTCAGCAAGAGCCCCCGAGATGCTCCCCTGGACGTGCAGTGCCCCAAACACTCCTGGCCAGAAAGCCGAGGTTTCTGCCTTGCCCGGAGGCCACGCCACCCAGGAAGGTGGACGTGCTCGGCATCCAGCCAGGAGGCGGCTGCTGTCCCCTCTGGCTCAGTCGGCAAAGTGGGCAGCTGCCACCCACACTGCCCGACTTGGCCAGCTACTGTCCCCATGGTGGAGGGGGTGGGGAGCCTGCTGCAGCCGCTCGCCCCCACCTCTCCTGGGCCACAGGCCTCCAACTCTGTCCTTCCCGGCCCCCCACGTCCAAGCCTACTGCCCCCCCCCCAACCCCCGGGGAAGGCAGCCCAGGGCCTCCTGCCCTGTCCCCCGTTAGTTAAAATTTAACGACATGCACATTGGCTTAATAACCCCAGTGTTTACGAGGCTTGGCCCTGCTCCTCCACTCTGAGCTGCCGTGACCCCTCGATGCCCGCCCCAGGGGGCCGTTGAGAAGACACAGGTCATTTCTTTGGCCTTGAGGCCACCCCTCAGGCCTCAGTTTCCCCACCTCACAACTCAGTAGAGGAAGAAGAAGGTGAGAGTAAGTCACAAACAGGGACTGGGTGGGTGGCTGGTGGGGTAGGCTCAGCTGCACACAGTAGGCATTCAACAGTTGCACAAGCTGCCACTTAACACTGCTATGGGCAAAGCAGGGCTCCCACCCCTCTCCCCCATTTATTTATTTTTTTAATTTATATTTTTGTAGAGGTGGGGTCTTGCTCTGTTGCCCAAGCTGGTCTTGAACTCCTGGCCTCAGGTGATCCCTCAGCCCCGGCCTCCCAGAACTGAGATTACCGGAGTGAGCCACTGCTTCTGGCCAAGGCCCCTCACCACTTTGCAGGGAGGGCGACTGAGGCACAGAGAGGCCAAGTCGGGGGTAGGGGGGTCATGCAGCTCAGACTGGAGCCTGGCCCAGTGACCCCCTCCGGCTCCTCCCATTTCCACGGGGCCTGAAGTGCACAGGGGTCCTGAAAGTGGCCCAGGGCAGCTGGAAGCACTGGGCGTCGGGACCCCAAAGCCAGTCGCCTCACTCTGGGGCCGCGCTCCTCCGGCCAGCCAGGAAGGACCAGGGGAACCGAATTCCACTTGTAAAGCCGGCCTGGGCTCGCACTCCTGGCTCAGTCACCAGCCCTGGTTAGTTGATGCCTGGTACACCTCTGGTCCCCGTTAACTGGGGCTAACGATGTCTCTGCTGCCCTTTCCGCAGCCCAGCGGTCTAAGCTGCTCCAACTCCTGTGGGGGTGGGTTTCAAGCCCCTCCAGCCACCCCCTTCCTGCAGCCCCCCGGGGACCGATGCATGCAGGGGCCACAGGCTGGTCCCCGGACCCACCGCCCTCCCCGGCCCGGGTCGCCGCGCCTTTCTGACGCCTGCCCGGCCTCATCAACTGCAAAGTTGGCTCGCGGACCTGTGCCCCCAGGCAAAGCACAGACCCCCTGGGCCGCCCCGAGGTGACCCTGGATCCCAGGCCCCGCCTCTCCCAGCCGCTTTTTCCGAGAACGAGGAAGGGGCCGGCGGGGGCAGGGGAGCGATGGGGTGGCGCGGGGGGGTCCGGGGAGGAGCTTCGTGCGGGAGGACCCCCGCGCGGTGCTCGGGGAGGCAGTGGCGCCGACCCCCTCCATGGCCAGGGCCCAGGGGTCCGGGTCGGCGCTTGTCGCCGGGCGCGGGGGGCTGGGCCGCTCAGGACGCGGCCGGGGTGGCCTCGGGTTCCCGGGACAGGGGCGGGCTGGGGAGAGGGGGCAGCGCCCGGGCAGGCGGTTGGGGGGGGGGGCCGCGCGCGCCGCAGACAAAGGCTCCGACAGGTCCCCGCCGGCGTCTCCCCGCGTCCCGCGGCCACCGCTTCCCTCGGCCCGGCCCGGCCTGGGGTCCTCGGCGCGCCCGCCATGCCGCCCCGCGCCTGACCCTGCGCGCCCGCGCCCCGCTCCCCCAGCCTCGGGCCGGGCGCGCCCGGCGTCCTCCGCCGGTCCCCGAGTCCGCCCGGCCCCGGTCCAGGAGCGCGGCGACGAGCACAGCCCAGGCCACCACGCCCCGCCTCCCCGCGCTCGGCCCCGCCCCGCCCCGCCCTCCTCCTTCCTCCTCCTCCCTCAACCCTCTCGCTCCTCCCTCCTCCCTACCCCTCCTCTCCCCTCTCCTTCCTCCCCCCTTCCCTCCTCCCTTTACCCTCCTCTCCTCCCTCCTCCTTCTCCCTATTCCTCCTCCTCTCTTCCCCTCCCTCTCCATTCCTTCTCCTCTCTTCTCCTCCCTCTCCCTCCCCTTCTCCCTCCTCCCCACTCCTCCTCTCTTCCCCCCCTCCTCCCTCCCCTTCTACCTCCTCTCTCGTGTCTCTCCCTCCTCCCCATTCCTCCTCTTCCCCTCCCTCTCCCTCCTCCTCCCACCCCTTCTCCCTCCTCTCCCCTTCCTCTCCATTCTCCCCACTCCTCCTCCTCTCTTCCCCTTCCCTTTCTCTCCTCCTCCCTCCCACTCCTCCCCATTTCTCTTCCCTCCCCCTCCCTCTCCCTCCTCCCACCCCTCCCCTCCTCCAAAGTCCTCCATTACCCTCCTCCTGCTCTCCTCCCTTCTCCCCTCCTCTCCACCCTCCTCCCTTTCTCCTCCCTACTCTTCCTCCCTTCCTGTCTCTCCCCTCCTCCCTCTCCCTCCCTCCTCCGCTTTCCTCATTCTCCTACTCAGTCCTCCCTCTCTCTTCCCTCCCTCCTCCCTTCTACCAGCCTCACTCCTCCTCCATCCTCCTCTTTTCTCCCCCTCCTCCCTCCCTCTCCTTCCCCTTCCTCTTCCCTCCCCTCTCCTCCATCTTCCCCCTCCTCCCCTCTGCTCCCATCTCCTTTCTTCCTTTCTCCCTCCCCCCACCCTTCCATCCAGCTGGGCTGTGCAGGGGACAGGCCCAGGCTGAGGCTGAAATCAGGATCCCCAACACACCAGGGTGTGGCATGGTGGCCCCGGGAGACCCAGGTGACCTGCGGCTGACCCAGCCCACCACCCCCGCTGCCCACCCCTCAGCCTTGGTGCCCAGGCAGCGCCCCCTAAACAGGTCCACTCGCCTGGGAGGCCAGCAACGCCGCCAGTGGGTGGGTAGGTTCAGTCACGAGGCCACTGGGTGACCAGATTGAAAGTTTTGAAGGATGGGTAGGAGTTCACGTGCTGGAGAAGGTGCAGAGAGCGAGTCCAGCCAGGAGTGGGGGCTGTGGCCGACCCTCAGTCATGCCCTGCCCTCACTTGGTTCCTACCTCCACCCGCTCCCTTTCTCCTCCCAGCTTGGGATCAGAACTGGCTAGGTTGCTTCCCATGACTCCCTTTGCCTGGAAGCCTCTGTTTTTCTCCCAGGTGAATGGAATCATGACCCCGCCCTATTCTCCCTCTACTCACCTGTAGCCTGGCTCTAGGGCAGACAGCAGAGCCCAGGGGGCCCAGGCATAGAACATCAGCCAGCCCTGGGGGGCTGCGAGTGTTACTGGCTGGGAGAAGGGTCCAGCCTCAAGGTGAAATCAGGAACCAGGTGGGAATCACACCTGTCCTGGGTCCCTGTGGGGGCCTGTCTATGGGGATCAGGAGAGACCCTCCAGGTCCGAGCCACCAGGTGGGATGGATACAGGTGCCTGCCCAGACTCCTACCGGAGGCCCTTCCTTCACTTTCCACCAGATCAGCTCCTTCTCCCCCTTAAGCAACATCTCCATTGTCAGCGCTCCAGGGAGCCCCCAGGGTTTCTTCTGCCCCACCACCAATGGGGTCAGCACCTTTGCTCCAGGCCTTGCCCATCCCTTCTAAAGGACTGGGAGCCCCCTGAAAGTAGAGACCTGCTTTCATTCTCTTTGGATCCTCAGTGCTCAGTGAGGCATACAGAGGCTGGCATACAGCAGGAGCCAAATATTTGCTTGAAGGGCAGACTGCATTGGGAGCTGAATAAGGAAGTGTTGAGTGAAGTGACTCCACTCACCTGGGAGCCTCCGTTTTCTCCCAGGTGAATGGAATCACCTGGTGGCGGGGGCTGCTGACACACTTTTAGGGCGGGACACCCCTCTCCTTCCTCTGCTGCTGTCTAGGTGGAGGTGGGGGGTGCCACTGCAGGGGGGCCCAGTCCATTGCTGCAACTAGTTAATCTTAAAGTTCATGACGGCTGGGCGCGGTGGCTCACACCTATAATCCCAGCACATTGGGAGGCCAAGGTGGGCTGATCACCTGAGGTCAGGAGCTCGAGACCAGCCTGGCCAACGTGGTGAAACCCCGTCTCTACTAAAAATACAAAAATTAGCTGGGTGTGGTCGTGGGCACCTGTAATCCCAGCTACCCAGGAGGCTGAGGCGGGAGAATTGATTGAACCCAGGAGGCGGAGCTTGCAGTGAGTCGAGATGGCTCCACTGCACTCCAGCCTGGGTGACAAGAGCGAAACTCCATCTGGAAAAAATAAAATAAAATAATAAAAATAAAGTTCACGAGCTCCAGTGCTTCCTGTAAGCCTAGAGCTTTCAACGGGGATTCTTGCCTTGTCCTGGATGTGGAGGGGGGGTTCCAGATAAGAATTATTTGGTGGGCCAGGTGCAGCGGCTCACGCCTATAAGCCCAGCACTTTGAGAGGCCAAGGCGAGAGGATGGCTTGAGCCCAGGAGTTTGAGATCAGCCTAGGCAACACAGAGAGACTCTATCTCTACAAAAAAAAGAAAAAAAAGCGAAAATAAGCTGGGCATGGTGGTGTGTGCCTGTAATCCCAGCTACTCGGGGGGCTGAGGCGGGAGGATTGTGTTAGCCTGGGAGGTGGAGGCTGCAGTGAGCTGTGATCGTGCCACTGCACCCCAGCCTGGACAATAGAGCAAAGCCCTGTCTCTAAAAATAAATAAGTAAATCAATAATAAAAACGTTATTAGGTGCATGTGAGACATTTTCTAGATGCAGGAGACGCATCAAGGGTCCCTGCTCCCCTGGAGTTGCACTTAAATGGTGGGTGCTGGCAATAAACAAGTACAGTAATTTCGGAAGCATCAAATGCTTGGAAGACTAGATGGGGATGGAGCAGGCACCAGCATGTGACTAGGGGACAGGGCTGGGCTTTGGTATCCAGGTGGTCTGAGAAGGCAATATCTGAATTGAGAGATTTGAATGATGGAAATGTTAGTGGGAAGGGTGTTCCCAGCATAGGGAACAGCCAGTGCAAAGTGCTGAGTCTGGAAACAGCTCATTTAATTCAAGAACAGAAGGAGGGCCACTGTTGTGGGAACAGGGGCAGTGGGGAGAAGGGAGGTGAGGTTGGAGAAGGGAAACAGCCAAGGGGGGGTCTTGTTGGCCATGGTGAGGGGTTGGAATCCCTGGAGCAATGCTTTTTTGTTGTTGTTGTTGTTGTTGTTTGAGACAGAGTCTCTCTCTGCCACCCAGGCTGGAGTGCAGTGGTGCGATCTTAGCTCACTGCAATCTATGCCTCCCCAGTTCAAGCGATTCTCCTGCCTCAACCTCCCGAGTAGCTGGGATTACAGGCACCCACCACCACGCCTAGTTAATTTTTGTATTTTTAGTAGAGACAGGGTTTCACCGCTGGTCTCAAACTCCTGACCTCAGGTGATCCGCCCGCCTTGGTCTCCCAAAGTGCTGGGATTACAGGCGTGAGCCACCACGCCCGCCACAAGGCTTTTTTTTTTTTTCCAGGTCTCCCCATTGCTGGGTTGCTGGTGGGAGTGAAAATGGGACCAACCCTTTTGGAACATAAACTGGCTTAAAAGACATGCTTACCTTTTGGTCCAGAAAAATCTGGCCTGAGGAAATATTTCTAAATGCAGAAAAGTTTTTATATACAAAGACGTTCGTCATAAGAGCCAAACACTGCAAATGGTCCCCTTGGCCAAGACGAGTCCCCGATTTACGTTGCTCGCCATGGGGAACAGATGACATGATTGTTATATTTGAAAAACCCAGAGCAATCAGTGAAATAATATGTAACCCTGCAGAGAAATCTGAAGTCACCACCAGGCTATGCAGTTAAGAAGATTTAGAATAAGATGGAAAACTGGCAGCATGACAGCGTTAGGGGATACAGAAACAGCAAAGGGAAATACAAAAGATGCCTTCCACTGTGTGCAAAATAAAAAAAAAAAAGGAAAAAACTGGGTAAAATGATTTTCTGGTAAACTATAAATAAGCAGAAATGCTGTTATCAGAAAGAAAGAAATCTAAACAGAACGATGGAAAGGGCATGGGGAAATTTGTTAAAGAATTTCTACTTTCCTGCTGGCCGCAGTGGCTCACACCTGCAATCCCAGCACTTTGGGAGGCCAAGGAGGGCGGATCACTTTGAGCTCAGGAGTTTGAGACCAGCCTGGGCAACACAGTGAAACCCCGTCTCTACTAAAAATACAAAAATTAGCTGGGCGTGGTGGTGCTTGCCTGTAATCCCAGCTGCTTAGGAGGCTGAGGCAGGAGAATTGCTTGAACCTGGGAGGCGGAGGTTGCACTGAGCTGAGATCTTACCACTGCACTCCAGCCTGGGAGACAGAGTGAGACTCCGTCTCAAAAAAAAAAAAAAAAGAAAGAAAGAAATTTATGGATTTCACTGTTTATCAGTTTTGCCTAAAAACAAAACTAAACAAAGCCCATACCACATTTTGACCTCTAGCTAACGATATGCATGTTTAAGGGCCAAGTGCCCCAATGTCTGCCACTGACTTTGAAATGCATGGAAATTTGGAATTGGCAGGTAGATGGGGAGCTAGATAGATGTATAGGTAGGGATCAGAAAAACCAGAGAGCAGAATGCGGGCAGTGAGCACGTGAGTGTTCACTGTATAATTCTTTCCACTTTTTAAAAAATAGAGATGAGGTCTCACTGTGTTGCCCTGGCTGGTCTCAAACTCCTGGCCTCAAGTGATCCTCACACCTCAGCCTCTCCCTCCCAAAGTGCTGGGATTACAGGGTGAGCTGCCACCTCCTGGCCGCCTTCTTCTTTTTTTTTTTTTAGATGGAGTCTTGCTCTGTCACCCAGGCTGGAGTGCAGTGGTGCGATCTCGGTTCACTGTAACCTCCGCCTCCTGGGTTCAAGCGATTCTCCTTCCTCAGCCTCCTGAATAGCTGTGATTGTAGGTGCATGCCACCACACCTGGCTAATTTTTGTGTTTTTAGTAGAGACGGGGTTTTGCCATGTTGGCCAAGCTGGTCTCGAACTCCTGACCTCAGGTGTTCCACCCACCTCGGCCTCCCAAAGCACTGGGATTACAGGTGCGAGCCACTGCACCCGGCCCTTTTTTAAAAAATAGAGATGGGGTTCTTGCTATGTAATCTAGACTAGTCTTAAGCTCCTGGCCCCAAGCGATCCTCCCGCCTCAGCTTCCCAAAATGCTAAGATTATAGGTGTGAGCCACCATGCTCAGCTTCCACTGTTTTTTATGTTTAAAAATTTCATAGTAAGGTGAGGCAGGAGGATTGCTTGAGGCCAGGAGTTCGAGACCAGCCTGGGCAACATACTGAGACCCTTATCTCTAAAAAATTTTTAAAAATTATCTGGGCATGGTGGTCCACTCCTGTAGTCCCAGCTACTCAGGCAGCTGAGGTGAGAGGATTGCTTGAGCCCAGGAGGCGGAGGCTGCAGTAAGCTGTGATCCCACCACTGCACACCAGCCTGGGAGACAAAGCAAGACCCCATCTCTTTAAAATAAAACATAATAAAATGTGTGGGGGGAGGAGAGGCCGGGCACAGTGGCTCAGCCTGTAATCCCAGCGCTTTGGGAGGCCAAGGCAGGTGGATCACCTGAGGTCGGGAGTTCCAGACCAGTCTAGCCCATAATATGGTGAAACCCCGCCTCTACTAAAAATACAAAAATCAGCAGGGTGTGGTGGCGGGTGCCTGTAATCCCAGCTACTTGGGAGCATGAGGCAGGAGAGTCACTTGAACCCGGGAGGCAGAGGTTGCTGTGAGCCGAGATCATACCTCTTTACTCCAGCCTGAGTGGCAGAGCAAGACTCCGTCTCAAAAAAAAAAAAAAAAGTTGGGGGAAGGAGAGAAAAATAGAGAGCCCAGTGGGGCAACCCCCCACCCAGCCCTTGCCACCTGCCACTGCTCCAGCCGGGCTGTTCCAGGCCAGGAAGCTATGCCATCTGCTTCTGGCAGAGATCAAACTTAATTCGTTCCCAGCTTGTTAACTTAAAGCCCATTAGAATCTTTCCCGTCAATCCGTACACGCAGTGGAGATCAGACAGAGATGGGGTGAAGGGCCCTGCTCAGGACACGGTTCCCTGGGGAGGCAGAAGGAGAGGGGGCTGGCTGGCTGGGCTTTCAGGGGACGAGAGCCTCCCACCTCCTTAGTCTCCCTGGGTGCAGGGAGTGGCTTTCATAGAAGTCAGCTCCTCTCATTCGCACAGGGACCTGGGTACCAGTGAACCACCTTTTGCAGACCAGGGAGCCAGCTGGTGAGTGGTGAGGCAGGGGTCCCACTGAGGAATGGTGGGTCTGATAGCATGACACCAGACATCATCATGGTGACACATTACTGCATTTCTGCTCTCAGCAATTCCAAGACAGGGTCAGGACTGGGCCACCTTATGGTGGGCCCAAGGACCAAGGCTGGCAAGCCTGACCATGGACAGAAACACCCCTTGCAAACTCGCTGAGCCCCAGGATCAGAGTCCCTGGGCCGTTCTGTGTCAGCCCCATGTCTGCCTTTGCCGGGACAGGACACCACCTGCTTCCCCTGCATTCAGGCACCATGGAGTCAAACTTGCAAGAGAAAACGAGACCCACGGCCAGGCGTGGTGGCTCATGCTTGTAATCTCAGGACTTTGGGAGGCCGAGGTGGGTGGATCACCTGAGGTCAGGAGTTTGAGACCAGCCTGGCCAACGTGGCGAAACCCCATCCCTACCAAAAATACAAAAATTAGCCAGGCATGGTGGTGCGTGCCTGTAATCCCAGGTACTTGGGAGGCTGAGGCAGGAGAATCGCTTGTACACAGGAGGCGGAGGTTGCAGTGAGCCGAGATCATGCCACTGCACTTCAGCCCAGGTGATGGAGCAAGACTCCGTCTCCAAAAAAAAGAAAGAAAAAAAGAAAACGAGACCCAACCATCTGGGCCAAACAAGCAAATTCAATCAACAAATTAAGCCCCATGATCCTCTCTGGAGAGGGCAAGGCAGCCTGTGTGCGCTGAACGGCAGGGCTCTGCAGGAACAGGGAGGGGCTGGCGCTCACCGCACCAGCTATGCGCCAGGCTCTGGGCTAAGAGTGTCCTCTGCTCAGAACCTCACAGTGACTACAGGAGGGGAGACATCCCAGACAGATGGGAAGCCCAGGCTCAGAGAGGTAGAGGAGCTCACCCAAGTCACACAGTGAGGCCAGGCAGATTCTGGTTCCTCCCCAGGCCCCGGTCCCTCCCCAGCCCGCGGTCCCATCAGCCCTGCCCGGTTAAGCTGCCCCACTGGACGCCCCCACTCTCATTCCAGGCCCCTCTTCCTGAAGACCAGAGAGGTGCGCCCCAGGCCAGGCTTCTGGGACTGGGGCCCCAAGCCATAGGTGGCCTCCTGGAGCTTCATCCCCCAGGACACCCCAGGCCGGAGAGGTGCGGTAAAGTCTTTCTGGGACTGTGGGCAGCAGCTGGAGGCAGGCCCAGGACAGGAGGAGCCTCCTGGCCCAGCTCCAGGAGCTGTCGGCTAGAAGGAGCACTTCATTATCAGCTGGGCTGCTGTGAAGGAGGTTATGGGGAAGGGAGGCCCAAGGGACCCGAGGTCAGCCTGGAGTCCCCTTTCCAGCCGGCTCCAAACCCCTCCATGCAGCTGGGCACCCCAGGCCCTGCCTGAGCCTATGAGGTGCCTCCCCACCCAACCCCCACTGGAAGCACCAGCCATACCCAATCATGCCCATGCATCTGTAAGGTGTAAGGACTAGTGTTGCCTCCTCCAGGAAGCCTTCCCTGACTGCTGCATGGTAGGAGTGACTCTGAGCACCCTGAGCACACATCATCTCATGGAATCCTCCCTGTGACCTCTGTGGGAGGCTCAAGGGAATGAGGCCCAGAGAAGTGAAGGCAGCTGCCCAAGGCCACCCGGTGTGGAAGCTTGAATCAGCTCCTCTCTGGGCCTCGTGACAGGGCTGGGTACTGAGGAGGACCTGATAAGTGTTGTTGAAAGAATTCTGTCAAAAGGGCTGGGTGAAGGGACTACTGTTGGGGACGGAGGGGCAGGGATGCTGCCCAGGGTGCAGCCGCCACCCTGTTGACCCCAGATGAAGGCAGGAAGGATGGCTAGATTCCCACAGATTCATCCAGTCCCTGAGCACCTACATAATAGCTCCTGTTTTACGCCTTTGGCATTAACGTGCCCATTTCACAGATGAGAAAACTGATGCCAGAGGGCCTGAGGCCAGTGCAAGATTCCCAGCCGGGCTCCAAGGGAGCACAGAGCCAAGACCTGAACCAGGTCTGCCTGGGCCCCGAGCCACTGTCCTTCCCACGACCCCAGGTCAGCCAAGGATCCTGGCCTTACCTGGGCCTTACCTAGTTCTTACCTGGGACTTTCCTATGCTCCTTCTAAGGCCTCTCCCCGTGGCATCAGCGTCTGCCCGGCATACACACTACTCGGAGGAGCCTTTGTACTCTCTATTTACAAGAGGAGGCTGTGAGCAAATTAGCAGGGTAACCAGGGAAAATGTTTGGCGTCCGTGGGTGAGAGTTGGAGCCATCTGTTGCCAAGTGCTGGGAAAACACCGGAGCACTCCCTGGAGCCGTGGTGCCCGGCAGAGCTCCAGGAAGTGGGACCAGGCACCTGCAGGCTGTGTGTCCTGGGGCAGGGTGCTCACCCTCTCTGGGCCTCAGTGTCTGGATCCGTAAAACCTGCGGGTCTGTCCAGCCTCGTGATTCCAGGATGCTCCCTGTCTCCTTTCCCCTCCTGCCCCTCTGCTCCTGGGCTCCGTACATCCTTTCTGTGCCCCCACCCTGAGACCAAGCCCTTCCTGGGAAGGAAGGCTGGCGGCCTCCACTGTGACGACAGCACCCGCCTGCCCAGCACCGGCATTGGGGGTTTATTTACCATTGGACGCATTTGTTCCCAAGCTGAAAATAGCTTTATTGTTCCCTCTAAAGACAAAGATAATATTTCACCAATCCAGAAATGTATGCTGTAGAAAAGTAAACCGAGAGAGAGCGCCTCCCCGCCTATGCCGGGCACCTGTCCCTGAGAGCAGCGGCCCAGGCCCTGCCAAGCAGCTGGTCACACAGTGGGCCATACACAGGGTGGGATCCTTGACTGGGGTATTTCAGAGACAGAGAGATAAAAAGGGGCAGCGGGGGCTGGGTGTGTTGGCTCGTGCCCGTAATCCCAGCACTTTGGGAGGCCGAGGTAGGCGGATCACCTGAGGTCAGGAGTTCGAGACCAGCCTGACCAACATGGTGAAACCCCATCTCTACTAAAAATACAAAAATTAGTCGGGCGTGGTGGCAGGTGCCTGTAATCCAAGCTACTCAGGAGGCTGAGGCAGGAGAATCCCTTGAACCTGGGAGGCGGAGGTTGGGGTAAGCTGAGATCACGCCATTGTACTCCAGCCTCGGTGACAAAGCAAGACTCTGTCTCAAAAAAACAAAAAAAGAGGTAGATGGGGGGGAGGGAGAGAGAGGGAGGGAGAGATAGGAAAAGAGAGTGGGGGTGTGAGAGAGAGGGAGAGACAGAGGGAGACAGGAGCGAAAGGGAGAGAGAAGTGGAGGGGCAGAAAGAGAGGGAGACAGGGAAAAAGAGATTACTCCTCCCCACCTGGGACTCTTCAGCTCCTCATCAGTGTCCCTGGAGGCTGGGCCTCAGGGGTGGCTCCTTGGGGACAGGTGTCCTTTCCCCCACCTTGCCCTTCTTCCCTAGTCAGGACAGAAGAAGAGTTTCTAGTCTGAGTCTTACCGCCTCCTAACCGTGTGACCTAAGACAAGCGCCTTCGTCTTGCCGAGCCTCAGTGGCCTCAGCTGTAACGTGGGGTAACCATGGCACAGGATAACTGTGAGTTACATGGACCACGTGTGGCAGTCCCTGAGCCTAGGCTGGCACTGAATTGGTGTCCAGCGGCCATTTGCCGTGGCCAATAGGATCAATAAAACGCCTGGGGTATCTGGCCGCTCGGTGGAAATTGACCCACGCAGGGCCTTTGCTGGCCACACCGGGCCCCTTGGTGAGGCTGGGGCATGTCACCTTGTCCATGAGTGGACGTGGACATGGACGTGGGCTCCTTCGCTGGAGGGAACAGCTCTGTGCTGTCCTGGAACTGCTCCCAGCAGCTCCAGAGAGCCGATTAGCACATTTTCAAGAAATATTGCGAGAAGGTTGTTAAACTCAGCCACTGTTTATTTTATTTTATTTATTTTTTATTTTATGATGGAGTCTCGCTCTGTCGCCAGGCTGGAGTGCAGTGGTGCGATCTCGGCTCACTGAAACCTCTGCCTCCCCGGTTCAAGTGATTCTCCTGCCTCAGCCTCCTGAGTAGCTGGGACTACGGGTGCGCACCACCACGCCTGGCTAATTTTTGAATTTTTAGTACAGGCGGGGTTTCGCCATGTTGGCCAGGATGGTCTCGATCTCTTGACCACGTGATCTGCCCACCTCAGCCTCCCAAAGTGCTAGGATTACAGGCATGAGCCACCGCGCCTGGCCAGCCATTGTTAAAAATGGAATGAAATAAACATACAAAGGTAATACAAACTCAAAATTCATCACTGTCTAATTATGTGACTAGGGTCTGCATTCTCCGGGTTATTTCCATCCCTGGTACCCTGTAGGATGGAAACGCCAAATGACAGTGTGCTATGCGGCTGCGTTCTCTCCCCAAATCCAAGTCCAGTGATGTCATCTTGGCACCTTGAAATCCACCACGGACGGACCAGTGCCGTGGTTTGCACCTCTTATCCCAGAGCCTCAGGAAGCTGAGGTGGGAGGATGGCTTGAACCCAAGAATTTGAATACAGTCTGGGCAACATGGTGAAACCCCAACTCTACAATAAATATGAAAGTTAGCCGGGCGTGGTGGCGTGCACCTGTAGTCCCAGCTACTTGGGAGGCTGAAGAGGGAGGATTGCTTGAGCCTGGGAGGCAGAGGCTGCAGTGAGCTGAGATTGTACCACTGCACTCTGGCCCCAATGACAAAAGCGAGACCCTATCTCAAATTAAAAAAAAAAGAAACAGAAAAAGAAAAAAAGAAAGATATGAAACAGGAGCTGGGTGCCTGCCTCTAGTCCCAGCTACTCAGGTGAAGGCCGAGTTGGGAAGATTGCTTGAGCCTAGGAGTTTGAATCCAGCCTGGGCAACATAGCAAGACCCTGTCTCTAAAAAAAAAATTAAAAAAAGAAAAGTATGAGACAGAATGTATTTGCCTAGCAGTTTTTCCGCTTGATTTATAACTCTTAGGTATGATGTGTGAGCCTTTCATAATTTGGCCCTCATCCCAGGCCTTGTATATTTAGGGGTAGGTATGACCTCAAGTTCCAGCCTCCATATCTTCTTTTTAGAGACAAGCTCTTGCTCTGTGGCCCTGGCTGGACTGCAGTGGCACAATCATAGCTCGCTGCAGCCTCAAACTCGTGGGTTCAAGTGATTCTCCTGCCTCAGCCTCCCTGAGTAGCTGGGACTACAGGAACATGCCACGATGCCTGTAGTTCCAGCTACACAATTTAAAAATTTTTTTGTAGAGACAGGGTCTTACTATGTTGCCCAGCCCTGTCTCAAACTCCTGAGCTCAAGTGATCCTCCTGCCTCAGCCTTCCAAAGTGCTGGGATTACAGGCAGGAGACACTGCACCCAGCCTCAGACTATGTATCTTTGTTCCTGCTGTTTTGTCTTCTAAAAAACACCAGTCCCCTTGGAAGCCTTCCTGGGCTGTCTGAACACGGCTGTGGTTATTATAATTATGGGCTGTGAGCCTGATGAGGTGGGGATGCGTCCCAAGGTCGAGGCTCCTTGAGGGGGCTTGTCCCAGCCCGCTAAGAGCACGGGTTGGTGAGAGGCGGCTGGTTTGTCCCTGAAGGAGCTTATCTTGGCTGAATTCTCCTAATCCTCTTGCAGGATTAAGGAAACTCAATGCACGTCCCGTTGATAATGCCCTTTAAGGATTTAATAAGCTTTGGGCTTTCCAAGAGAAAGCCTTGGAAGAGGAATTTGAAAAACTTGCCTCAGCTCCAGACTTTGCTTCTCACTCACTGGGTGACCTTGATCTGTGGCTCCGTTTCTCTACCTGCAAAGAAAAGGGGTGAGTGGTGGCCTGTGGTCCCTGTGCTGTTGTGTGTCTTAGGGGAGGGCTGCACACAACAGCTGGGACTACAGGTGCACACCACCACGCCTGGCTAACTTTTGTATTTTTAGTAGGGGGGGCGGTTTCACCATGTTGGCCAGGATGGTCTCAATCTCTTGACCTTGTGATCTGCCGCTTCAGCCTCCCAAAGTGGCTATAATGTGTATTGGTTTGGGAAGCTTCCACCCCACCCGCCCTGGGGGGAGGTAGGGCTGTGAGTCACCAAAGCATCACTGAGGCCAGTCATGGGACAGTATCCATTGGAACACAGAGGTTGGTCAGGGAAGGGCATATGTCTCGAACCTGGCCTGTCAGAGCCTTCCTTAGAACTTTTATGAGGTCTTCCTGGATGGGTTTATTTTATGGCACCTCAATTTGGGGAGATAAGATCAAGCTGCCATAGACACCTGTCCGCCATGTGCCCAGCACCTATGTGCAGAATGAAGTTCATGAAGACAAACAGAACAGCAGATGAAGCCAGAGCCCTGGCAGCGTTACTTGAGACCCTGGATCTAGCCTTACCTGACACCTACTCTGTGGGCCAGTAAATTCCCTTTTTAGCATAAAGCTGTATGAGTGGCATTTCTGCCACTTGGAACTGAAGGAGTGTGGATGTACCTGTTTCCAGGAAGAGGAATCGATGGATTTCATCAAATTCTCCTTGATTCCCCCAAAGACTAAGAAGCCCTGCTATGGTTTGAATGTTTGTCTTCTCCGACACTCATGTTGAAATTTATCCCCAATGTGTCAGTATTGAGAGGTGGGGCCTTTAAGAGCTGATTGGGTCATGCGGGCTCTGCCCTCTCGAATGGAGTAATCCATTCATTAATTATGGGTTATTATGGGAGTGGGATTGGTGGCCTTATAAGAAGAAGAGAGATTTGAGATAGGATGCTCAGCCCTCTCACCATGGGATGCCCTGTGCCTCCCTGGGACTCTGCAGACAGGAGTCCCCACTAGCAAGAAGGTCCTCACCAGACACAGCCCCACAGCCTTGGACTTCCCAGCCTCTAGAACTGTAAGAAATAAATAGTTTTCTTTTTTCTTTTTTTTTTTTTTGAGACGGAGTCTCGCTCTGTCACCCAGGCTGGAGTGCAGTGGCACAATCTGGGCTCACTGCAAGCTCCGCCTCCCAGGTTCATGCCATTCTCCTGCCTCAGCCTCCAGAGTAGCTGGGACTACAGGCGCCCGCCACCACGCCTGGCTAATTTATTGTATTTTTAGTAGAGACGGGGTTTCACTGTGTTAGCCAGGATGGTCTCGATCTCTTGACCTCGTGATCCACCCGCCTCAGCCTCCCAAAGTGCTGGGATTAAAGGCATGAGCCACCGCGCCCCGCCGTTTTCTTTAAAAATTACCCAGCATCAGGTATTCAGTTGTAGCAGTAGCAAATGGACTAAGACAAGCCCTGCGGGAGGTTTCTTCTGGCTCCTGGTGCTCAAATCTCTCAGCAGCCACTGGCCAGTATAACCCGGGAGGGGTCGTCACCAGACTGCAAATTTCATCCTCTGTTTTCCCCCTGCCCTTCTCCACCCTGCTGAGTGCCCTGGGGAGCTGCCCTGTATGAGCCACATCAATGGACTCCCTGCCTCTGTCTTCCAGTGAGATTTGGCTAATGGAAGGAAGACACCAACAGGGGGTTGGAGGGAGCGAGAAAGGGATTCGAAGTCAACCATATCTTCTCCTGACTCCCTCCCCGTGAGGTCACCCTGCCTAGAGTGTTCCTTGACATAGGTCACGGCTTCCCAAGGCCCCTCTCTCTCATTCTAGATTCTGGTGTCTTGGGCCAGGCGTGGTGGCTCACGCCTGTATTTCCCAGCACTTTGGGAGGCCAAGGCAGGCAGATCACTTGAGTTCAGGAGTTTGAGACCAGCCTGGCCAACATGGCAAAACCCGTCTCTACTAAAAATACAAAAATTAGCCAGGCATGGTGGTGCAGGCCTATAATCCCAGCTACTAGGGAGGCTAAGTCAGGAGGATTGCTTAAACCTGGGAGGCAGAGGTTGCAGTGAGCTGAGATCACATCACTGCACTCCAACCTGGGTGACAGAGCGAGACGCCATCTCAAAAAAAAAAAAATACCGACAGGAAATATCTGAAAGGAAGAAATAATTTAACATTTTGTAATGAAAATAAGCAAAGTCTAAAACACTCCTCCTGAGCTCCTTGTAGCAAAAGACAAAGATAGCCTAATGCAGGCCAGGTGTGGTGGCTCATGCCTGTAATCCCAGCACTTTGGGAGGCTGAGGCGGGAGGATCACAAGGTCAGAAGATTGAGACCATCCTGGCTAACATGGTGAAACCCCATCTCTACTGAAAATACAAAAAATTAGCTGGGTGTGATGGCGGGCGCCTGTAGTCCCAGCTACTCGGGAGGCTGAGGCAGGAGAATGGCGTGAACCTGGGAGGCGGAGCTTGTAGTGAGCCGAGATCACGCCACTGCACTCCGGCCTGGGTGAGAATGTGAGGCTCCGTCTCAAAAAAAAAAAAAAAGATTCTGGTGTCTGGTCCTTCCCTACTGGTTTGGGCTTAGGGGCAGCCACAGCTCTTTTTTTTTTTTTTTTTAATTGAGATGGAGTCTTGCTCTGTTGCCAGGCTGGAGTGCAGTGGTGCAATCTTGGCTCGCTGCAACCTCTGCCTCCCTGGTTCAAGCAAGTCTCCTGCCTCAGCCTCCTGAGTAGCTGGGATTACAGGCACATGCCGCCATGCCTGGCTAATTTGTTTTTTTTGTATTTTAGTACAGATGGGGTTTCACCATGTTGCCCAGGCTGATCTCAAACTCCTGAGCTCAGGCAATCCGCCCACCTTGGCCTCCCACAGTGCTAGGATTACAGGCTTGAGCCACTGCGCCCAGCTGGTCACAGCTCTTTTTTCTGCTATCCCAGGTCACCATAGTGCCAGGCGGTTCCTGACCCCCTGTCCTCCCTCGTGTGAACCATCCCTTTGTAAATAACCCTCCTTGAATTACCCTGATCTCAATCTGCTGTTTTCTGTTGAGGTCTCAGAGAGGCGAGAGCCACCAAAAAACTTTATGATCAAATAAAACGTGGTGGCCCCGGGATGACCACGTAGACCCTGGGGTGGAGCAGAAAGGGTACTGAGCTGCCAGGAGACGGGACACACTCAGGGTATTTCTCGGGTGTGCAGAGTCACTCTTGGATACTCTACTTCATCATCAGTAACACGAAAGTTCACCTAAAACAGCACAACATCTCTCTGGTCCTAACTCCTACAGCATCCTTTTTTTTTTTTTTTTTTTTGCCTTGAGGCAGGGTCTTGCTCTGTTTCCCAGGCTGGAATGCAGTGGTACCATAATAGCTCACTGCAGCCTCGAACTCCTGGACTCAAGTGATCCTCCCACCTCAGCCTCCCGAGTATCTGGGACCACAGGTCCATGCCACCACACGCGGCTAATTGTTGTGGGGTTTGTAGAGATGGGCTTTCACCATATTGCCTGGGCTAGTCTCAAACTCCTGCGCTCAAGTGATCATCCTGCTGGGAGGATCCCAAAGTGCTGGGATTACAGGCATGAGCCACCATGCCCGGCCTGAACATCAATTCTTGAGAGCAGCATATTTCATGTTTACAACATTAACTTTATTTTATTTCATTTTTAAGAGTCAGGGTATGGCTGGGCATGGTGGCTCACACCTGTAATTCCAGCACTTTGGGAGGCCGAGGTGAGCAGATCACTTGAGGTCAGGAGTTCAAGACCAGCCTGGCCAACGTAGGGAAACCCCACCTTTACTGAAAATATAAAAATTAGCTGGGTGTGGTGGTGCACATCTGTAATCCCAGCTACTTGGGAGGCTGAGGTATGAGAATTGCTTGAACCCAAGAGGTGGAGGTTGCAGTGAGTTGAGGTCTTGCCACTGCATTCTAGGCTGGGCTACAGAGCTAGACTCTGTCTCCAAAAAAAAAAAAGAGTCAGGGTCTCACTCTTTTGCACAGGCTGGAGTGCAGTGGTGCGATCATAGCTCGCTGCACTGTAGCCTTGACCTCTTGGACTCAAGCTATCCTCCTGCCTCAGCCTCCTGAGTAGCTAACAGGCATGCACCCCCACGCCTGGTTAACTTTTTGTTTTTGTAGAGATGGGGTCTCACTATGTTGCCCAAGCTAAATAACATAAAGAACGTAAGCATCCTCCGGCCTTGGCCTCCCAAAGTGCTGTGATTATAGCCATGAGCCACCCACGCTCGGGCAGAGGGAAGTTCTTAAAAAGGAAGCCTGGTGAGATGAAGCAATGCACACAATATAACATTCCGTGGGAATGCAGAATGCGCGTTGCTTTATGAAATGTGTGTAAAAGTCAGGTTTTGTTGGGTGAAATAAATATGCATATGGGGGAGATTGGGAAAGAACTCTGTCCTTAGCTAAAAGTTCAACTGTGAAGTCTTGGAGCACTTGCCTGTGGAGCTGAGGTGAGTGTGAGAGTCACATTTCACAGGACCCTCCCCACTCCCCCAAGATGTCAAAGGGACTACGTGGAAACTGCTCTGTGGCTCCCAACATCTTGTTCTAAGCGAAGTTTGTCGTTATCCCAGGGATGCCAAAACACTGAGAATTCCTGCCTTCTGCAATACGTGGATTAACTCCCCATGAACTTAATGTTTCCTTTTTTTTTTTTTTTTTTTTGAGATGGAGTTTTGCTCTTGTCGCCCAGGCTGGAGTGCAGTGGTGTGATCTCAGCTCACTGTAACCTCTGCATCCCGGGTTCAAGCAATTCTCCTGCCTCAGCCTCCCGAGTAGTTGGAATTACAAGTGCCCACCACCACGCCTGGCTAATTTTTGTATTTTTAGTAGAGACTGGGTTTTGCTATGTTGGCCAGGCTGGTCTCGAACTCCTGACCTCAAGTGATCCACCCACCTCAGCCTCCCAAAGTGTTGGAAATACAGGTGTGAGCCACTGCGCCTGGCCTTAATTTTTCCTTTTTAGCCAAAGGTTGTGAGTGGTCTGATGGCTTCTGATCCAGTCCCATCTCAGTTTTCTTGGGCTTGTAAGGACATTTAATAATTGATGGGGTGGCTCCCTTCTGAGCCATCAGGAGCGGAGGGCGCTTTGGATTCTGGTGCTTTGACCTGCAGGAGGAAGAGAGTGTCTCTGGGACTTTATCGCCCGGCACCCTGCACTGTATGGCCTTGGGCAAGTCATGCCTCCTCTTGGGGCCTTGGCCATCAAGTCTATGAGATGGGCCATGTTGTCCAGGCTGTTCTCGAACTCCTGACTTCAAGTGATCCTCCCACTTCGCCCTTCCAAAGTGCTGGGATTACAGGCATCAGCCACCACCCACACAGCCACCCACTTTTATCTCCCAGGAGGGCCCAACCCTTCTCCCTTGGTTTCAATATGAAAAATCCCAGGGGAGAATCTGATTGGCCCAACTTGGGTCACATGGTTGCCCGGGGCCAGGAGGGTGGGGCAGCAGGACGGCAGCCATGTGGCTGGGGTTGGGGAGGTGGGGCTCTTCCTGACAAGGGGTGTCTGTCCAGAACAGAGAGCGTCCCAGCTTTTGAGTGATGGAGGGTTGCACTACAGCCTCTAGAGTCTTCTTCAGAGGGAGGAGAGAGTGGGAAGCTTGGGAGAAAAGGCTTCCAGGAGTTAAGTGGGAAACAGAGCTCCTCGTCTATTCTTGTCCCTTTGATCCTCAATGGTATTGTCAATTCCATGACAACGGGAGACGCTTTTAAGTCACAAGTGATTTTCGCAAGCAACAAACTATATTTTTATCACTCCGAATCCTCCCAAATGACTACTTCCTCAAGGGCTGTGTTTGGGGCCTGCCAGAGTCTCCTCTAGGATCCACAGTGCCTCCAGGTGGGTGACACCCCACTGGTCTTGGGGCGCTCTTGGAATCTGCCGGGTGATGTCATTTCTGCTGCCGGTCGCTGCGTCTGTCTGGCTCCTGCCTCCCGCCCCCTCTGCTCCTGTCTCCTCTGCCTCTTGAAGGACATTTGCAAGCAAATTGAGCTTTGTAGTGGAGAGCGTCAGCCTCAATTTCAGTTGAAACCATCATCTTCAGTTTGAGAGGCCACACAGTCACATGAACACACACAGACACAGTGACACACACACACACACAAACACCCCCAAAACACTGTCACACACAGAAATGCATATGTGCTTGGACACACACATAGACACACACAGACATACACATGCATGCAAGACACACACACACTGAAGCACACTCAGCCACAGACACACACAGACACATTCAGACACACAGAGGCGTGCACACAGATTCAGATAGGGATAGACAGATGAGCAAAGCAGGAGATAAAGGCACCGCACAGATGGACAGACCCAGACACACACATACAAAGACACACACTCAATCTCACGTAGATGCACACACTTGTCAGTCAGTGCTGGACTGGTCAGTATTTAACACACCCAGCGTTCTGACTTGTAGCAGTTGCTAATTTCCATGGTGTCAATATTCCCACCGGATTCCAGCTATCATTATGAGGTCAGAGTTGGGGACAGGGCACACAGTCGTCTTTGGAGCTGGGAGGAGTCGGCTCTGACACCTGTGGCCACTGCCAGGCTCACACAGACACTCACAACAATAGACACACACACGTGTGCTCTGCTGAAAACTGTCACTTCCCTGGTGTCCCAGCAGTCCTGGATTCAACCCCTGGCTATGCTGTGTGTCTTTGATCACATTTCTCAACCTCTGTGAGCCTCCCATTTCTTGTAAAATGGCAAAAGCCCACCCAGGGCTGATGGAAGGATGGGTGGTCATTTGGGAGTGCCCCCACATGGAGCCTGGTACCCGGTGGTGGCTTGGCCTTGCACAGAAGAGAGAGTGCTCTGTGACCATCTGCTTGGTCCTAGGGTCTGGGCTCTGGGCTGGCACAGACACCTGTTCAGCTGCCAGAGCCCCAGGGCCACAGCTGGTGTGTGCCCACCAGCCTGTCGGCAGCCCTTTGGCACTCTTCTGCTCTTGGGCAAGATGTGGGGTATGTCCCCTGGTCTAATTTAGGGCCCCCACCCTCTACGACTTGGTCCCTCACGCTTCCCAGATTTGTGTCTTGGGCTGGTCTCTCTGCCTGGAGGGTCCTGCCTCTGGCTCCTCACCCTTCTGACCATCAGAGTTCATGCTATAGCTGAGCATGGTGGTGCCCATCTGTAGTCCCAGCTACTTGAGAGGCCGACATGGGAGGATCGCTTAAGCCTAGGGGTTCTAGACAACAGTGAACTGTGATCATGCCACTGCACTCTAGCCTGGGCAACAGAGCAAGACCTTGTCTCTACAGAAAATTTTAAACATTAGCATTAGCCAGGTGTGGTGGTGGTGAACCTGTGGTCCCAGCTACTTGGGAGGCTGAGGGGGGAGGGTCTCCTGAGCCTGGGACATCTAGGCTGCAGTGAGGTATGATGGCACCACTGCACTCCAGCCTGGGTGACAGAGCGAGACCCCAACTCTTAAAAAAAAAAAAGAAAAAAAAAAGAATTGGCCAGGTGCGGTGGCTCAAGCCTGTAGTCCCAGCACTTTGGGAGGCCGAGGCAAGTGGATCACCTGAGGTCAGGAGTTTGAGACCAGCCTGGCCAACATGGTGAAACCTCATCTCTACTAAAAATACAAAAATTAGCAGGGCGTGGTGGCATATGCCCATAATCCCAGCTACTTGGGAGGCTGAGGCAGGAGGATTGCTTGAACCTGGGAGGCAGAGGTTGCAGTGAGCCAAGATCTTGCCACTGCACTCCAGCCTGGGCAACAGTAAGACTTGGTCTCAAACAAACAAAAACAAAAAACACACAAAAAAAGAGGCCGGGCTTGGTGACTCATGCCTGTAATTCCAGCACTTTGGGAGGCCAAGGTGGGAGGATCACCTGAGATCAGGAGTTCAAGACCAGCCTGGCCAAAGTGGTGAAACTCTGTCTCTACTAAAAAATACAAAAATTAGCCAGTCGTGATGGGGTGTGCACCTGTAATCCCAGCTACTAGGGAGGCTAAGGCGTGAGAATCGCTTGAAACAGGGAGACGGAGGTTGCAGTGAGCCAAGATCGTGCCACTGCCTTCCAGCCTGGATGACAGAATGAGACTCTGTCTCAGAAAAAAAAAAAAAAAATTACCAGAGAGATTCCACAAACTGTCTCCAAAGGAGAGGACACAAGAGGTGTGCTTCCAGGTTTCCAGAACCTTCCCTGCATCTCCTCGCCAAACCTACTTCCCCTCAGCTTTGGGAAGGGCTCAGGGCCTTGCCTGTACCCCAAGTTTACTCTACATATGGCTGTGATCTGAACTGGGGTGAGGCCAGGGGATGACCCTGTCCCCCTAGTCTGGGCTGGAGCTCCTATTTCCCAGGCTCATGCATGGCTGTGGGTGGGCCCTGAGGGACCCTTTGCTGGCTGGGTCACAGATACAAGGTCCTGGTCTGTGAGCAGCCTGTTCACCGGCTCATGCAGTACAGGGGCCCTGTGGAGTGGACTCGTTGTCCTCCGGCCCACCTCTCTCTGGCCTGGGAGGAGTCTGGGCAGGCCCCTGCCCCAGGGCCAATTCCATCCTGTGGCCTCTTTGCTGATGGAGCCGTCTCTTCCCTCAAAGGGTTTCCTGCTGCTGGAGTGGAAATAATTTCTTCTGAGATTTCAGAGGCAGAAGACATTTCTCACCTTCCCAAAAGCCCGGAGGATGGAGATTAGAATGAGTGGGGTCGTTTCATGAGCAGGGAGGCCAAGTGGGAACCCTGTGACTGATCCATTTGTCCTGGTTCCCGGAAGGATGTCACCCAGGCAGGGCTGAGGGGAGGAGGTGGAGATTCGGGGGTCGAGGGGCTCCCACAGCCCAGGCCTGAATCCGCTGCTGGGTTCCTCCACCTCCCAGCTCTGCCTCTGGAGGAGGGAGAGGCTAATCTTCCTCCAAACACTTCACGCTTCAGGAAATCACAGGCTCTCAGAGTGCAGGGCCCCTCTTGGCCGAGCGAGTGTGATTTTTCCCGGGAAGTGGCTCTTATGAGACTCTCTAAGGGGTCCCTGACCTGAAGAGAAGGTTCAACAGCCCTGCCTCGGAGGAGGAAAATGAACATTCGCTGTGCGTACAAAAATAGCTTACATGCTCAGAGCCTGTGTTTGAGGGGTGCAGGCCTGGCGCACAGGGGTCTGGGTCCAAGCCCCTGCCTCGCTGGCACTCTCAATGAACTTGGGAGCAGGTGCGCCCGTCTCCAGCAGGTTCGTTCCCCATCAAGGAGGGAGAAACAGGCCATCTTCATAGGCCTGGGCAAGGCAGGAAGGGCTGAGTGCAGTGAGGGCCGAATGCTCGCTCCTCCTGGATACCATGGCCCTGGCAGCTGTGGGGAAGATTCAAGGCATATGTGGCTGGATGGGAGTTGTTTCAGCTCTGCCCCAAGCAGGGAACCACGGTGGTGGGCGGAGGGGGTCCTAGCTGGTCAAGTGATGTCTTCCACTCCCAGACTCTAGGAAGCAGGCCCAGCCTCGGGAGGGCAGACATGTTGTTTGTACCGGGCACAAGTGGCCAGGGAATGACCAATGGCAGGTTGCTGCTGACCGGAAGGAGGACAGAACCAGGACAGTGGAGGTCTTGGTTCTAGTGGCTGCTGTGACATTGCCCTCTCCTCTCTCTGCTTGTCTCTCTCCCTGTCCTCATCCTGATCCCCACCCTTCCTCTCTCCCTCTCTTTTCTCCTCTGCCCTGGAGTCTCACTCTGTCGCCCAGGCTGGAGTGCAGTGGCACGATCTCGGCTCACTGCAACCTCCGCCTCCTGGGTTCAAGCGATTCTTCTGCCTCAGCCTCCCAAGTAGCTTGGACTACAGGTGCCTGCCACCATGCCCGGCTAATTTTTGTATTTTTAATAGAGATGGGGTTTCACCATGTTGGCCAGGCTGGTCTCTAACTCCTGACCTCAGGTGATCCACCCATCTTGGCCTCCCAAAGTGTTGGGATTACAGGCGTGAGCCACTGCACCTGGCCTAATTTTTGTATTTTTAATAGAGACAGGGTTTCACCATGTTGGCCAAGCTGGTCTCGAACTCCTGACCTCGTGATTCCCCTCTGCCCTTTTTTTTTGTTTTGTTTTTGTTTTTGAGACAGGGTCTCGCTCCATCCCCCAGGCTGGAGTGCAGTGGCACAATCTCAGCTCACTGCAGCTTCCAACTCCTGGGTTCTAGTGATCCTCCTGCCTCAGCCTCCCACATAGCTGGGATCACAGGTGCATTCCACTATGTCTGGCTAGTTTTTTGTAGAGATGGAGCCTCACTGTGTTGCCAGGCTGGTCTTGAACTCCTAGGCTCAAGTGATCCTCCTGCCTCGGCCTCCCAAAGTGCTGGGACTATAGGTGGGAGCCACTACGCCCAGCCCCCTCAGCCTGTCTTGCCCCAAAAGGTGGGTGCCAGCCAACATGTCCCCCTGCAGGTGCCAGTCACCTTCCTCCTGAGGGCATTCCCGGTGCAGGTGCACAGCTGGGGCTGGCCCTAGGAGCGGCCCTCGCCCATGATGGGTGGCGGCTGGTGGATAAACTCGGGGTTCCTGGTGCCTGGGTTGGGACAGCCACAGCAGCCCAGGGGCTCCCAAGAGGGTTGAGTTCCTCTTGCCCACCGAGGCTCCAGCTGCCTAAAGAACAGCCTTGCCCAGACCCACAGCCCTTCTCAGGTTGCCTGCACGCTTGCTTCAGGGTTGCTTTGGGGACACACCCCTTCTGGGGCTTCCTGCTCCCAGATCACTTCTGCTAAGAAGGGTCTCGGAGGCTGGGCATGGTGGCTCACACCTGTAATCCCAACACTCTGGGAGGCCATGGCGGGTGGATCACAAGGTCAGGAGATCGAGACCATCCTGGCTAACACGGTGAAACCCCGTCTCTACTAAATATACAAAAAATTAGCTGGGTGTGGTGGCGGGCGCCTGTAGTCCCAGCTACTCAGGAGGCTGAGGCAGGAGAATGGCATGAACCCAGGAGGCAGAGCTTGCAGTGAGCAGAGATCGCGCCACTGCACTCCAACCTGGCGACAGAGTGAGACTCCGTCTCAAAAAATAATAATAATAATAATAAAGAGGCGTGTTTGTGGCTGGGAGCGGCGGCTCATGCCTGTAATCCCAGCACCTGAGGTCAGGAGCTCAAGACCAGCCTGCCCAACATGGCGAAACCCCATCTCTACTAAAAATACCAAAATTAGCTGGGGCATGGTGGCACACACCTGCAATCCCAGCTACTTGGGAGGCTGAGGCAGGAGAATCACTTGAACCCAGCAGATGCAGGTTGTTGTGAGCTGAGATTGCACCATAGCACTCTAGCCTGGGCAACAGAATAAGACTCTGTCTCAAAACAAAACAAACAAACAAAAAAAGGCATGTTTGTGTTGGAGACATTCTGTAGCAGGAGCTAAGGTGGAGGCCCAGGGCACCCTGCAGCCATGACTCCTTTCATTCAGCTTACGTGAGCAGCCACTGTGTGCCTGGATCTGTGCTGGGCCCAGGGATGGTGAGATGAAGCAACCGATGACACCTGTCCTCGGGGGGTTCCCAGGGTACTGGAAAAGGCAGGTGGAGGAGCCGGCAGGCCTGAGATGAGCAGGCTCTGGGGGCCTACTGCCTGCAGCTGCATCCAGGGTCTCCTGCTATTGTGTGAGTTAGTACCTCTCTCCATGCCTCAGTTTCCTCATTTGCAAGGGGCACAATAAAAGCCTCCTCCTCAAAGGGCCATTGTGAGGCAGAAATGATTCCTGTGAAGCATCTCCGGTGGGGCCTGGACTGTGGTCGGATCTCAGTCGCTGTGAGATGTCAGCATTAGGAACAGGGCATTGAGCAGGCCTGGAGCTGGGCCAGGGACCCCTGGGGAGGGCTGCAGAGAGTGGCCACCAGGCAAGGGCTGGGCATGGCGGATTGAAGCAGGGTCTCTCTGTGGCGGGGCCTGCCAGGTTCCTGGAGAAACTGCCCTGAGTTGGTGATGAGATAGGAAAGCCTGTTAAAATGAAATGTTTAATTAATTAATTTATTTTTTATTTTATTTTACTTAATTATTTTATTTTTTTGAGACAGAGTCTCCCTCTGTTGCCCAGGCTGGAGTGTAGTGGCGTCGTCTCGGCTCAGTGCAGTCTCCACCTCCTGGGTTCAAACTATTATCCTGCCTCAGCCTCCCCAGTAGCTGGGATTATGGGCACGTGTCACCATGCCTGGCTGATTTTTTTTTTTTGAGGAGGAGTCTCCCTCTGTCTCCCAGGCTGGAGTGCAGTGGCGCAATCTCGGCTCACTGCAAGCTCCGCCTCCTGGGTTCACGCCATTCTCCTGCCTCAGCCTCCTGAGTAGCTGGGACTACAGGTGCCTGCCACCATGCTCGACTAATTTTTTTTTTTTTTGTATTTTTAGTAGAGATGGGGTTTCACCGTGTTAGCCAGGATGGTCTCAATCTCCTGATCTCGTGATCTGCCCGCCTCGGCCTCCCAAAGTGCTGTGATTACAGGCATGAGCCACCGCACCTGGCCTGATTTTTGTATTCTTTAGTACAGACGGGGTTTCACTATGTTGGCCAGGCTGGTCTAGAACTCCTGACCTCAAGTGATCTGCCTGCCTCGGCCTTCCAAAGTGCTGGGATTATAGGCATGAGCCACCGCGCCTGGAATAACTCTTGTTTTAGATACTGAGGGCACACATGCAGGGTTGTTACATGGGTAAATTTTGTGTCATGGCAGTTTGGTGTACAGATTATTTTATCACCCAGGTAATAAGCACAGTACCCGACAGGTAGTTTTTTTGATCCTCACCCTCCTCCCCAACTCCACCCTTAAGTAGGCCCTGGTGTCTATTGTTTCTTCTTTGTGCAAATACGTATAACAGAGTCTCGCTCTGTCTCTCAGGCTGGAGTGCAGTGGTGCAATCTTGGCTCATTGCAGCCTCGACCTCCCAGGCTCAGGTGATCCTCCCGCCTCAGCCTCCCTGAGTAGCTGAGACCACAGGCGTGCACCACCATGCCTGGCTAATTAAAAAAAAAATAATAATAAGGCCGGGTGCGGTGGCTCATGCCTGTAATCCCAGCACTTTGGGAGGCTGAGGCGGGTGGATCACAAAGTCAGGAGATCAAGACCATCCTGGCTAACACAGTGAAACCCCATCTCTACTAAAAATATAAAAAGTTAGCCCGGCGTGGCGGCGGGCACCTGTAGTCCCAGCTACTCGGGAGGCTGAGGCAGGAGAATGGCATGAACCCGGGAGGCAGAGCTTGCAGTTAGCCGAGATAGCACCACTGCAGTCTGGCCTAGGCAAAAGAGCGAGACTCTGTCTCAAAAAAAAAAAAATGTAGAGATGGGGGTCTCACTGTGTTGTCCAGGCTGGTCTCGAACTCTTGGGCTCAAGTAATCCTCCCATCTTGAGCTTCCAAAGTGGTGGGATTACGGGCCCACCTTGGCCTCCAGAAGTGTTGGGATCACAGGGATGAACCACCTCGCCTGACCTGCAATTTTTTTTTTTTTATAAAAGGAGTTTCTCCCCATTACTGATGCAAACCTGCTGGAGAGCTCAAGATATGCTGCATGGTTTTCCAAAGGAATGTGCTATATTTATGTGTGTCTATTTCTGGGCTTTCTATTCTGCTCCATTGATCCATCTCTGTTTGCTTGCCAATTCCACAGGGTCTTTATTTATTTATCTTTTAGACAGCAGTTCTCACTCTGTTGCCCAGGCTGGAGTGCAATAGTGCAATCATAGCTCACTGCAGCCTTGACCTCCTGGGCTCAAGGGATCCTCCTATCTCAGCTTCCTGAGTAGCTGGGACTACAAGTGTGTACCATAGTGCCTGGCTAATTTTTTATTTTTCATTTTTGTACAGATGGAGTCTTGCTGTGTTTCCCAGGCTGGTCTCAAACTCCTGGCCTCAAGCCATCCTCCCATATTAGGCTCCCAAAATGCTGGCATTATAGGTGCGAGCCACGGTACTGGTTCCCCCACCTCCTTTTTTATTTTTATTTATTTGTATATTTATTTATTTTTTGAGACTGAGTCTCGCTCTGTCGCCCAGGCTGGAGTGCAGTGGCACAAACTCGGCTCACCACAACCTCCGCCTCCCGGGTTCAAGTGATTCTCCTGCCTCAGCCTCCCGAGTAGCCAGGATTACATGCGCCTGCCACCATGCCAAGCTAATTTTTGTGTTTTTAGTAGAGACAAGATTTCACCATGTTGGCCAGACTGGCCTCGAACTCCTGACCTCAGGTGATCCACCCACCTTGGCCTCCCAAAGTGCTGGGATTATAGGTGTGAGCCACTGCACCCAGCCCTGTTTTTATTTTTATTTTTTAAGAGATGGGCTCTCTCTGCATTACCCAGGCTTGAGTGCAGTGGCTATTCACAGGTGCAATCGTAGTGCACTGCAGCCTTGGACTCCTGGGCCCATGCCATTCTCCCATCTCAGCTTCCCATATAGCTGGGACCACGGGTGTCCACTACTGTGCCTGGCTTCTGCCTTGATTACTGTAGTTTTATAGTAAATATTAAATCAGTCTTCCAACTTTCTTCTTCAATATTATGTTGGCTATTCTGGCTCTTTTGTCTCTCCATATAAACTTGAAAATCAGTTTGTCATTATCCACAAAATAATTTGCTAGGATTTTGATTGGGATTGTGTTGAATCTATAGATCAAGTAGGGAAGAGCTGACATGTTGACAATATCAAGTTTTCCTATCCATGAACATGGAATATCTCTCCATTTATTTGGTTCTTCTTTGATTTATTTCATCAGACTTTTATAATTTTCCCCATATCAATCCTGTATATATCTTGTTAGTTTCATAGGTATTTCAGTTCTGAGGTGCTAATATAAATGGTACTGTGTTTTAAATTTCTTTTTTTTTTTTTGAGACAGTGTCTTGCTCTGTTGCCAGGCTGGAGTGCAGAGGTGCCATCTCAGCTCACCACAACCTCCGCCTCCTGGGTTCAAGCGATTCCCCTGCCTCAGCCTCCCAAGTAGCTGGGATTACAGGCACACGTCACCACGCCAGGCTAATTTTTTGTATTTTAGTAGAGACGGGGTTTCACCATGTTCGTCAAGATGGTATCGATCTCCTGACCTCGTGATCCAACCGCCTCAGCCTCCCAAAGAGCTGGGATTACAGGTGTGAGCCACTGTGCCCGGCCTGTGTTTTAAATGTAAGGCCAATTGTTCATTGCTGGGACTTAGGAGAGCAATTGACCTTTGTAAATTAACTTTGTATCCTGCAACCTTGCTATAATCGCTTATTAGTTCCAGGAAGTTTCTGTGTTGATTCTTTGTAATTTTCCATATAGGTAATCATGTCATCTTGGAACAATAATGAAGTCATTGGCTTTAGAAATATTTGTGTTATTGAAAAATTCAAATTATACAGAAGCCAAGAGAATAAAACAATGAACCCTTATGTCCTCACCACCTACCTTTGGCAATTGTCAACTCATGGGTGAGCTTGTTTCATCCATACCTGTACCTGTGCCTCCTCCCCTCCACATTCCAGACTTTGAAAATCCCAGATATCATATCATACCGTCCGATTATATATCAGAATCTACTTCTAAAAAAGGATGCCTTTGAAAACCATCCCATAAGGCTGGGTGTGGTGGCTCATGCCTGTAATCGCAGCTCTTTGGGAGGCCGAGGCAGATGGATCGCCTGAGGTCGAGAGCTCAAGACCAGCCTGGCCAACGTGGCGAAACCCTGTATCTACTAAAAAAAAAAAAAAAATACAAAAATTACCTGGGTGTGGTGGTGGGCACCTGTAGTCCCAGCTACTCGGGAGGCTGAGGCAGGAGAATTGCTTGAACCCAGGAGGCAGAGGTTGTGGTGAGCTGAGATTGCACCACTGCACTCCAGCCTGGGCGACACAGGGAGGCTCCATCTCAAAAAAAAAAAAAAAAGAAAAAAAGAAAAAAAAAAAGAAAACCATCTCATGATACCATTATCCCCCATTATCCCCCAAAACAAATTAACAATGTTTCCTTAACAGCATTGACCATCCAATCAGTGCTCAAATGTTTCCAATTGCTTCATGAACTTTACAACGTTTTGTTGTGAAATTTTTCAATGTCACAACATGTCTAGAAGAACAGCATGATGAACCCCTGCAGGCACTTCACCTGTTTTCACTAGTTGTTGAGAATGTTACCTTTCATTATTGATGCAAGAGTTTTACTAGTAGGGACACATCGTTTTTAGCCATTCCAAATGAGTCATTACCCATTGCCTCGATTTCTTTTTAATAGTCAAGTCTTTTTTTGTTTTTGTGTTTTTTGAGACAGTCTCACTCATTGCCCAGGCTGGAGTGCAGTGGCACAATCATGGCTCACTGCAGCCTCCACCTCCTTGGCTCAAGCGATCCTCCCACCTTAGCCTCCTGAGTAGCTGGGACTACAGGAGTGTGCCACTATACCTGGCTAACTTAAAACAATTTTTTATAGAGATGGGGGTCTCATTATGTTGCCCAGGCTGGTCTGAAACTCCTGGACTTCAGCAATCCTCAAATCTTGGCCTCCCAAAGTGTTGGGATTATAGGCATGAGCCATCGTGCCTGGCCAATAATCGGTCTTTATACCAATAGGCTTATTCCAATGTCTTGGATTGTTACTGCCTTTTTTTCCTATAAAAAAGTGGTAAATATTTTCTTTTTTTTCTTGTTTCTTTTATATCCCTATAAAATTTGTAATTATTCATTTGCTAACAAATATTTCCTGAGCCACTCCAGATACTGTAGCTGTTTTTCATATAAATTGTATTAATTTCATTTAATTAATTACTCAGTGTTTTATGTCTTTGCTGCTATTGTGAGTGATTTCCTGCCAGTCTTGTGGTGTCTCCCCTCCACCACTGTTTTTTCTAATCTATCATTGCTGGCATGTAGAAAATGATTGATTCTGCCAGGTGTGGTGGCTCACGCCTGTAATCCCAGCACTTTGGGAGGCTGAGGTGGGTGGATTGCCTGAGGTCAGGAGTTCAAGACCAGCCTGGCCAACATGGTGAAACCCCCGTCTCTACTACAAAAATACAAAAATTAGCCAGGTGCGGTGGTGGGCGCCTGTAATCCCAGCTACTCAGGAGGCTGAGGCAGGAGAATCACTTGAACCCAGGAGGTGGAGCTTGCAGTGAGCTGAGATCATGCCACTGCACTCCAGCCTGGGTGACAGAGTGATTCCGTCTCAAAAAAAAAAATTGATTCACGAATATTACTTTCATAACCGGACAGCTGAGCATTCTTTTTTTTTTTTTTTTTTTTGAGACCAAGTCTCACTCTGTTGCCCAGGCTGGAGTGCAACGGCGCGATCTCGGTTCACTGCAAACTCCACCTCCCGGGTTCAAGTGATTCTTGTGCCTCAGCCTCCCAAGGAGCTGGTACTACAGGTGCCTGCCACCACACCCAGCTAATTTTTTTTATATTTTAGTAGAGACAGGGTTTCACCACATTGGTCAAGCTGGTCTTGAGCTCCTGAACTCAAGCAACCTGCCTGGCTCGGACTCCCAAAGTGCTGGGATTACAGGCATGAGCCACCACGCCCGCCTCTTTTGGTTTTAATTGTGGGGAAATATACACAATATAAAAGTGACTGTTGCAGCTATTTTAAGTGAACAATGCAGCGGCATCGTGTGCATTCACGATGTTGTGCAAACCATCTGATTACATAACTTTTTCACCATTCCTAACAGAAGCTCTCCACCCATGAAGCAAACCCTCCACATTTCAACCTCCCCCAGGCCCTGGCAAGCACCTGAGCTCCCTGGATACACCAGACATCCTGAGCCTTCTTCAGGAATCTCTCTTGACTGAGCAGCTCTTCAATGATTTCCTTTTTTTTTTTTTTTTTTTTGAGACGGAGTTTCACTCTTGTTGCCCAGACTGGAGTGCAATGGCACAATCTTGGCTCACTGCAACCTCCACCTCCTGGGTTCAAGAGATTCTCCTGCCTCAGCCTCCCGAGTAGCTGGGATTACAAGTCCCAGCTAATTTTTGTATTTTTTAGTAGAGATGGGGTATCACCATGTTGGCCAGTCTGGTCTCAAACTCCTGGCCTCAGGTGATCCACCTGCCTCGGCAGCCCAAAGTACTGGGATTACAGGAGTGAGTCGCCGTGTCTGGCCAGTGATTTGCATTTTGAGCCGTCTCTTTTCTTGCATCTCAAACAAATTCAAGGTCAAGTCGCAACTGGTGTGGATATTATACTGCAGCCCCAAGCTAGAGCCTGGATCTGGGGTCCACGTTCCTGGCCCCAGGTGCCATAAGACAGCCTTCCTGCTCTCACATTTGAGAATTCGCCTCTCTTTCTTTTGAGCTCAGCCATGTGTTTATAGCTGGGGGATCTGTATCCACCTGGTACATTTCTGTTGCTAAAACCCTCCACATTTTTTCTCACCCTCCCACATAACCTCTGACGGCAGCCTTTCCATTTACAGCGCAGAAATAATGGTGCCTACCCCCCCAGACGTGAGCTGGGACCGTAGGCTGGTGCGTCGCTTCTGAAAAGTGAATACCGAATGTATTCCAGGTCCAGCTGAAACGCAAAGTCAGGCCACCACTTAAGAAGATTGGAGGGCCGAGCGTGAATTTAAAATGACTACTAGGTAATCGCACCTTCTCTTAACTGGCCTGCTTCTTTGCTGGGTTTTATTTTAAGCGCTTCGGAGCATTTGTGTTGCTTTTGTGATCCTTCGTTCGTTCGTGGCTCTTTTGCAGCCAAACCCTCCCCTGGCTTATGCAAATATGAGTCCCCCAGAAGGCAGCCCCCACACCAACTGCGAGGGACAGAGATAGTAAATTCCAGAGTCAGGTTCTCGGTTTCGCCACCATCAGGAGAGATGAGGCCTGGAGTTCGGGGCTGGGGGCAGGGAACAAAGCCCCACCTAAAATATCCCCACTGCCCACAGAGCCCCCCTCCATCAGCTCTTCTGCAACAGAGGGTACATGCCTTTGGACTGTTGTTACCAAACCAGAGTCTACCCGCCTCGCACAGCAAAGCCTAATTCTGACATCAGGGCTGCAGTGAAGAGAAAATGAGGCGTTTCGTGCAGGACTCCAAACAGGGAGAATTGGGCAGCTCAGCTCGTGCTTAAAACCCAGACTCCCTGACGGCTTCCCAATGGCTTGTGGGCAAGGGTTTTTAAAGGTGGGGAGGATCTGGGCACGGCAGCTGACGCCTATAATCCCAGCACTTTGGGAGGCCGACGAGGGTGGATCACTTGAGGCCAGGAGTTCGAGGCGAGCCTGGGCGACATGGTGAAACCCTCTCTTTACTGAAAATACAAAAAATTAGCTGGGTGTGGTGGTGCGCGCGCACCTGTAATCCCAGCTGCTCCAGAGGCTGAGGCAGGAAAATCGCTTGAGCCCAGGAGGTGGAGGTTGCAGGGAGCCAAGATCACACCATTGCACTCCAGCCTGGGAGACAGAGCGAGACTCCATCTCAAAAATAAATAAATAAATAGAAGTGGGATATCTCGAAGCAGGGACCCACAGGTCATAGGAAGATTTGAAATGCTTTTTTTTTTTGATGGAGTCTCGCTCTGTTGCCAGGCTGGAGTGCAGTGGTGCGATCTCAGCTCACTGCAACCTCCACCTCCTGGGTTCAAGCGGTTCTCCTCCCTCAGCCTCCCGAGTAGCTGGGATTACAGGCATGCACCACCATGCCCAGCTAATTTTTGTATTTTTAGTAGAGACGTGGCTTCACCATATTGGCCGGGATGGTCTTGATCTCCTGACCTCATGATCTGCCTACCTTGGCCTCCCAAAGTGTTGAGATTACAGGCATGAGCCACCGCGCCCGACCTGAAGATTTTCTAATTTGCAATTGCTTTAAGCAGGTGAAGCTTTGTTTAAAAATCTGGGATCAGTAGAAAAGAATGTTAGCTCTGGCCTGTGGACAGGACCTCCTGCCGGCCCGTGGGGAAATAATTTAGAACAAAGAACAGGGGTCAGAGTTCTGTCCTCAGCTCCCCCTGAGGTCTAGGCCTGTCAACAGATCGTTTGGTGGGGGGGTCCAGGTTTCTGAAAAACAACTCAGGGACATATGTTAAGATGTCATCTTTGGGAGGCTGAGGCAGAAGAATGGCGTGAACCCGGGAGGCGGAGCTTGCAGTGAGCTGAGATCTCGCCACCGCACTCCAGCCTGGGTGACAGAGTGAGAATCCGTCTCAAAAAAAAAAAAGATGCCATCTTTAGCTGGGTGCGGTGGCTCCCGCCTGTAATCTCAGCACTTTGGGAGGCCAAGGTAGGCGGATCACCTGAGGTCGAGAGTTTGAGACCAACATGGAGAAACCCCATCTCTACTAAAAATAAAAAATTAGCTGGGCATGGTGGCGCATGCCTGTAATCCCAGCTACTCGGGAGGCTGAGGCACGAGAATTGCTTGAACCTGGGAGGCGGTGGCACCAGAATTCTTGAACCTGGGAGGTGGAGGCATGAGAATTGCTTGAACCTGGGAGGCAGAGGTTGCAGTGAGCCACGATCGCGCCATTGCACTCCAGCTTGGGCAACAAAAGCGAAACTCCATCTCAAAAAAAAAAAAAGAGTTTGAGACCAGCCTGGCCAACACAGTGAGACCCCCGTCTCTACTAAAAATACAAAAATTAGTTGGGCATGGTGGCACGTGCCTGTAATCCCAGCTATTAGGGAGGCTGAGGCAGGGGAATCGCTTGAATCTGGGAGGCGGAGGTTGCAATGAGCTGAGATTGCACCATTGCATTCCAGCCTGGGTGCTAGAGCGAGACCCTATTGAAAAAAAAAAAAAAAGGATGGGCTGGGCACAATGGCTCACACCTGTAATCCCAGAACTTTGGGAGGCTGAGGTGGGTGGATCACCTGAGGTCAGGGGTTCAAGACCAGCCTGGCCAATATGGCGAAACCCCCATCTCTACTAAAAATACAAAATTAGCTGGGCGTGGTGGTGCATGCCTGTAATCCCAACCATTCGGGAGGCTGAGGCAGGAGAATCACTTGAACCTGGAGGTGGAGGTTGCAGTGAGCCAGAATTGCGCCATTGCACTCCAGCCTGGGTGACAGAGCCTGACTCCATCTCACAAAAAAAAAAAAAAAAGAAAAAGAAATAGGGTGAATGCAGATGTAATTAGTTAAGGGTCTTGAGATGAGGTTGTATTGGATTTAGGGTGGGCCTTAAACCCAATGACAGAGGAGAAGACAGAGACACAGAGAGGAGACAGAGCCTGGAGCGATGCAGCCTCAAAGCGAGGAACACCTGGAGCCACCAGAGGCTGGAAGGGGCAGGAAGGATCCCCACAGAGACCTTGGAGGGAGTGTGGGTGGCCCTGGCAGACACCTCAATCTCAGACTTCTGACCTCCAGAACAGTGAGAGAATCAAGTTCTGTGGTTGAAGCCACCCAGTCTGCAATACTTTGCCATGGCAGTCCTAGGACATTAACCCAGCTGGCATGTGGTGGCGTTGGGATTTGAACTGTGAAGATTGATCATCTGAACTGGGTCATTCTTGTCATACTCAACTAAAACAGCGTCAAGAGGCCAGGGGGGAAAAACTGACACAGAACCATGCTCCAAAAATGTCATTCTCCGCAAGCCCCAAGGCTGGCACTGCTGCTGTAATTTGAGGCCAGTTTTCTGTACAGCTGCTGAGATAGCTCACTGCAACCCTAGGACTAATTTTGCCCACCTCTATCACCTGTCAATCAGAGCTTCCCAGGTTCCCTTCCTGGGAACCTCACTAGCACCAAGGATCTTTCTCAAAGAGCAGTATGTGCTGGGTGTGGTGACTCACACCTGTAATCCCAGCACTTTGGGAGCCTTGAAGCAGGAGGATCACTTGAGGCCAGGAGTTCAAGACCAGCCTGGGCAACATAGCGAGACCTCATCTCTACAAAAACAAATAAAATTGGGCCGGGCGCAGTGGCTCACGCCTGTAATCCCAGCACTTTGGGAGGCCGAGGTGGGTGGATCACCTGAGGTCAGGAGTTCGAGACCAGCCTGGCTAACATGGTGAAACCCCGTTTCTACTAAAAATACAAAAAATTAGCCAGGCGTGGTGGCATGCGCCTGTAATCCCAGCTACTTGGGAGGCTGAGGCAGGAGAATCACTTGAACCCGGGAGGCAGAGGTTGAAGTGAGCTGAGATCGCGCCATTGCACTCCAGCTTGGGCAACAAGATCAAAACTCCATCACAAAAAAAACAAAAACAAAACACACACACACACACACACACGCACACACACAAAGAAAATTAGCTAGCGTGGGCCGGGCATGGTGGCTCACGCCTGTAATGCCAGCGCTTTGGGAGGCCAAGGCGGGTGGATCACCTGAGGTCAGGAGTTCAAGACTAGCCTGACCAATATGGCGAAACCCCCATCTCTACTAAAAATACAAAAATTAGCTGGGCATGGTGGCACATGCCTGTAATTCCAGCTACTTCGGAGGCTGAGGCAGGAGAATCACTTGAACCCGGGAGGTGGAGTTTGTGGTGAGCCAAGACTGGGACATTGCACTCCAGCCTCGGCAACAAGAGCGAAACTCCATCTCAAAAAGAAAGAAAGAAAGAGAAAATTAGCCAGCATGGTGGTGCGTGCCTGTAGTCCCAGCTACTTGGGACGCTGAGGCGGTAGGAGTACTTGAGCCTGGGAAGTCCAGACTGCAGTGAGCTATGATTGAGCCACTGCACTCCAGCCTGGGCAACAGAGTGAGACCCTGTCTCAAAAAAAAAAAATTAATTCTAAGAGCAATACGTAACATTTCCCTTCTCTCTCTCTCTCTCTCTCTCTCTCTCTCTCTTTCTCTGTAAAACCTCCTACCTCCATTTTGTTCTTGGACAAACCTAGTCAGTGTGAATGCCCCGAATTACAGTTCTGTCTTCCCAAATAAAACACTGTATTTTCTTTATTTTTTTTTTTGAGATAGGGTCTCGCTTTGTCACCCAGGCTGGAGTGCAGTGGTGCAATCTTGGCTCACTGCAACCTCCATCTCCCGGGTTCAAGCGATTCTCCTGCCTCAGCCTCCTGAGTAGCTGGGATTAAAAGTGTGCACCACCACGCCTTGCTAATTTTTGTATTTTTGGTAGAGACGGGGTTTCACCGTGTTGACCAGGCTGGTGTCGAACTCCCGACCTCAAGTGATCCGCCCACCTCGGCCTCCCAAAGTGCTGGGATTATAGGCGTGAGCCACCCCACCCCACCCAATTAAAACGTTTTAATTTCAGAGATTCGTCTCTGCATTTTTCTTTCTTTCTTTTTTTTTGAAATGCAGTCTTCCTCTGTTGCCCAGGCTGGAATGCAGTGGCGTGATCTTGACTCACTGCAACCTCCACCTCCTGGGTTCAAGCGATTCTCCTGCCCCAGCCTCCTGAGTAGCTAGGGCTACAAGCATGCTCAAGTGATCCACCTGCCTTGGCCTCACAAAGTACCTGGCCCTGCATTTTTATCATGACTTCAAAGAACCCTGATTTACCAAATCAGAGTGGACACAGGTCTTGAGCTCCTTAATACTGGAAAGAAGCCCTAAGAATCGAGCCTCTTACCTCTGTGATGCTGCATGCAAAATTCTCCCTGCTGTTCAAATAGCCCAGGCCCCTCACTGTGTCCCCGGGCCTGCCCTCGGCCTGCAGGCTAAGGCTCTGAGCCTGTGGCCTGGAAGGGGCTGCTCTGGGCAGGAGATGAGGAAGGAAAGCCCTGGCCGCTCCTTCTGGGCACACTTCCTCGACGGTGACAAGGCAGCCGCGTGGCCAGAGGGGCAGGGGCTTAGGCTGAGTGTGTTTTCTCCTTGCAGTTCAGGGCGAGGTCTGGATTTGCCACGGCTGTGGCCTGCAGGGCTTGTGGCCAGCAGGCTCCCAGGAGGCCCTGCTGGGTGGTACTTAAGTGAGTGATAAATGAGATGGACTGTCTGCATCGATCCACCCTGGGCCTCACAGAATGGGAACTGTCGGATAGATACTGTGGCTGCCCAGGAGACGGGGCCTTCTGGGAGCAGCTGTTATCGTGGCTGCAGCTGCCTCGGCCCCCACCACTCAGGCAGGCCTTGGCCATAGTCGTGGTGGGGAAGCACCCAGGCCCTGTAGCTCAAGGGCTCCAGGCCGCCCACCCAGATCTGCGTGATCAGTTTCACAGCAGCCCCCACACCACCCTCCTGGGGAAAGGCGGGAACGTAGCATCATCTGCTGACTCAGTGGATTCCAGGGGGACCCTGCTCCACCAGCTCCAGGATAATCCTCTCCAAGCGGGACCAAGGCCAGGAAGTGTGTTCGTTTACTTCTTACTCTCTCTTTTCAAAATGGCTTTATTTAGGCCTGGTGTGGTGGCTCACACCTATGATCCCAGCAATTTGGGAAGCCGAGGCTAGTGGATCACTTGAACTCAGGAATTCGAGACCAGCCTGGCCAAAAAGGTGAAACCCTGCCTCTACTAAAAATACAAAAATTAGCCGGGTATGGTGGCGCACGCCTGTAGTCCCAGCTACTTGGGAGGCTGAGGCATGAGAATCGCTTAGACCCAGGAGACGGAGGTTGCAGTGAGCTAGGATTGAGCCATTGTACTCCAGCCTGGGTGACAGAGTGAGAACCTGTCTCAAAAAAAAAAAAAGGCTTTATTGGTTGAGCACGGTAGCTCTCACCTGTTATCCCAGCACTTTGGGAGGCTGAGGTGGGTGAATTCCTTGAGGCTGGGGGTTTGAGACCAGCCTGGCCAACATGGTGAAACTCTGTCTCTACTAAAATTGCAAAAATACAAAAAAATTAGCTGGGCGTGGTGGTGCATACCTATAGTCCCAGGTACTCGGAAAGATGAGGCAGGAGAATCACTTGAACCCAGGAGGCAGAGGTTGCAGTGAGCTGAGATCATGCCACTGTACCCCAGCATGGGTGACAGACCCAAACTCTTAGCTCCAAAAAAAAAAAAAAAAAAAGACAGAGTCTCATTATGTCACCCAGGCTGGAGCGCTATGGGACAATCACAGCTCACTCCAGCCTCAAAATCTTTGGCTGAAGTAATCCTCCTGCCTCAGTCTCCTGAGTAGCTGAGACTACAGGTGTGCACCACCATGCCCGGCTAATTTTTGTGTTTTTTGCAGAGATGAGGTATCGCTATGTTGCCCAGGCTGGTCTCAAACTTCTAACCTCAAGTGAGCCTCCTGCCTCAGCCACCAAAGCGCTGAAATTACAGGTGTGAGCCGCCATACCTGGTCTGCACTTGAAGCTTTTGAACTGTTTACTGCTTGATGTCCAGAAATGGCCACATTCTCAGTATTGGTGCTTTCGCTATTGTCACTTTGCCACCTCCTCTTCCTCTTGGTCATCTTGGGGACTTGAACACAGGACAGAGGAGCCAAGGCTGTCTTCCTGGTTCACACGCTCTCCTTGTCAGGGGGCAGTAGGCTGTGTATTTGAGTTGCTAACCACTAAGAAGGAATACAGCGATGACGGGAGGGGGTCCCTGAAGACTTAGCTAACACAGTGAAGCTGGCAGGGCGCTGTGGTTCATGCCTATAATCCCGGCACTTTGGGAGGCCGAGGTGAGCAGATCACTTGAGGTCAGGAATTCGAGACCAGGCTGGCCAACATAGTAAAACCCTGTCTCTAGTAAAAATATGAAAATCAGGCGGGGATGGTGGTGCACACCTGTAATCCCAGCTACTCGGGAGGCTAAGGCAGGAGAATCGCTTGAACCTGGGAGGCGGAGGTTGTGGTGAGCCGAGGTCATGCCACTGCATTCCAGCCTGGGCAACAGAGGGAGAGACTCCATCTCAAAAAAATAAATAAATAAAAAGTAAACACAGTGTAGCTGTGGAGCACGGCAGGGCACTCACAGGGGAGCAAGAGCCCCCAAGGCCTATTTCTGCAGTGAGGAAGGTGTCGGCCTAAACAGAAGAGATAGAAAATCGCCAGGCTCCCTGGGAAATGACTGTGTTCAAAATCAAACAAGCAATCTTGGTCAAAAAGACAGGGGAGCACCTGATAGGGTCAGGCTTTGGGAGGCTGTGAGAATAGTGAGTTCAGAGTTTGCATGAGCAAATTGGGTTTACACAGTTCTGCATGGCAGATGATGGGAATTTTCTGAAAAACCCAGGAGAAAATTATATTTAGATGTCATATTCTAAATACATCCTCTAGGATCCTGTGACTGTGTCTGCAAAAATGAACAAAAAATCTTTTATTTCCTTCCATTCACGGGTCCTGTCAAATATCTGTGGATCGTAAAGTGTCCCACACTCAAGAAAACTGTGGAGTGGACCTTGAAGGGCTTCCCCACCTGTGCAGGAGGGAAGACTCACAACAAACTGCAGGGTGGCCAGAGAGAACTCCTGACCTCAAATGATCTGCCCACCTCAGCCTCCCAAAGTGCTGGGATTGCAGTCGTGGGCCACCGTGCCTGGCTGTATTCTGCTTTTCAGACTTAGTTCAGTCTGTGTTATATCATGTGTACTGCCACATGGGATGGGCTTTTACTTTTATTTTCTATCTTTTTTTTTTTTAAAGACAGAATCTGTCCTACTGCCCAGACTGGAGTACAGTGGTGAGATCTTGGCTCGCTGAAACCTCTGCCTCCCAGATTCAAGCGATTCTCTTGCCTCAGCCTCCCGAGTAGCTGGGATTACAGGTGCTCACCACCATGCCCGGCTCATTTTTGTATTTTTAGTAGAGACAAGGTTTTGCCATGTTGGCCAGTCTCGTCTTGAACTCCTGACCTCAGGTGATCGGCCCACCTCAGCCTCCCAAAGTGTTGCAATTATAGGCATGAGCCACCATGCCCAGTCTTCTATCAATATTTTTATTGTATTTATTTATAAGAGACAAGAGTCTTGCTCTGTTTCCCAGTCTGGAGTGCAGTGCTGATTGTAGCTCACTGCAGCCTCGAATTTCCAAGTTCGAGCAGTTTTCCTGCCTCAGTCTCCTCTGAGTAGATGGGACCACAGGTGCACACCAACACACCTAGCTAATTTTTCTTTTAATAAGAGACGGTGGTCTCAGCCGGGCGCAATGGCTCATACGTGTAATCCCAGCACTTTGGGAGTCCGAGGCGGGTGGATCACGAGGTCAGGAGTTCGAGACCAGCCTAGCCAATATGGTGAAACCCCACCTCTACTAAAAAAATACAAAAAAGTAGCCGGGTGTGGTGGCAGTCGCCTGTAGTCCTAGCTACTCGGGAGGCTGAGGCAGAAGAATCGCTTGAACCCAGGAGGCGGAGGTTGCAGTGAGCTGAGATTGTGCCACTGCACTCCAGCCTGGGTGACAGAGCGAGACTCCGTCTCAAAAAAAAAAAAAAGCGGCAGCAGGAAAGGTGGTCTCACTGTGTTGCCCAGGCTGGTTTCAAACTCTTGGGCTCAAGTGATCCTCCTGCCTCGACCTCCCAAAGTGCTGGGATTACAGGTGTATACCACCACGTCTGACTAATTAAAAAAAAATATTTTCATGCAGATGGGGTGGGGTCTCCTTATGTTGCCCAGGCTGGTCTTGAACTCCTGGGCTCAAGCAGTCCTCCTGCCTTAGCCTCCCACAGTGCTGGGATTATAGGCGTGAGCCACCATGCCTGGACATCAGTATTTTTTTTTATTTTTTGAGACAGAGTCTCACTCTTGTGGCCCAGGCTGGAGTGCAGTGGTGCAACCTCAGCTCACTGCAACCTCTGCCTCCCGGGTTCAAGTGATTCTCTTGTCTCAGCCTCCCAAGTAGCTGGGATTATAGGCTCGTGCCCTCACACCTGACTAATTTTTGTATTTTTAGTAGAGATGGGGTTTCACCATGTTGGCTGGGCTGGTCTCGAACCCCTGGCCTCAAGTGATCTGCCTGCCTTGGCCTCCCGAAGTGCTGGGATTACAGGCGTGAGCCACCGCGCCTGGCTGTCAGTATTTTTAAATGGTTGAATGCCATTCCACTGCCTGCCTGTCTCCCACCACTGACCCTGCTGGCGGTTGGTGGTTTGGGTGATGATGGTGTTTTGCTGTCATAATTACCAAAGCAGGCAGTGTCTCTGTTTTGCTTACAGAACTTCTATCACATCGGAAATTATTTTCTTATTTACTTTATTTTTTTTTTTTTACAAAAAAGTAGGGGAAGGCTCCCAGCCGTGGGTTTTCTGATCAAAGGGAAAGAAACAGTTACTGGTTTTATCTGATTATAACAGTAATTTGGAAGATAAAAGAAAAATCCATTCAGGCCTTTTTTTTTCTGCTGTCATTTCCTTTTGTTCCCCCGTGGGTACAGCTGCAGGGACATGTACCAGGAGCTGCAGCTATCTGCTTAATGACAGATCCCAGAGATAAGGGGACAGCGCCACTAACATTCCTTCAGCGCCTAAGATGCCTCTGATTCCAGAAGGATGACTTGCATTAAAGAGTTCAGCAGCAACAAGAAAATAAAACACACAGACACACACATACACACACAAACACACATACATATATATAGTCTCCCCCCCCAAAATGGGGATTAAACTGTATATTCTTTTTCCCTAGAACATGCCATTTTTTGTTTCTTTTAATGCTCTTTGCTTTGACTTTCATTTTGGATATGGACACTGTGACTTCTGTTGTTGTCTTGGTAACATTTTACCATTATTATCTTTATTTATTACTTTTCTACCTCTCCTGGCCTTGACCATTTGTTTTTGTTGTTGTTGTTGTTTGTTTGTTTTTTGACACAGAGTCTCACTCTGTCGCCCAGGCTGGAGTGCAGTGGCACGATCTCGGCTCACTGCAACGTCCGTCTCCTGGTTCAAGCGATTCTCCTGCCTCAGCCTCCCAAGTAGCTGGGACTACAGGTGCGTGCCACCATGCCCGGCTACTTTTTTATATTTTTAGTAGAGATGGGGTTTCACCGTGTTAGCCAGGATGGTCTCGATCTCCTAACCTCGTGATCCGCCCGCCTCGGCCTCCCAAAGTGCTGGGATTACAGGCATGAGTCACCGCGCCTGGCCTTCTTTTTCTTAATTTTATTTTATTTTTGAGACGGAGTTTTGCTCTTTTTTGCCCAGGCTGGAGTGCAATGGCATGATCTCGGCTCATTGCAACCTCCACCTACTGGGTGCAAGCGATGCTTCTGCCTCAGCCACCCGAGTAGCTGAGATTACAGGCACCCGCCACCATGCCCAGCTAATGGCCATTTGTTTTAGACATGTTCCTTTTAGAAAGTGTAGATTTTTTAGCTGGGCATGGTGGTACATGTCTGTAGTCCAAGCTACTTGGGAGGCTGAGGCAGGAGGATTGCTTGAGCCCAGGAGGTTGAGACTATAGTCGGCTGTCATTGCACCACAGCACTCCAGCCTGGGCAACAGAGCGAGAACCTGTCTCAAAAACAACAACAAAACAGAGAGTGAGAAAACGGAGGCAGCCTACAGGCCCTTCTCATCGCGGGGGTGGTTAAAGTAAGTGCATTACGGTTTCTCCATACCTTGGCTCAATAGGCTGCTGTTAAAATGAAGCTCCTTTTATATGTATCAGTCATGTTAGGGGGGAAACGTTGCAAAGCAGGACTATTGGTAAATTCCCACTTTTTTTTTTTAAATACTGTGTCTGCATGGTTGTGTCTGCGTAGCCTTCATATTTACAGGGTTGTGTGTGCTTGTGGAAAGTTCTAGAAGGATATACCATGCTGTTACTAGTAGCTGACTCTGTGGAGTTGGTAGGAGGGTCACTGGAGAGGAACTTGCAACATATATACACTTCAGTGTTGTCTTTTTTGGGCAGATGGGGCAACAAGTAATATATACTAGTAATAAGATAATAAACATTAAAAACAGCCTGTAATCCCAGCACTTTGGAAGGCCAAGGCAGGAGGATTGCTTGAGGCCAGGAGTTTGAGACCAGCCTGGGCAACATAGGAAGACCCTGTCTCTAAAAAAATAAAAAATAAAAACTTAGCTGGGTGTGGTGGTGTGCACCTGTAGTCCAGCTACTCAGGAGGCTGAGGTAGGAGGATAACGTGAGCACGGGAGGTCGAGGCTGCATTTAGTGGTGATGGTGCCACAGTCCTCTGGCCTGGGCAACAGAGCGAGACCTTGTCTCCAAAAAAAAAAAAAAAAAGCCGGGCGGGCGCGGTTGCTCACGCCTGTAATCCCAGCACTTTGGGAGGCCGAGGCGGGCGAATCACAAAGTCAGGAGATTGAGACCATCCTCGCGAACACGGTAAAACCCCGTCTCTACTGAAAATACAAAAACATTAGCCGGGTGTGGTGGCGGGTGCCTGTGGTCCCAGCTACTCGGGAGGCTGAGGCAGGAGAATGGCGTGAACCCGGGAGGCGGAGCTTGCAGTGAGCCGAGATAGCACCACTTCACTCCAGCCTGGGTGAGAGCGAGACTCCGTCTCAAAAAAAAAAAAACAAAAAAAACCCCAAAACCAAAAAAACTTGCAGGGAGAGAGAGAAGGGGCGTTTTGTTCCTCCTGGGAGGGCACACTTGGGGTGGCACAGAACTTGGGAGTGAGTGAGTCAGGGGGACAGGAGTGCTGCCTGCACTTTCCCTGCTATTTCATGGATCCTCTCTGCTGCTTCCTCCTTCAGAAGAAGAAAGGGAAAGAGGCCATGCCAGGAGCTGGGCTGCTGCCACCCCAAGCTCCCGCCTTGCCCTCTGAGGCCAGGGCTCCTCACGGCATCTCCCTGACTGCTGCCAGAAGGAGCAAAGCCAAGGCCAAAGGGAAGGAGGTGAAGAAGGAGGTGAGGCTCACCGTGCCCTGGTGGGGGGCTGTGGGGGGCTGAGCCATGCTCCTGTGGTCGGGGCCAGGGGCTCCACCTGCTGCTCTGTATTCATCCCCCCTGTAGCTGTGGCTCAGAGAGGTTGCGGGTGACGAGGGTGACGTGGCTGTCCCCATGCTCCAGGGATAAGGAGATACTGGGGACTCTGCTCCTGTCCTCAGGAAATGTCTGCTCTAGCGGGGGCGAGGGACACTGGAACAGAGACCAGGAGACCTGGGTGACAGGCCCTCAGCCCAGCACCAGGTCCTTACAGGGCCCTCAGGCTTGGGTGAATCTGCCCAAGTGGCAGATGATGGCATGCCCACTCCCGACACCTGCTAGCCCCTGCCCAAGTGGTTTTTCCTCAAGCCCATTGGGTGGAAATGCTGGAGATGCTGCTGAAGTTTCTCTAAGAAGGGAACGGAGGCACCTGCCATAGTGATGAACAGAGGTATGGTAGTGAGTACTGAGTGCTGAGTGCTGATACTGAGCACAGAGTACTGAGTATTGAGCACCAAGTACTGAGCATGGGCCAGCTGGGTTTTGGGCCCATTTCACCCTCCCCCTGGCCTCTGGGGTGCCCCTAACTGGGATCCCTGCCATGCACATGACAGATTCCCCCTGTGGCCTGACTGTGGCTCCAGGTTTCCAGAGAGGGTCCCCAGCCCGGCAGGACCCCCGTTCAGGTCCTAAGTCATTTGTCGGCCATGCTCTGTCCCCAGAACCTCAGCAAGGGGGGCGCTGTGAGCAAGCTGATGGAGAGCATGGCAGCCGAGGAGGACTTTGAACCCAACCAAGACTCGAGCTTCTCTGAGGACGAGCACCTGCCACGTGGCGGGGCTGCGGAGCGGCCGCTGACCCCGGGTGAGTGGCCATGATGCCACATGTGCCGGGCGGGGCTGCTGGAGCCTCCCCTGGGGGAGGCAGATCTGAGCAAGGCTTGAGACGGACGGGCTGGGCTAGCTGGGGCCAGGGAACCGCAGGAGCAGAGATCCTGAGGCTGTTACCCGGGTGGATGAGAAGGCTGGACTGGCTGCAGCTTAGTCAACTGCAGATGAGGCAAGAGAGCCGCCTTGGGACCAGGGAGGAGGCAGGTCCTGCGGGGCTTGGGAAGGAGTTCCGTGTTGGCCCTAAGGAAAATGAGAAGCTCTCTGAGGTTAGATGTGGGGATGTGATATGGTCAGATTGGCTTTAAAACGAGCTGTCTGGGCCGAGCGTGGTGGCCCATGCCTGTAATCCCAGCACTTTAGGAGACCGAGTTGGGCAGATCACCTGAGGTCAGGAGTTCCAGACCAGCCTGGCCAACATGGTGAAACCCTGATTCTACTGAAAATACAAAAATTAGCTGGGTGTGGTGGTGGGTGCATGTAATCCCAGCTACCCGGGAGGCTGGGGCGGGAGAATCACTTGAACCCAGGAGGCGGAGGTTGCGGTGAGCCAAGATCATGCCATTGCACTACAGCCTGGGCAAAAAGAGCGAAACTGTGTCTCAAAAAAAAAAAAAAAAAGCTGTCTGGTGATGCACAGAGAATGAGTGGGGGCCCCAGGGAAGGCAGGGAGTCCAGTTAGGAGGCTGTGCTGTCCAGGCGAGAGTGGGTTGTAGCCTGGGGCTGCCGTGGGGGCAGCAGGGAAGGAGGCGGGGCAGGGTGCACACATTAGGAGGGAGAGTGGATGGGAGGTGGGGTCGGGGGTGCAGGCAGAGGAGAGGGGAAGGGAAGGGTGAGGACAGGTGTGGGGGTGGGCGGAGGCCCTGTCCCTGAGACCCAGGTCAGGGAGGGTCATCTGCTGGGGTTTGATGACTATTGGGAAGTCATGCCCAGGCTCGGACCCAGGGGTCTGTAGCCCAGAGGTGAGATCGTGGGTATGGATGGGGGAGCGAGTGAGAAGGAGTCGGCCGCCCCAAGGCTGCATTGGTCACCTGCTGCTATGTGACAACCAGCCGCCACCTGTGTGCATCTCAGGGGCACGTAGGGCTGCTGGGTGGCCATGCAGACCCCCAGTGGCCTCGCTCCTGCGGTGATGGGCTGGCCAGGGGTCAGCTGCTCCAGGTCTGTGGTCCTCTCTGCATGCGTTGTTTATCCTGCCAGACCCGTGGCTTAAGAGGAAAAGTTGGGCTTAAGAGCTCTCTCAAGGCCTAGGCTCAGCATTGGGCCCCGGCCACTTCTGAGAGCCACATGGCCAAGCCCAACGTCAAGGCGTGGGAAGTCAACTCTGTCTGTGACGAGGCCACGTGAGGGCTCTGTGCAGGCACAGGCAGGGATAGGGTGGTCCCAACCATCCCTCTCCCAGCGAGTCATCTGGGTAATGGGAATGTCGGGGACAGACCAGGTGAAAGGTCCCACTGAGAAGGAAGGGCAGGCCCAAGTGTCTCGGCAGGGGCAGGGAGAGGGAGGGAGCAGAGAGTTGGGGCAATGAGAGGTGACCGCCTTAGGGAAGTTTGCCCCTGGGCATTCATTTCCACCAGAAAGAAAAAGTGGATGGAAAGTCTCAGAGGTAGGTGGGGTGTGGTCACATGTACCTGTAATCCCAGTGCTTTGGGAGGCCGAGGTAGGAGGATCACTTGAGACTAGGAGTTCAAGATCAGTTGGGCAACGTAGCAAGACCCTGTCTCTACAAAAAATAATTAGCCAGGCATGGTGGTGTGCACCTATAGTCCCAGCTACTCAGGAGGCTAAGGTGGGAGGATGACTTGAACCCAGGAGTTCGAGGCTGCAGTGAGCTACGATCTTGCCACTGCACTCCAGGTTGGATGACAGAGCAAGACCTTGTCTCTGAAAAGATTATTATTATTATTATTATTATTATTATTATTGAGACGGAATCTCACTCTCTGTCACCCAGGCTGGAGTGCAGTGGCGTGATCTTGGTTCACTGCAGCTTCTGCCTCCCAGGTTCAAGCAATTCTCTTGTCTCAGCCTCCCAAGTAGCTGGGACTACAGGCATGCACTGCCATGCCTGGCTAATATTTGTGTTTTTAGTAGAGACAGGGTTTCACCATGTTGGCTAGGATGGTCTTGATCTCCTGACCTTGTGATCTGCCCGCCTCAGCCTCCCAAAGTGCTGGGATTACAGGCGTGAGCCACCGCACCTGGCCTGAAAAAATTATTAAAAAAAAAGAGGCCGGGCACGGTGGCTCACACCGGTAATCCCAGCACTTGGGAGGCTGAGGCGGGTGGATCACCCAAGGTCAGGGGCTCGGGACCAGCCTGGCCAACATGGCGGAACCCCATCTCTACTAAAAATACAAAAATTAGCCAGGCGTGGTGGCGGGTGCCTGTAATTCCAGCTACTTGGGAGGCTGAGGCACCAGAATCGCTTAAACCCGGGAGGCAGAGGTTGCAGTGAGCCGAGATCATGCCATTGCATTCCAGCCTGGGCAACAAGATTGAAACTCCATCTCAAAAATAAATAAATAAATAAATAAAATAAAAAGAAAGTCCTAGAAGTTTGGCTGAGGGCAGCAGTAAGGTGAGGGCAGACGTCATGATGGAGGATGGTCGCTGTGAGTGTCCGGTGATGGCTGGAACCCAGAGCTTCATGCCAGGCCCAGAGGCTGCTGGTCTTGAGGTGGGAAGAGACAGCACGTGCAGGCTTTCATCCCTGGGTTCACACCCACCTGGGGTCTTTGCAGACATCTGGGGCCAGGCCGGGGAGGGGGCTGAGAGGAGAGGGGAGGAGAGGGGAGGAGAGGGGCTGGCCACGGCACCCTGTGCGTGCCCACTGGTACACACAGGTCTGCACGGGTACACATACAGGCAGACGAAGGAGTGCACATGTCTCAGATCCACAGGCCCACCCAGCACCAGGGCCTCCATTCCAAGGGGATGACTTGGGGGTGACAGGAGGAGGGAGAGGTGTCGCAGACACCCCTGGCTTCAGTCTTGCCTCACGATCCAACCCCTGCAGCCCCTCGCTCCTGCATCATCGACAAGGACGAGCTGAAGGACGGCCTGCGTGTGCTCATCCCCTTGGACGACAAGCTGCTGTAGGCTGGGCACGTGCAGACCGTGCACTCACCAGACATGTGAGTGGGGTGGGAGGTCCGGCGCAGAGCCCCGTGTCCCATACCCGCCCTGTGTCCCATACCCGCCCCGTGTCCTGGCCGCCTCTGTGCCCGGCTGCTTCTCCTTTCTCGGCTGTGGCTTCCCCCGAAGGCACAGGGCAGGGGCATGAGTGGGCTCAGAGCTGACGGGGAGGCCCTGGGCACTTTGAGGGAGTACCAGGTGAACCCTCCCAGGGGCTGGGCACGGCTGCTCCATGGCAGGAGCCACAGTGGGAAGGGGTGAGAGAGCGTGCTGGCCTCTCTCAGGATCTGGACTGTGCCAGCCTGGTGTGCTCTACAACCCCTAGTCCTACAGATGAAGAAAATGAACCCAGAAAGGGGGAGAATTCCCAAATTCAGCAAGTCAGCAAACCTCTGAGTCCTGGTGTCACCTCCCAGTGGTCTAGGAGGCAGTGCTGGTGCTGGTGGGGTTGAGGCCCTCTGGGGAGGTCTTGGCCTCTGCCACCTCACACCTCGTTTGCTCCTACAGATACCGCGTGGTGGTGGAGGGTGAGCATGGGAACCAGCCCCACATCTACTGTCTGGAGCAGTTGCTGCAGGAGGTGATGAGAGGGGGAGGGGCGGGGCCTCGGGAGGCTCGGGGTGGGCTGGGTGTCCAAGGCCACGGCCACAACTGTGTCCACACCTTGGACTCATCCCATGCCCTCCTAGATTATCGATGTGAGGCCAGCTGCCACTCGCTTCTTGCCACAAGGGACCAGGATTGCAGCCTACTGGAGCCAGCAGTACCGCTGTCTCTACCCAGGCACCGTGGTCCGAGGTGAGATACCTCCTCCCCAACTCTCCCCTGCCATCTAACATCTCAGTATGGACTTGTTTGGCTACTAAAACCCAACTCTAACTGCTTAAGAATAAAGACGTGTGGGCTCACATAACTGAAAACTGTATGGCCTTCAGGCATGGTTGGATCCAGGTGCCATTTAAACGATGTCATCAGGACTCCAGCTCTGAGTATCTGTCAGCAGTGCTGTCATCTGTGCTGGCTTCACACTAGCTCCTTGGAGATTGTATTTTACCATCTTAAGAAATCTTACCATTGTACGATTTCTCAGTCCCGGTTTTCCCACACAAGTTCTAGTGTGAACTGACTTGGGCCACATGGTTTTCATTGATCCTACCGCCGTGAGTCTGATCGACCGGGCCTGGGTCAGATTCTCATCCCTGGGGCTAAGGAGTGAGGTCACCTCCCTTTTATTCGTGGACTGAGAAAGATGGGAGGGTGGCTTCCCCTGCAAAGTGGACATGTTGTTAGAATAAGAGAGAATGAGGCTGGGTGTGGTGGCTCATGCCTGTAATCCCAGCACTTTGGGAGGCCAAGGTAGGTGGATCACTCGAGGTCAGGAGTTCAAGACCAGCTTAGCCAACGTAGTAAAACCCCATCTCTACTAAAAATACAAAAACTAGCTGGTCATGGTGGCAGGCGCCTGTAATCCCAGCTACTTGGGAGGCTGAGGCAGGAGAATCGTTGAAACCTGGGAGGCAGAGGTTGCAGTGAGCCAAGATTGCACCACTGCACTCCAGCCTGGGTGACAGAGTGTGACTACATCTCAAAAAAAGAAAAAAGAATGGGGGCTGGATGGAGAAAAACAACAGGTAACCTAGGAAATTTAGGTGTGGATATCAGACAGGCAAGAAAGACAGTCAAATGGTCCAACCCTTAGCTTTTGCAAAAGCAATGTATCCTAGAGAGGGGGTATGGATGTGGATTAGACATTCCCCGCCTGTGCAAAAAAAAAAGCCCACTCACATGCCAAATACAGTCCACTGCTTGGCCTACAATCCATTCATACCCAGAAGATGGAAGCCAATGCCAGCTCAGCAAAACAACAGATGACTGGTCCAGCCTGAGTAGAGGATCTCAGGCCAGAAGACTTAGTTTTTTCCATTGTATTAGTCACTCATTTATCATCCAAATTCTGAAAGTGCTGTTAATAAAGCAGAAGTTGGCCTTAGATTCGGATTTCCTGGCACACGCTGTCCCCCTGTACTGGGAGGTGCTGGCTGTGTTCTAGGCCTGCCTCATGGGTATCATTCTGGATTCTTGGGCCTTCCCTGTCCCTCATCCTGGGAACCACTTTTGTTGTGTTGCATGTTTTTCTCTTTTTTTGGTTCAGCTCCTTGTTTTAAACAGTGGATCTTTGAGTAGCTTTCTGAGGAAGAGTCTGTGGGAGTTAAATTTCTCACATCCTTGTGTATTTGCAAATCTCTTCATTCTACCCTTATTTTTTAGAGATAGTTGAGCTGGGTACCCTTATTCTTTAGAGATAGTTGAGCTGGGTATAAATTCACAACTGGAAATAGTTCCCCTCACCATTTCAAAGACATTTTTCTATTTTTCTCTTGCTTCCCATGTTGAAGACATTCAACATTGTGATTCCAAAATCATTGTAGGAGACCTGCTTTTTTATCTCTGGAAACTTTTAGGATCTTCTCACTGTCCCTAGATCTGGAATTTCGTGTGTGTGTGTGTGTGTGTGTGTGTGTGTGTGTGTGTGTGTGTGTGTGTTCTCATCATGCTTGGTATCTGCAGAGGGAGGCTTTGATTTTGAAGCAAATTTCCTTGATTCTTGGAAGCTCTACTTGTAGCACAACTTGGTTAACTTCTCTTGTGAATTTCATGTTTTCCCTGGAACTTGGGCTAGGTCCCATGGCCCCTGGTGTGTGTGTCTTTTTTTCTGTTAATATTTTCTTATTTTGTTCAACTTGCGGAGAGATTTTCTCTACTTTTATCTTCTAACCCCTTCTGTTTTCTTGAATTTTAAAATTTTCTGCTGTCATTTAAAAAAATTCTCCACCAGCGGCAGTGGCTTACATCTGTAGTCCCAGCAATTTGGGAGCCTGATGCGGGCAGATCACTTGAACCCAGGAGTTCGAAACCAGCCTGGGCAACATAGCAAGACCATGTCTCTACAAAAAGATACAAAAATTAGCCAGGCGTGGGCCAGGCGTGGTGGCTCACATCTGTAATCTCAACACTTTGGGAGGCCAAGGTGGGCAGATCACCTGAGGTCAGGGTTTGAGACCAGCCTGGGCAGCATGGTGAAACCCCGTCTCTATTAAAAATACAAAAATAAGCTGGGCGTTGTGGCGGGTGCCTGTAATCCCAGCTACTCGGGAGGCTGAGGCAGGAAGGAATCACCTGAACCTGGGAAGTAGAGGTTGCAGTGAGCCGAGATCACACTGCTGCACTCTAGCCTGGGTAACATAGTGAGACTCTGTCTCAAAAAAAAAAAATTATCCAGGCTTGGTGGTGTGCACCTGTTGTCCTTGCTACTTGGGAGACCGAAGTGGGAGGATCACCTGAGCCTGGGTGGTCGAGGCTTCAGTGAGCTATGATTGCGCCATTGCATTCCAGCCTGGGTGACAGAATGACACCCTGTCTCAAAAAAAAAAAAATCCTTAAGAGTTCTTTCTTATTCTCTGAATATTCCTTAAATTTTTTTTTGTTTTATCAACACATTTCTTTTTAAACTTTCTCAGAGGATTGTTTTTCATTTTAACTTTCTGTATTTTTTTGAGACAGAGTCTTGCTCTGTCACCCAGGCCGGAGTGCGGTGCAGTGATCTCAGCTTACTGCAGCCTCTACCTCCCGGATTCAAGTGATTCTCCTGCCTCAGCCTCTGGAGTAGCTGGGATTACAGGCATGCACCACCATGCCCAGCTAATTTTTTGTATTTTTAGTAGAGACGGGATTTCACCATGTTGGCCTGACTGGCCTCGAACTCCTGACCTCAGGTGATCTGCCTCTCTTGGTCTCCCAAAGTGCTGGGATTACAGGCGTGAGCCACTGCACCTGGCCTCATTTTAGCTTTCTGCAGCTCCCTCTCTCTTCCCAGTCCCCCCTCCTTCTGTTTGCTGGTGCTGTGCTCTTCCTCTGGTTAGAACTTCTTAGGCATCTGGGGACCCTGAATGAAGGGAACATTATCAAGCTGATGGGAACTCTGTGCACTCATGAGTCTTTGTCATAGTGGGTGGACAGGAAGGTTTTGTTAGGGGGCTGCCCAGATTCTGCAAGACTCACATCCTTGGGGATATAGTCCCAGCATCTGGCGTTTGGGAAGAGGGCTGGGCTATCACCCTTTGGGGGGCCTGTACAGCCTCCTCCCTACGCTCAGTGTCCTTCAGTCTGGAGCCTCTCTCTAGGGTGAACCTCCCAGCTCCTGCCAGCTGGGCCACCCTCAGCCTGTTCAGTGTTGAGGTCTCCCTCAGCCCTGCCTCCAGAGGTGGTTGGGGCCTCTTGAGCCCGAGCCTTGGCAGGATTCTCTTGGGAAAACCACCTCCTCCTCGTGGGTATCACCTCCTCCTAGGAGATCAAAGCCCGCTCCTGCACGTTCATCCCGGCATCTCTCCGGAAATGCCACCGTCTCCCACTGCCGCCCTCCCCTTTCCCATTCTTCATGTCCTTCAGGGTTGACACCTGTGTCCCTCCTTTGCTGTGGTTGCAGGAGGGTCTTGTGCATGAGCGGGCACAGGTGCATGTGCTCAGCTGTCTTGTGTCACCCAAAGTCAGCTAGAAATGGGAGACCCAGGCCAGGGACAGTGGCTCACGCCTGTAATCCCAGCACTTTGGGAGGCTGAGGTGGGTGGATCACCTGAGGTCGGGAGTTTGAGACCAGCCTGACCAACATGGAGAAACCCCATCTCTACTAAAAATACAGAATTAGCCGGGCGTGGTGGTGCATGTCTGTAATCCCAGCTACTTGGGAGGCCGAGACAGGAGAATCACTTGAACCCGGGAGGCGGAGGTTGCGGCAAGTCAAGATCACGCCATTGCACTCCAGCCTGGGCATCAAGAGTGAAACTCTGTCTCAAAAAAAAAAAAAAAAAAGAAAGGGAGACCCATTTCTCCTGCCCGGATGGCCTGGCTCTAACACCCACATTCTGAGCCACTGTATACCCTCCACCCATGTCCCCACTGCTGTACCATAGAGACCAGGGCTGCACAGGGGCCAGTTTCTGCCATCCTGACCTTTGTGCCTCACTAGGGAGCTGGAGGTCGGAGGGCCTCCCCTGAGCCTCCCCTCCTCCCACAGGGTTACTGGACCTGGAGGAGGATGGGGACTTGACCACCGTGGAGTTTGACAACGGAGACACAGGCAGGATCCCCCTCTCACATATCTGCCTCCTGCCCCCTGACTATAAGATCCAATGTAAGTGACAAGCTCATGACACCCGGGCTCCTGCCAGGGGCCGCCCACCCAGGCTCTCGCCCTCCAAGCCCAGCTCTGGGCTGTGTCTGAAGTCATTTGGAGCCACAGGTGATAGAAGTAGCAGAATCCATGGATGGGCTCCTGTGAGATCCCAGGGTTCCCGGGTCCTGGGTCCATGAGGACAGCACAAGCCCAGTGGCCCAGGCCATGGGAAGCTGATCAAAAATTGTTAATGGCTGGGTGTGGTGGCTCACGCCTGTAATCCCAGCACTTTGGGAGGCCAAGATGGGCGGATCATGAGGTCAAGAGATCGAGACCATACCGGCCAATATGGTGAAACCCTGTCTCTATTAAAAATACAAAAATTAGCCGGGCGTGGTGACATGCACCTGTAGTCCCAGCTACTCGGGAGGCTGAGGCAGGAGGATCCCTTGAACCTGAGAGGCGGAGGTTGCAGTGAGCTGAGATCCTGCCACTGCACTCCATCCTGGCTACAGAGCGAGACTCTGTCTCAAAAAAAAAAACAAAAAAACAAAAAAACCAACAAAAGTCAGCATCTTTATCCACCTGTCCCAGTTCCACAAAGTGCTTTGTTTTACTTCATTATTCGGGAGCCTCTGGCTGCCCCCTGCAGACGGGGTTTCCCCTGCTGGACCTCACAGCCTGTCGTGGGAGCCCACCCGGGGTCAGACACCTGGTGTCAGTTGCTTCCGCCCCCATCCCTGATCCCCGGGACAGACCACGGTCTTGGAAGCTCCAAGCTGGGGACCCCAGGCCTGACGAGCCACTCTGTCCTCTGCCCCACAGGTGCTGAGCCATCCCCGGCCCTCCTGGTGCCAAGTGCCAAGCGCCGCAGCCAGAAGACCAGCAAAGACACCGGGGAGGGCAAAGACGGTGGCACGGCTGGGTCGGAGGAGCCAGGAGCCAAGGCCCGTGGGCGTGGGTGGAAACCCAGCGCCAAGGCCAGGGGTGGTAGGTTGGCCCGGTCCCCAGGGCAGGGGTGGTGGGCGGAGCTCCTTCGTGCATCCAAACTCCAGGCTTGGGAACCTGTCGAAGTGCCTGCCTGCTGTCTGTAAGAACTCTGAGCCGAGTGCGGTGCCTCACACCTGTAATCCCAGCGCTTTGGGAGGCCAAGGCGAGCAGATCGCCTGATGTCAGGAGTTCAAGACTAGTCTGGCCAACGTGGTGAAACCCCATCTCTACTAAAAATATAAAAATTAGCCGGGCATGGTGGTGAGTGCCTGTAATCCCAACCACGTGGGAGGCTGAGGCAGGAGAATCGCTTGAACCTGGGAGCTGGAGGTTGCAGTGAGCCAAGATCACGCCATTACACTCCAGCCTGGGCAACAAGAGCGAAACTCCATCTCAAAAAAAAAAAAAAAAAAAAAAAGAGAACTCTGCACCTGCACCGCAGGGCCGTTCTGACCAGGTGACAGATGAGGAAACTGAGGCTGAGGGAGGCAGGTTGGTTTGTCAGAGGCAGAGCTGAGCTGCAGCTGGCCTGTGTTTCTTTCCAGAATCCAGAGAAAATGCTTCATGCAGGCTGAAAGCAGAGGAGGACCCGCTTTGGGGCCAACACAACTTAAGGTTGTTATAGGGGAACTGCCGAAGGAGGCCTAAGAAGGCTGCAGCCAGGTTCCACTCAAGAAGTAGCAGGGCCAGGATTGAAACCAGGCCTTTCTGCTGGGCGCAGTGGTCCACACCTATTCTCAGCACTCTATGAGGCCCAGGCACAGGGATCGCTTGAGCCCAGGAGTTTAAGACCAGCCTGGGCAACAGAGCAAAACTGTATCTCTACCAAAAAAAAAATAATAATAATAATACAAAAAATTCCCCAGGCATAGTGGCGCATGCTTGTGGCCTCAGGTTACTTGGGAGACTGAGGCTGGAGGCTCACATGAGCCCAGGGAGGTTAGGGCTGCAATGAGCTTTAATCACGCCACTGCACTCCAGCTTGGGTGACTGAGACCCCATCTCAAAAAAAACAAAAACAAAAACAAAACTCACAGAAGCAGGCCTTTCTGATGAAAGCCACAGCTCATCTCTGCCAGGAAGCCCCCGCCCCAGCCTCTCATCTGTTTTGTTTTGCAGACAGAGCTGCTACCCTGGAGGAAGGGAACCCAACAGACGAAGTCCCCAGTACCCCCTTAGCCCTGGAGCCGAGCAGCACCCCAGGTTCCAAGAAGAGCCCCCCAGAGCCTGTGGACAAGCGAGCCAAGGCCCCCAAGGTGCGCCGGGCACTGCCGCAGCCCAGTCCCGCACCACCCGCCTTCACCAGCTGCCCAGCACCCGAGCCATTTGTGGAGCTGCCAGCTCCTGCCACCACCCTGGCCCCAGCACCCCTCATCACCATGCCTGCCACACGCCCCAAGCCCAAGAAGGCGCGGGCAGCCAAGGAGTCGGGTGCCAAGGGCCCTCGGAGGCCGGGGGAGGAGGCCGAGCTGCTTGTCAAACTGGATCACGAGGGTGTCATGTCACCCAAAAGCAAGAAGGCTAAAGAGGCCCTGCTGCTCTGGGAGGATCCGGGGGCGGGGGGCTGGCAGGAGCCCAAGAGCCTCCTGAGCCTGGGCAGCTATCACCCTGCGGCCGGCAGCAGCGAGCCCAAGGCACCCTGGCCCAAGGCCACCGACCGGGACCTCGCCCAGGAACCCGGGCCGGGGCTCACGTTCGAGGACTCTGGGAACCCCAAGAGCCCGGACAAGGCCCAGGCTGAGCAGGACGGGGCCGAAGAGTCCGAGAGCAGCAGCAGCAGCAGCAGCAGCAGCAGCGGCTCGGAGACAGAAGGGGAGGAGGAAGGCGACAAGAACGGGGACGGGGGCTGTGGCGCCGGGGGCCGTAACTGCAGCGCTGCCAGCTCCAGGGCGACCTCACCGGCCTCCTCCTCCTCCTCCTCCTCCTCATCCTCCTCCTCCTCTTCCTCCTCCTCTTCCTCTTCGTCTTCCTCCTCTTCCTCCTCCTCCTCTTCCTCATCCTCATCCTCCTCCTCCTCTTCCTCTTCTTCTTCCTCCACCACAGATGAGGACTCTTCCTGCAGCTCGGACGATGAGGCAGCCCCCGCCCCCACGGCTGGCCCTTCTGCGCAGGCGGCGCTCCCCACCAAGGCCACCAAGCAGGCTGGCAAGGCGCGGCCCTCGGCCCACTCCCCAGGCAAGAAGACGCCCGCGCCCCAGCCCCAGGCGCCTCCTCCGCAGCCCACACAGCCTCTGCAGCCCAAGACTCAGGCTGGGGCCAAGAGCCGACCCAAGAAGAGAGAGGGCGTCCACCTCCCCACCACCAAGGAGCTGGCCAAGCGGCAGCGCCTGCCGTCCGTGGAGAACCGGCCCAAGATTGCCGCCTTCCTGCCAGCCTGACAGCTCTGGAAGTGGTTCGGCAAGCCCACCCAGGTGAGCAAGCTCGCGCCCGGGCACGGCCGAGGGGCCGGGGGCCTTGTCTCTCTCTGCTGGGCCCACGGCTTCACGCCGTGTCTCCGCGTGTGGTAACCTCCCAGAACCCCAGGGTGGAGGGCTGGCGTCCCACTTTATGGATGGGTACACTGAGTCTCAGAGTGTCCTCAGGCACCTGGGTCTGTCGGACTCCGATGCCTGAGTCCTTCAGAGCAGAGCGGTCCTGCCCTCTGGTCCTGCGAGGCAGAGCCACCCTCATGTGGAGCCCAGATGAAGGAAACGTGCAAAGATCAGCACAGACCCACAGGCGTCAGCGCCACGTGGAAGGGGCTTTCCAGGCCTCTGGGATTGTTTCCTTTTTCTTTTTTTGAGACTGAGTCTCTCTCTGTTGCCCAGGCTGGAGTGAGGTGGTGTGATCTTGGCTTACTGCACCCTCTGCCTCCCGGGTTCAAGCAATTCTCCCGCTTCAGCCTCCCAAGTAGCTGGGATTACAGGCGCACGCCACCACGCCTGGCTAATTTTTGTATTTTTAGTAGAGATGGGGGTTTCCCCATGTGGGTCAGGATGATCTCAAACTCTCCTGGCCTCAAGTGATCTGCCTGCCTCGGACTCCCAAAGTGCTGGGATTACAGGTGTGAGCCACCGCGCCTGGCTTTTTCTTTTCTTTCTTTTTTTTTTTTAGAGAGAGGATCTTGCTCTGTCACCCAGGCTGGAGTGCAGCGGCGCCATCATAGCTCACTGCAGCTTTGAACATCTGGGCCCAAGCAGTTTTCCCACCTCGGCCTCCTGAGTATCTGGGACTACAGACGTGTGCCACCATGCTACCCAGCTGATTTTTAAATATTTTTGTAGAGACAGGGTCTCACTGTGTTGCCTGGGCTGGTCTTGAACCCCTGGGCTCAAGTGATCCTCCTGCCTCGGCCTCCCAGAGTGCTGGGATTCCAGGTGCGGGGCCTGACAGCCTGTTGTGCGTGGCATTTTAGTGTTCCCAGCCATGCCCCGGGCTCCTGGCCACTAGTGTGGCAGTCCCAGCAGAAGGTACCTCCTTCCCGGGTTTGCTAGCAAAAGTCCACGATTGAAGCTCCTTGGCCTGGCCAGGATCATGTGCCCACCCCTGAGTGAATCAATATGGCCTGGAAAACAAAGTCCTGGCTGGCCAGGTCGGGGTCCCGTGTGCCCTGCCTGCAGCAGTGGGTTAGCTGTTCAGAAGGAGCCCTTCCAGCCTACCTGTGGCTGTCTACACACATGCACACACACTTGCACACAGTGCACTCAAAAACACAGGCACATGCACACACGCACACATGCACACATATGCATGCACATGTACACACGAATGCACATACAGCCACACACAAAAGCAAGTACACACGCACACAGACGTACATGTGAATGCAGGCACATACACGAACCATGTAAACATGAACATGCACACACATGCACACAAATACACTACACCCACCCAAACGCACTCTTGCACACGTACACAAATGTTGGCACATACATGCGTGCACATGCATCCATGCACATGTGCATGCACACATGAGTACATGTGCATACACACACAAACACGTGGGTGCACACACGAACACACGTGCACACACACGAACATGTGCACAAGTGTAGGCACATACATGCATGCACATGCATCCATGCATGAACACACATGCACAAATGCACAGATGAACATGTGCACACACAGGCACATACACGTGACAGGACCCAGTGTGAGAAGTGAGGGTGGTTCAGGCAGGCTGGCAGGGAGCCCCCAACGTGCTGTAGATGTGGGGCAGGAGCACCTGCATGTTCCAGTAGGGGTCCGTGGTGTCTCAGGCAGCATTTCCAAAGCTGCTCTAGAATGGAGTTTCAAGTCTCTCTTGCCCAGGTGCAGTGGCTTAAGTCTGTAATCCCAGCACTTTGGGAGGCCCAGGTGAGAGGATCACTTAAGCTTGGGAGGTCAAGGCTGCAGTGAGCTATGATTGTGCCACTATACTCCAACCTGGGCGATAGTGTGAGACCTTGTCTTGAAAAAAATAATAGTTTTAGCCGGGCGCAGTGGCTCACACCTGTAATCCCAGCATTTTGGGAGGCCCAGGCAGGAGGATCACTTGAGGTCAGGAGTTCGAGACCAGACTGCCAACATGGTGAAGCCCCGTCTCTACTAAAAATACACACACAAAAATTAGCCAGGTGTGGTGGTGCACGCCTGTAATCCCATCTACTTGGGAGGCTGAGGCAGTAGAACTGCTTGAACCTGGGAGGCAGAGGCTACAGTGAGCCAAGATAGTGCCACTGCACTCCAGCCTGGGCGACAGAGTGAGACTTCATCTCAAAAAGAATAATAATAATAATAACAATTTTTAAAAGATAAAAAAGGCCAGGTGTGGTAGCTCACGCCTGTAATCCCAGCTCTTTGGGTGGCTTATGTGGGAGGATCACTTGAGGCCAAAAGTTCAAGACCATCTTGGGCAACATAGTGAAACCCCCATCTCTACAAAAATGAAAATATTAGCCGTGCATTCCTGTAGTCCCATCAACTCAGGCGGCCGAGGGAGGAGGATGGCTTGAGCCCAGGAGATTGAGGCTGCAGTGAGCTATGATAGTACCACTGCAGTCCTGCCTGGGTGACAGAGCAAGACCCTTTCTCTGAAAAAAGTAATTTTCAAAAGAAAAATAAGGCCAGGTGCAGTGGCTGACACTGCGATCCTAGTGCTTTGGGAGGCAAAGGTGGGAGGGTGGTTTGAGGCCAAAAGTCTGAGACCATCCTGGGCAACATAGTGAGACCTTGTTCTCTACAAAAATAATCAAAATTAGCCGGGCATGTTGTGCGCCTGTATTCTCAGCTCCTCAGAGGCTGAGGTGGGAGAGGATTTCTTGAGTCCAGGAGTTCGTGGCTGCAGTGAGTCATGATGGCGCCACTGCGCTCCAGCCTGGGCAACAGAGGGAGACCCTGTCTCAAAAATAAAAAGTCTGGTAGTGGCAGAATCCTTAGATTAAGGGAAGCGCCTCTTGGAGACCCAGCATATCAAAGAGGTGGAAGAGGGGCTTCCCCACTTGGAGCAAGACAAGGGGCTTCCTCCTTTCCCAAGAGTTGGATAGGGGTTGACTTAGAGGCCAAGGGCCTGGAGTCCCAAGCGCAGAGCCTGCCAGGCGGCGGGCTCCTCAGGGCTGGGCCAGGGCCTGTGCCGTGACACACGTGTCCTTGCAGCAGCGTGGCATGAAGGGCAGGGCCCACAAGCTCTTCTACAAGGCCATCGTGTGCGGCAAGGAGATAATCCGTACTGGGGACTGTGCCGTGTTCCTCTCTGCCGGCCGCCCCAACCTGCCCTACATCGGCTGCATCCAGAGCATGTGGGAGTCGTGGGGCAACAACATGGTGGTCCGCGTCAAGTGGTTCTACCACCCCGAGGAGACCAGCCCAGGCAAGCAGTTCCACCAGGGCCAGGTGAGCCTGCAGCCCGGCTGCGGCCCCCCGGGCTGGGCCCCCCAGTCCTAGGCGGTGTAGGGCAGACCTGAGGGCGAGGCGTTCTGGGTGCTGGAGCATCAGCAGCCCTGCCCAGTGGGTCAGCCCTGTCCTGGGGCCTGGGGTCAGGTGCAGCAGCCCCTGGGCTCACCCAAGCCCCTCCTCTCTCCCCCACACAGCACTGGGACCAGAAGTCCAGCCGCAGCCTCCCGGCGGCCCTGCAGGTCTCCAGCCAGAGGAAGGACTTCATGGAGGTAGGTGGTGGTGGTGGTGGGTGGGTTGGGGATGGCTGCCTCCTTCCGGGCAGCTCAGACAGGGCTCAGCTCAGCATCTGCTGCTCTGTCCCCCATGGTCTCCCTCAGCCTCTGACCTCCTGTCCCTGCCACTCTCAGTGCCTGGCTCCTGTTCTCTGTCTCTCCCGGTCTCTGCGTCTATCTCTGTCTCTGGGTCTCCTCTGCTCTCCCAGTGTCTGTCTCTGAGTCTCTGGCCATTCTTGCCCTCTGACTCTCTCTGGGTCTCTCCCAACCTCTATCTTTCAGTCTCTGTGTCTCTCTGGGTCTCTCGATCTCAGTCTCGGTCTCTGTCTCTCTGCGTCTTTGGATCTCTTGTTCTGTCTATCCTTGTCTTCTGTCTCTCATTTGCTCTCCATCTCTCAGTCTCTGTCTCTCTTTTGTTGGTCTGTCTCTCCTTGTCTTCTGTCTCTCATTTGCTCTCCATCTCTCAGTCTCTGTCTCTCTTTTGTTGGTCTGTCTCTTCCTCAGCCTCTGTCTCTGACCTGGTCTCTGTCTCAGTCCCTGGCGCTCCCTCTGCTTCTGTCTCTGTCCCTGTGGCTCCCTGGGGCTCCCTCGGCCTTTGTGCCCCCTACCTGCCATCCTGATGTCCCCGCGTGCCCGCAGCGCGTGCTATACCAGTCCTCGCATGTGGACGAAAATGACGTGCAGACGGTGTTGCACAAGTGCCTGGTGGTGGGCCTGGAGCAGTATGCGCAGATGCTGAAGACCAAGAAGTACCAGGACAGCGAGGGCCTGTACTACCTCGCGCGCACCTACGAGCCCACCACAGGCATGATCTTTTCCACGGACGGCATGCCCGTGCTCTGCTGAGCCCGCCGGGCTCTGCTGGCCACCGGCCACCTGTGCCCCGAGGGCGGCCAGGGACCCCTCTCCATCACTGCCATGGTTTGGAGACCATGTGCGTTGTGTGCATGCGAGCGCTCCTGCAGGCGTGAGCATGGGGCCAGGTGTGCACGTGGACGCCCGGGTGAGCATGTTTGTGCATGTGTGTGCCCGTGTGCATGCACGTGTGTGCATGCACGTGTGTGCATGCATGTGCACATGCTTCCAGCCCCACCTTCCAACCCCTCAGTGCCCCCAGGACAGGGGCCCCTCTTAGCTATCAGGGTATGGCCCTGCTGTCCCCCTCAGGGCAGTCTCAGCCGGGACCGGCCCTTCCTGCCCAGCACATTGCAAGCACTTGGCCAGGCCGGCCCTCCAGCCTGCTGCTGCATGGGGGCCCGGGTGCCCCCAGGCCCATGCAGACTGGGGATTCAGTGGGGAGGGGCGCTTCTAAGGAACCAAACTGACGCTCACTCTGGGCTTCCCGGGCACCCTTAGCATGGAGCCCACCCCAAGGCCTCCCACTGTGCATGGGATGGGGTGGCCCGATGCCAGCTGGCCTACTGACTGTGCCAGGGGCCTTGCCCCCACCCTCTCAGGATGGCCTAGACTTGGGGAACACAGCAGGGTGGGGTTGCAGCCCGGGGTATCAAAGGCACCAGGTGGAGAGGGCCCGGCACAGGCCCACCCTGGTCCAAACCCTCACACTACAGAAAACCCCAATGGTGCTGAAACCCTCGCCCGGCCACGCCCGGCCCCTCCCCACCCAGGAGGGAGGTGGCACTTCTTAACCTGTACAGTTTTATTGTACCAAGAGACTCGCCCTGCCCCTGTATCATAAGCCTTTAAATGGAGTCAACTTTTTAATTATATATATAAAGATAAATATATATAAATATATATAAACTTTTTAAAACTGAAAAATAGCTATAAAATTATAAAAAAAAAACACATTCTGATGTGCAGAATATTATTTTTTATTTCCTATTAGATTGTAGTGTCTAGCACCGGCTTCACCAGCCTCCCGGTCTCCAGCACACCCCCCGCCCACCCCGCCAAGTGTACCGTACTCACCCCCCAGGATAGAGAAGTGTTAGGGAGAGCAGGAGCCGGCCCGAGCCCAGGGTCCCTGCTTGGGCCCCAGAAAGCACTTAACCAGGCCCCAGGCCTTCCAGGGAAACCAAGGCCTCGACCAGACAATCTTGAGGGAAGGAATAGCCAGACTTTGGGTTTGTTTTTTGGGGGAATTATTGTTTTTTTTTTTTTATGTTTCTTTTGGAATTTTGTTTGTTGGCAAATTCTGTGTGATCTTTTTTCATTAAAAAAAAAGAAAAGATTTAATTGGAAAAATAAAATTGTCTGGAGTGGTTTATTTCAGGAGCTGGAGTAGGGGTGGTGTCTGGGGGCATTCTGCCATATCAGGGCACCAAGAAGCAGGATTCGACTGGAAGTTGGGTGCCACCCGTGCAGGGGCAGTGACCACATGCAGCCATCTAAATGAGCTATTCGGCCGGGCACGGTGGCTCACGCCTGTAATGCCAGCACTTTAGGAGGCCGAGGCAGGAGGATCACTTCAGGCTAGGAGTTCGAGACCAGCCTGAGCAATGTGGTGAAACCCCGTCTCTACTAAAAATACAAAAATTAGCCAGGTGTGGTGGCCCACACCTGTAATCCCAGCTACTCGGGAGGCTGAGGTGGGAGAATCACTGGGACCCGGCAGGTGGAGGTTGCAATGAGTTGAGATTGCACCACTGCACTCTGGCCTGGGGGTGACAGAGATTATCTCAAAAAAAAAAAAAAAAGAAATTGAACAAATTTACCTGAGAAAAAATTAAAAGTTAAGTTGGCTGGGTGTGGTGGCTGATGCCTGTAATCCCAGCACTTTGGGAGGCCAAGGCAGGCGGATCACTTGAGGTCAGGAGTTCGAGACCAGCCTGGCCAATATGGTGAAACCCCATCTCTACTAAAAATACAAAAAAATTAGCTGGGTGTGGTGGAGCGTGCCTGTAATCCCAGCTACTTGGGAGGCTGAGGCAGGAGAATCGCTTGAACCCACGGCAGATGTTACAGTGAGCTGAGATCACGCCACTGCCCTCCAGCCGGGGTGACAGAACGAGATTCCATCTCAAAAAAACAGTGCCAGGCATGGTGGCTCACGCCCGTAAGCCCAGCACTTTGGGAGGCTGAGGAAGGTGGCTCACCTGAGGTCGGGAGTTCAAGACCAGCCTGACCAAAATGGAGAAACCCCGTCTCTACTAAAAGCACAAAATTAGCCGGGCATGGTGGCACATGCCTGTAATCCCAGCTACTCGGGAGGCTGAGGCAGGAGAATCGCTTGAACCCGGGAGGCAGAGGTTGCAGTGAGCTGAAATCGAGCCATTGCACTCCAGCCTGGGCAACAAAAGCGAAACTCCTCAAAAAAAAAAAAGCAAAGCTGCACATTCCCAGCCATGCCTACCACAAAATGATACTAGAAGAAAATGATACTAATGCTAAGAGTGGCCCCAAGCCCTCACCTAGATGGGGGTGGATGGCATCTCTGCACTGGGGCCTAGGGAAGCTATAAGTGGGGGTCTGGCTGCCCAGTGACTGACCTGGTTAGTGTGGGTGGCCTGCAGAGGACATTCGGGGCTTTGCAAAGAGGGTAACCCAGGGAGGGCAGTCAGCCGGCCTCGGGCAAGGGAAGGGCCCGGCGTGGGCTCTGGGAAATGCTCTGGTGTCACCTGGCGCAGTCTTGGCCCAAGTGGCTGCCCACCTGGACCCCAGGGAGGATGCCTGCCAGAGCACAGGTGGCCCTCGTGCCCTCCTTTAAGGGACCCACATCAAAACCTGGACCAGCCCCATTCCTTGGGGAAGCTAAGGACAGAACAGGCTGGGCGCAGTGACTCATACCTGTAATCCTTGCACTTTGGGAGGCCAAGGCAGGGGGAACACTTGAGGCCCAGAATTTGAGACCAGTCTGGGCGCAGTGACTCATACCTGTAATCCTGGCACTTTGGGAGGCCAAGGCAGGGGGAACACTTGAGGCCCAGACTTTGAGACCAGTCTGGGCAACAGCAAGACCCCATCTCTACACAAAATAAAAGAACCTAGCCAGGCGTGTTGGCACGCGCCTGTATTCACAGCTATTTGGGAGGCTGAGGTGGGAGGATCACTGGAGCCCAGGAGGTGGAGGCTGCAGTGAGCTATGATGGCACCACTGTACTCCAGCCTTGGTGACAGAGCGAGAGCCTGTCTTGTAAAGAAAGAAAAAACAAAAATGAGGCACAGGCCAGGTGCAGTGGCTCACACCTGTAATCCCAACACTTTGGGAGGATGAGGCAGGTGGATCACTTGAGGTCAGGAGTTCGAGACCAGCATGGCCAACATGGTGAAACCTGGTCTCTACAAGAAAAATTAGCCAGGTGTGGTGGTGCGTACCTGTAATCCCAGCTACTTGAGAGGCTGAAGCAGGAGAATCACTTGAACCTGGGAGGCGGAGGTTGCAGTGAGCCAAGATTGTGCCACTGCACTCCAGCCTGGGCGACAAGAGCAAGACTCAGTCTCAAAAAAAAAAAAAAAAAAAGAAAGAAAGAAAGAAACGAGGCACAGAACAGTGCAGGATTTTGTCCAAATTGCACAAATCAGCAAAAGAGATGAGGCTCGAGGCCAGGAGGCTCTGACTCCTAGGATGCAGTGCAGTCCCCAAGGGGCAGGGGCCAAGCTGCGACCGCTTCGTTTCCCCTTCAAATGGGCTGCATGCGGCCATCCTCCCTGATCCTCATGAAGACTGGGGGGCGGTCATCAAGGTGAGCGACAAACCCCAAGTGCTCCCAGCTCTCACCCCACCACCCAGCCCTGCCCACAAACCAAGCCTACCCGGTGTGAGGACACCCTCCTGCTCCCTGATCCACCCGGCCTACCTCACAGATGGGAAGACTGAGGACCGGCTTATCCGGGGCAGCCCAAGTTCCACCGGGATCCCGAGATGGCAGTCCCAGCTCCCGTCCATGCACAAACTCTGCTTGCAGGCGGCGGTGCAGCCGTCTGCCTTCATCTTTTAATGGCTGGTGTGGTACAGTTAGTGGACAGACGGGTGACGGGACACAGCAGGGGTGAAACAGGGCAGTCACAGCCGGGGCCGGGGATCTGGAAGGGTGGGCAGTCCTCCCCCTGGAAACGCCGTCTCTGGAAGGATACCCTTAGGATTCCCTGAACTCAGGGTGCCACCCACACGGGCCTGGTGTTCTGGGAGGCCCGGGCTGGAGTGACCCCCAACCCCTCCCTACATTCTAGGGACCCTTGGGTCTGTCGGGTCCCTTGCTGGATGAGGGTCAAGACCTAGGTCAAGCTGACTTCAGCCAGGGTGGGGGGCCCGGCTTCGAAGTCCCCAGACTTACCTCCCCTCTTCTATCCTGGGCCAGGAAGGCAATAGGAGGGCTCCCTAGTCCGGCACATCCCCCGACCTGTGGCATCACGTGGGTGTGTGGGGAGGTCCTGACGTGCCCAGCTGGCATCACCGCTGTGGTTTCCCAGAGGCTGACGCAGACTGCAGGCGGGTCCATTCGGACCCAGGGCTCCGACTCCTTCATGGCTAACGCGTTTTGTTTGGGAGAAGCAGTCTCTAAGAATGAGGACAGAAGGGGAAGCCCTGAGGGTGACAAGGTGGGGGACTGCCCCTCTCCTCTCAGGGCTCCAGGGTTCATGAGGAGGGGTCCCTGATGGAGGCTGGGCCAGGTGGTGCCCTGATCAGTGCCAGTGGGTGATGAGGGCCGGGGTGCAGTCACTGGGCACGCACACTCTGGCGGGTGTCTGCTGTCCTGGGTGGTGACATGGTGCGTATGACCCTGCAGAGTGCTGGCTGGGCTGGAGCTGGGGCCGCCGGACACAGATAGAAGGTAGACGCAGGTATGAGACCAAACACAGAACAGAGTGCTGGCCAGAGCCCCGGGTCGCAGAAACGTGTTCTGGTCCTCAAAGGACTTTGCAGAACTTCAGTCCAGGGTGGGGGATGGCTGGACCCTGAGGGAGTGGTGCTGCTGGCACAGGGGGAGGCTCAGGGCCCCGCAGGCACTGAGGTGGGGATGGGGGAGGGGCCCTCAGGCCTCGGGGCCCCTGGTCAGGCCCTCGGCGTCCCTGGCAGTGGGCGGGGCTGGCTCAGAGGCCTGTGAGGATGGAGCCATTGGCGGTGGAGGCGTGCAGGCAGCTGCCGTGGGCGTTGCGGGTGAGGCTGTAGCTGCAGTAGGCCACGGCGGACCCCAGTGTCAGCCCTGACATGTAGGACACAGTCATGGTGTTCCCTGTGGACAACACTGGCCTGAGGGGAGCAGGGCCAGGGCGGCCACCTGGTGGCCACGGCTGCTCGGGTGTGAGGTGCGGTGACACCTGCATGAACCGTGCCACCCCTCCAGGACCCGCTGCCCCATCGCTCCTCCTGGGAGCACCCTCTCCAGATCCTGTCCTTCCTCGTTGCTTCTTCCCGAGGCCATCTGCTATGCACTCCAGGCCTTGCCTGCTTCTCTGAGTCCCCCAAGCCCCCATTTTTAAAATTTAAAGACAAGGTCTTGCTCTGTTGCCCAGACCAGAGTGCAGTGGTACAACCATAGCTTCCTGCAGCCTTGACCTCCTGGGCTCACGCGATCCTCCCACCTCAGCCTCCCGAGTACCTGGGACCACAGGCATGCACCACCACGCCTGGCTAATGTAAAAAAATTTTTTGTAGAGACTCGGTCTCGCTATACTGCCCAGGCTGGTCCCAAGCAATAGTCCTACCTTGGCCTCCCAAAACACCGTCCTGAGCCAGTGCGCCTGGCCCCAACCCTCCCCGTTTTAATCTCCAGTCTCAGCCAGGTGTGGTGGCTCACACCTGTAATCCCAGCACTTTGGCAGGCTGAGGCAGGCAGATCACCTGAGGTTAGGAGTTCGAGACCAGCCTGGCCAAGATGGTGAAATCTCACCTCTACTAAAAATACAAAAATTAGCCAGGTATGGTGGTGGGCATCCATAATCCCAGCTACTCAGAAGGCTGAGGCATGAGAATTGCTTGAACCTGCGAGGCAGAGGTTGCAGTGAGCTGAGATCATGCCACTGCACTCCAGCCTGGGGAACAGAGCAAGACTCCATCTAAAAAGAAAAAAAAACTCCACTCTCCGACCTACAGCTTCCTCCCTATCAGGGACAATTTGGGATGTCCGATGGGCACCTTGAATGTACCAAGTCCCAAACCCAACCCCAACCCCTCCCTGCGAGGCCCCTTCCCATCTCAGTCTGTGCCAGTGCCAGCCTTCTTGCCTTGAGCAGTGGACCCCAAACCTGGAGCCCCCTTCCCTCTCTCACACCCTACCTCTCAACCCATCAGCCGGTCCTTTGGGCTGCTGTCCAAACAAGACCTGGAATCTGGCACCTCCCAGTGCCACGTCAACCTCCTCCAGGTTTGAGCCCCATTCTCAAGGGCTTGGACTGGTGAAGTAGCTCCTCACTCACCTCCATGCCCACGGCAGCTGGGGGGATGCTTTATCAACCATCAAACCCCGTTCCTCTTCTGCTCTGTCCCCTGGCCTCAGTGCCGCAGGATCTTTGCACATGCTGTTCCCTCTTCCTGGATGCCTTTCCCTTGCATCCTCACATGGCTATCTCTCTTGCTACCTCCTCCAGGTCTTTGCTCAAAAGTCACCTCCTCAGTGAGGTCTTCCCAGATTGCTCCTTTTACACTGCTGGCTCCTGAGCCTGACTCTCCCATCCCATCACTCCTGTTTCTCTGCTTTATTTTTCCCCATAGGACTTACTGCCATTCAACCAGTCACGCCGATCTGGGATCTTTTTTTTTTTTTTTCAGACAGGATCTTGCTCTGTCACCCAGGCTGGAGTGCAGTGGCGTGATCACAGCTGCAACCTCAAACTCCTGGGCTCAAGTGATCCTCCCATCTCAGCCTCCCGAGTAGCTGGGACCATAGGCACACGCTACCATATCCAGCTAATTTTTTAAACATTTTTGTAGAGAGGAGAGGCTCTCACTGTGTTGCCCAGGATGGTCTTTAACTCCTGGGCTCAAGTGATCCACCCACTTTGCCCTTCCAAAGTGCTGGGATTGCAGGTACGAGCCACTGTGCCCGGCCTGGGCTGCCTCCACATCTGGACAGTCAGTCCCACAGCACATGGAGCGCCGTTTTGTCGCCACTATGTCCCCAGTGCCTTGAAAAGCACTTGGTCCACAGGAGGGGCTCACCAAGTAGTTGTGGGATGAACGAACGAATAAATGAGTGAATAAAGTGGCTGAGAATGTCCCCACACCTATGGCCTCCCAGACATTGACTGTTCTGAACACCCGGAACCCAAATGCACCTTCTTGTGGTCTGGCCTGGGTTTCCTCGCAAGGTGGGCATTGCGCTGCTGGGAGGACGCCCCCACCCCCATGTCCCGCGGTCCTCACCTGCCGGCTCCCGCTGCTTGGGGCTCACTTTGCCTGCTGCCAGGATCATGGGCACGCTGCCGAAGGAGCCGTTGCTGATGCCCATGAGCAGTGAGAAAATGCAGGGCCAGGCGGGGTGGCGGAGGGCGGGCATGCCGCTGGGGTAGACGCACAGGGTGAAGAGGGGGATGAAGACCACACGCAGGCAGGAGCAGGCCAGCAGGTGGGTGCCCCGCCAGTACACGGGCAGGGCTACCAGGATCTGCAGAGAGCCAGGCACGTGGCCGCCCTGTCCTGGCCACAGCCCCACTCCCCTCATACCCCCGACAGCCTCCAGCCACATCCCCATCCTTAAACACTCCTGGGCCTGTCCAGCTCAGCCTGCACCCCTGCCCTTCTCCGGATCGCCCCTCTAAAACCCCCCAAATTCCACTTACATTTTTTTCCCTTAGAGTCAGGGTATCGGTCTAACCCCCAAGCTCGAGTGCAGTGACACGATGGTGGCTCACTGCAGCCTCAAACTCCTGGGCTCAAGCCATCCTCCCACCTCAGCCTCCCGAGTAGCTGGGACCATAGGCACGCACCACCACGGCTGAGTGATTTTTTTTTGTTTGCTTGCTTGTTTTTTGAGACAGAGTCTCGTGCTGTCACCCAGGCTGGAGTGCAGTGGCACGATCTCGGCTCACTGCACCCTCCACCTCCTGGGTTCAAGCGATTCTCCTGCCTCAGCTTCCTGAGTAGCTGGGACTACAGGCACACTCCACCACTTCCATTAATTTTTGTATTTTCAGTAGACACGGGGTTTCACCATGTTGGCAAGGTTGGTCTCGAACTCCTGGCCTCAAGTGATCTACCCATCTCTGGCCTCCCAAACTGCTGGGATTACAGGCATAAGCCACTGAACCTGGCCATTTCTTTGAGCCATTTCTAAGTGTCCCTGCCCTCTCTGGGTCCCCTCTGGGGCATCCTCCTGTGCTCATCCCCGGGGGATCTGTGACCATGAGGCGAGAGGGTGAGGGCCACGCCTGTCCTCTGAGATACAGCTGACACTCCGGAGCGCCCCAGTGAGATCAGGCCGGAGCTGTCCTCCAGAGGACACTGTCCAGGATGGTGCCACTGCATGGCTCTTGCCCTTTCCACCTGGGAGCCACATGCATCCTTCACTCAGAACCCTTCCCGGATGGGCCAGGGCCTCCCCGTCACCCCCACCCCATGGTGTCCCCCGACACCGGGCAGGGCAGGCAGCCCACCTTGCCCACGAAGTCTGACAGGTTGAACACAGCCATGATGAGGATGGGCAGCCACTCGCCCAGGATGCAGTGGCAGATCTCAGACTCAAGGTCGGGGAACAGGCACAGCGTGATGAAGTAGGTCACGGCGATGGAGAGCATGTCGGCCCAGATCACCCCTGCCACCACGTAGCGGTGCAGTAACACGGCTGGGCGGTGGCGGGTGGGGGTCAGAGGCAGCGCCCACGGGGACCCCTGCCTGCCTCCCCCACCCCCTCACCCCCTGCCTGGGTGCCAGCCCCAGGGCTGCAGAGGGACCTCCCGCACTCACCTCTGAAGGTGGGCCAGCTGCGCTGGACCCTTGGCCACAGTACGTCAAAGCACATGTAGGCCCCGCCGCTGCCGGTCACCTCATGGGCTGGGCTGTCCTTTGGGGACCCGTTGGGGGCCAGGGCCGGGGCTGGGTGCTCCTGGAGGGAGGATGGAGTGGGATGGGGTTGGAGTGGAGGGGAGGACAGGAGACACGGGCCAGGAATTCAGGCCCAATCAGAAGAAGAGCCACACTGGGGCTGGTGCTGACATTCAGGTGGTGCCTACTATGTGCAGACACCCCTCCCCCAATTTATCAAGGTCTCTCACTTCACATTTCTTTTTTGTTTTAGAGAGAGGGTCTTGCTCTGTTGCCCAGGCTGGAGTGCAGTGGTGCAGTCACAGCTCACTGCAGCCTCAACTTTCTGGGCTCAGGCAATCCTCCCACCTCAGCCTCCCAAGTAGTGGGGACTACAGCCATGTGCCATCACCCAGGCCAATTATTTTTGCTGTTTTCTTTTTTGTAGACACAGGGTCTTGCTATGTTGCCCAGGCTGATCTCAAACTCTTTGGCTCAAGCGATCCTCCCAACTTGGCCTCCTGTATAGCTAGTATTGCAGCTGTGAGCCAATGAGCCTGGCTGTCTCTCACACTTCTGATGCAGCAAATTCCATCTCATCACTCCCGTGAACCCTCTACCAGCTTCTGACCAAACCAACAAGAGCATCTAGTCCCCCATGACCCCTTTGCTTCTCCCCTCCTCTAAACCCAACGGAGCTCCTCCCAACCTCTGAGCCACTGCACACACTTTTCCCTGTGCCCCAACACCCTTCCTGTGGGTCAGGTCTTAGCCCAAAAGTCCTTCAGGGAACCTCCCTGACCATGAGAGGGACACACCCCTCCCCTGGCTTGTCCCCTTCCATCCTGGGCCCCTCTCTGGGTCTGGGGGCTCCCCTGGGGATGTGTTTCTGGCTCACTTCAGTGTCCCCAGCCAAGTGCCCAGGTGACTCACTGGATCAAGACCTGCATCAAGACCGTTCTGGTTCTGGACCCTCAGGAATGAGGACCAATGGCTCCCTCGACCCGCCTCTGCATGGCCTGGCACTCCTGACCTCACCCTGCAGGTGTCCCCAGGCCTGTACAGCTGCCGGCCCTGACCCTGGGGGTCTGTGCAGTGCTGCTGCCACCAGAGGGCACCCCAGCCCCCCAAGGACAGCTGCCTGCCCAGGGATGGTGGGATAGGGCACCTCCTGGCAGGGGCTGTCTGTGCTGGGGACCCCGTAGGGGCAGTGCCTCTGTGCTGTGACAGGGAAGCCCAGCAGAGCCAGGGGCCACAGAACCAAGCCCCTGGCCCTCCCTCTCCGCCTGTCTATCCCCACCTGGGAGACCACTCCCTTTCCTGGCTGGTGACTTCTGTGGGAAATTCTGGGGGCCCCGCCACACCCCCTCAGGGAACCCAGGGTTATCCCTGAGCCCTGACTTCCCTCCTGGCGTCCCGTCTCTAGGGAGGAAGAGTGTGAGCTTCCTAGAGAGTTTGCTGCCAGGCTGAGCCTGCAGGAGGACTCTCCAACGTGGGTTGGCGCAGCCAGGAGGGCTGAGACCCTCAGAACGAACGTGGGCTGTCCCAGGGATGGAAACTTTAGTGTACATCATGTGGGGTGTCACTGCGGACAGGGACCATGCACGCCCCACACCGTGGGACACAGCAGCTGGGCAGATCTCCGGACCACAGATGCGGGTGGAGTGGGGCCTTAGGCCACGAGACGTGGGGTGCCACTAAGAACCCACACCTGAGTCGACAGAATAAAGGGTGCTGGCGGGAAGGATTCTCCACCACAGCAGGAGGCCGCAGCCTGGGATGCAGGGCAGGGGCTGGGCCCCAGGTACTTCCCTACGTCGCGGTGGGGACAGAGGAGGGAACGGAGGTGGGCGGTGCGCACTTACGAAGTGGACGTCCCCGGCGACGACGTCGTGGTGCACGCGGTAGCCAGAGCCCCTGCCCAGGCCTGGCCTGCCCCGGCGGCTGTCGCGCGGCCGTGTGGTATAGAAGAGCACGAAGCCACTGCACCGCACTAACAGGTGCAGCAGGAAGCACAGCAGCTCCAGCGCCACCGACACCAGGAAGAAGATGAGCATGCTGGCGCGCTCGTCGGGCAGCAGTAGCTCCGTGAGGATGCGGCTCAGAGAGATCATCACGCCCGCAGTGCCTGGGGAGCGTGCACAGTGGGCCGGGGGCCTAATCCGCCCAGCTCCCTGCACCGCCCTGCCCCGCCCCAGCCCCGCTCCGCCCCGCCCCAGCCCCGCTCCGCCCCGCCCCAGCCCCGCCCACACACAGACCCCTCCCCGCCGGCCCCGCCCTCCACCACCGGCCCTGCCCCAACCCACAGGCTCCTCCATCACCGCCGGCCCTGCCCACTGCCACCACCCAACTCCCACAACCAGACCTGCTCCACCAGCCCCTTCCAGCAATTCCTACAATGAGTGGTCCAGCTGCATCCCGCCCCCCACTCAGCTCCGCCCCCACTCAGCCACGCCCAGCTGCATCCCACCCCCCGACTCAGCTTGGCCCCACACAGCCCCGTCCCACCCGCTCCCCCAGCTCCCCGCCCTACCTCCCTTCCCAGCCCCGCCCCCTTCCGCTCCCTCTAAGTCCTGAGTCCCGTCTCTCCCACCCCAACTCCGAGTGTCCTCAGCTCCGCCCCAGCCACAAGAGGAGCTGCCCCTCACAGCGGCCGCACCCCGACGCCGCTCACACACCCCCACCATGGGGCATTTACCCAGTGCCTGCCGTGTCGCTGCACCCTCCTGCTCTGAGGACGCAGTAGGGCCACAATGACACACGGGCGCAGGGTGGGAAGAGGATGGATGCAACAAGATTGTGCGTGATTCAGGCAGGGGGCAAAAAGGAATGGAACAGAGGGCGCGCAGAGGTGGGGGGCAGTTAGAGGACCCCTGTCCCGTTGGGGGCCTTTGACGCGGAGGTCTGCAGGACAGGGCCGGGAGTGCAGCCTGGGGACGGGTGTTCCTGGGCGGGGCCTGCTGTGAGCTAGTGGTCATGTTTGAGGTGCTGGAAGCCGCGATTAGGGTCACGAGGCTGGGAGGGAGGGCCTTGGGGTGGGCAGGCTGTGGGATTTTTCTTCGTATGGCCATGAGCCACTGCCCAGTGTGAGGCAGGGTGGGTCAGGGCCATGGTGGGCCACCCCGTGAGGGTGGGCAGGGCTCTGAGCACGTCTTCTCTGCGGGGCCCTTGGCTCTATAAACCACGCGACATCAGTGTGCCGACACAATTCTGCACCCACTTTCGCTCAGCCACACCACAAAATCTACCGGCCAGCGACAGGAACCAGGACCTCCCAGATGGGAGTCTGGAAGCTCCGGGGCATCTGGTCGACCTCAGCACCAGGCAGAGGGTTGCAGAACGCCCCCCAGGAGAGAAACGAGCCAGGCCCACGTGGGTCTTGACCTGGGCTTCCGCTTCCTGCCTGGGCAGCACTGACCCCGGGCAGGTCCAGGCACAGAAGGAAGAATGGGGGGCTGGGGGAGATCTCTCATGTAAAGAAGAGCCAGCAGCATCTTAAATGTTGCTTAAGTGTCCTGGTCCTCCAGGACTTTCCACATCTTGGCTTCCTGCTTGGTTTGATCACGACAGAGAATAACCTATGGTGTGGTGGAAAGAAAGGTGCTGACTTTGGATTTATTAGTGAAGGTTTGTGATGTTGATTTGGTTTCTATCCAGACTGTGTCAGATACTTGATGTAGGAGGTTCTCATGTTTATAATCACAACAGCTTAACAAGGAGGGAGTTACTACCCTCACTTAATAGACGAAGAGACCAAGGCTTCAGTATATATATATATATATATATATATATATATATATATTTTTTTTTTTTTTTGTGACAGAGTCTTGCTCTGTCACCCAGGCTGGAGTGCAGTGGTGTGATCTCAGCTCACTGCAACCTCCGCCTCCTGGGTTCACACCATTCTCCTGCCTAACCCTCTGAAGTAGCTGGAATTACAGGCATGTGCCACCATGCCTGGCTAATGTTTGTATTTTCAGTAGAGACAGAATTTCACCATGTTGACCAGGCTGGTCTCGAACTCCTGACCTCAGGTGATCTGTCTGCCTTGGCCTCCCAAAGTACTGGTATTTACAGGTGTTAGCCACTGTGCCCAGCCAAATGCTTCAGTATTTAAATAACCTGCCTCCCAGTCACCCAGCCAGTGTGTGCTGGAACTAAGATTCAAACATAAGTCTGTCTTTCCATCAAAGCACATATTCTTTCCATCAACCATGTGGCCCCCAGCCCCAGTGCACAATGCTGGATTTTATCATATCACTAGGAAGGGCCAGGGGCCAGGTTCCAAGTGGCTTGATGGGTTTCTGCGTCTGAGAAGTGGAGCTGGTGAGGCAGCGACTCCTTCGCTGTTTTCCAACGGTCACCACGGCTTTGATCTTGACAGCAACCAAGATGTATCGCCCCACTTTGCAGATGAAAAAACTGAGGCCCAGAGAGGTTGATTGAACGGCCCAGGCAGAGTACCTGTTTTATGCTGGAGCTGGAAATCAAACCCTGGTCTGCCAAAAACATACCCAGGCTCTTGGCTGTGTGTGGCATGGACTTGCCTACCACATGGGCATGGTACACTGGAGAGATGAGCCTTTCTTATTTCAAAATACACAGCACTTCTTGGCCAGGTGCAGTGGCTTACGCCTGTAATCCCAGCGCTTCGGTAGGCCAAGGCCGGCAGATCACTTGAGGTCAGGAGTTCAAGACCAGCCTCAGCAACATGGCGAAACCCTGTCTCTACTAAAAATCCAAAAATTAGGCGGATGTGCTAGCATGTGCCTGTAATCTCAGCTACTCAGGAGGCTGAGGCATGAGAATTGCTTGAACCTGGGAGGCGGAGGCTGCAGTGAGCTGAGATCATGCCACTGCACTTCAGCCTGGATGACAAGAGTGAAAATCCATCTCAGAAACAAAAAATACACAGCACTTCTTAAGCCTCGGTTACCACCCCCACAGATGATCTGAAGTCCAGTCTTTCCGATTCACACCTTGGTGATCTGGGGCCCTTGTGCAGTCCACATCCTTGTCTCCCTCTGTGCCTCCCACCTGGCATGCCAGGTACCCTGTTGTGCAGCACATGGGGAGGCACCCACTGGACAGCTAGTCTCCTGGTGCACCCCCCACCCCCACGCAGGTCCCCAAAGCCTGCTGCAGCCCAGTGCACAAATTACTATTATCCTTTTTACCGTGAGCTTGGTGAGCAACAGTGGTGGTGAATAGACCATGCTCTAGTGAGGTTTTGGACTTGACACTGTGCGTGCAGTATGCCTTGGAACAGTCATAGCATGTTCTGTGCCCATTGAGTGCTAGACCTAATTATAGGCATTTGCACACAATCCTATTGAAAGCTTACAAGAGGTTGGCCAAGCACAATGGCTCACGCATGTGAGCTCCCAGCTCTTTGGAAGAGGTGGCTCCCTGCACTTTGGGAGGCTGAGGTGGGAGGATCACCTGAGGTCAGGAGTTTGAGGCCAGCCTGGCCAACATGCAAAAATTAGCTGGTCATGGTGATGAGCCCCTGTAATCCCAGCTACTCAGGAAGCTGAGGCAGGAGGATCACGTGAACCCAGGAGGCGGAGGTTGAAGTGAGCTGGGATCACGCCACTACACTCCAGCCTGGGCAACAAAATTAGACTCCGTCTCCAAAAAAAAAAAAAAAAAAAAAAAAAGATATTCATCCACAAAAAATGAAGTGTTCTCTCTATGTTGCCCAGGCTGGTCTCAAACTGTTGGCCTCAAGCAGTCCTCCTGCCTCAGTTTCCCAAAGTGCCGGGATTGCGGGTGTGAGCCACCACTCCCAGCCTGAGCCAAAATGCATGATAGAGCCATGCCTTAATCCAGTCTTCTGATTTCAAACTTAGTGCCCTTTTTACTTATATGATCTTCCCCTCTTCCCACTCCTGTCAAAAATAAACAAGCTTCAAAACAAACACACAAAAATCCCTCAGCTCTCAAGATATTGGTTGTTTAGTCTTTATTTTTACTGTATGTTACTCTCGCTCAGGCTGGGGTGCAGTGGCACAATCTCGGCTTACTGCAACCTTTGCCTCCTGGGTTCAAGTGATTCTCCTGCCTCAGCCTCCCAAGTAGCTGGGATCACAGGCAAGGGCCACCTCGCCTGGCTAATTTTTGTATTTTTAGTAGAGACAGGGTTTTGCCACGAAGGCCAGGCTGGTCTCGAACTCCTTGCCTCAAGTGATCCTGCCTTGGTCTCCCAAAGTGTTGGGATTATAGGTGTGAGCCACTGTGCCTACACATTTGTCTTTAAATGTAACACTTATTACATTTAAAAAGAAAAACTCAACCTTATGAAATTGATGTTGCTGAAAAGATAACCATGGAATCCAGCAGCAGTCATTAGTGTGGATGTGTGGGTCACTGCAGGAAAACGGCTGGAGAGCACCATTGTGTGTGTACAGTGGAGAAACACACCTCCCAGGAGCTACTGCCAGCCAAATGGCTGTCATTGTCTCACAGCACACAAAACAATGCTTACTACACAGAGAACTCTTTACATGTTAAGCATTTTCTATTTATTTATTTATTTATATATTTTTTGAGACGGAGTCTCACTCTGTTGCCCAGGCTGGAGTGCAGTGGTGTGATCTCGGTTCACTGCAACCTCCACCTCCCAGGTTCAAGCGATTCTCATGCCTCAGCCTTCTGAGAAGCTGGTATTACAGGTGCCTGCCACCCCACCCGGCTAATTTTTGTATTTTTAGTAGAGACGAGGGTTCACCATGTTGGCCAGACTGGTCTTGAACTCCTGACCTCAAGTGATCCACCCACCTTGGCCTCCCAAAGTGCTGGGATTACAGGCGTGAGCCACCACACCCAGTCAAGAACTCTTTACATATTGAGCATTTTCATAAAGATTTAAACCTGGATTCCTGAACCCTTGGGTCACATCTGCAAACCATGCAGTTGGCCATTGAGGAAAATATTAAAAGCATATTAAACACCCACTGTGTGCCCATGGTCAGGAGGAAAGGCGGTTGATGCTACAGCTTAGTTTTCCAGGAATTCAGGATCCCTGAGTCAGGCAGCCTTATCTGTCATCCTAGAACTCCAGGACAGTCCCACATTGTGTTGGGAGTGGCCACGACTGGGAGATGGATCTGCTCTGAGCCCTGGGATCAGGGTAGCATTCCTGGGAGGCGCCTTACAGGCAGAGGGGAAATTGCTCATGTGTTCCGGGAACTGGGAGTGACTGGGTGTGGCAGGAGGTGAGCCTGAAAAATAGGCTATCCCTCAGAGCAGGACAGGTTTTACCCAGGGCCACAGGCCAGTGTCTGACGTTTCTAGATCCGTCCCAGTTTAGCTTCTTCTAAATGGTTTTGTGTCTGTGTGAGAGCGGTGTGAAATGGGGTTTTGCTATGCTGCCCAGGTTGGTCTTGAACTCCTGGGCTCAAGCAATCCTCCCACCTTGGCCTCCCGAAGTGCTGGGATTACAGGCATGAACAACTGTGCCCGGCCCTAAATGGTTTTAAGGGCATGGTACCTACCTCAAGCTAACGTGCACGCAGGCATGAGGGAGCCGGAACCCTAGCCTGGGATCCTCTCTTCAGCAATCCTTGCATTAAGACCTCGCCCTAGACACTTGCTCATTCGCAGATCCCTCCCCTTCTCAGAGGGAGCTGTGTTACCAAGCCTTGGCTTGCACCTCCAAGGCATGCAGTGGACGGGCTGGGCTCCCTGCAGGGAGGTGGGTGGGTGCGGGCCATGAAGATGAGCACAACACTGTCCCTTCCTCCCTCCCTCCCACGGGTGCTCTTCCTGGCCAGTAGCCGTGTGGACACCTGGAGGGAAGCTGTTCTGTGTGGCAGAGTCACTGTGTTGTATCTGGTACTGGGGCCCTCGCCAGCGTAGGTCAGCGACTCGTCCAGCCCCAGGAGGTGGCTGCTGTCTCCTCCTCATGCAGATGAGGTGGGGCTGGCATTCAAAGGCCTGGCTCCCTCCCTCCCTTCAGACTCAGAACAGCCCAGGAACCCAGCTCGAGGTCTGGGGGAAGTGGTGTGTGCATCGGGTCTTGCAGAATAGATAGGTTTTGAGTGGAGAGGCCAGCCAAGGGTGTTCCAAGTAAGCAAAGCACGGAACACGGAACTAGGCTGCAGCAGTGAAGTCACAGGAAGGGAAAGCCCACCACAGACTGGGTGAGCTGCAGAGGGAGGATGGACTGAACTCCACCTCCAGGGTCATTCTGTTTTTTTTGTTTTGTTTTGTTTTGTTTTTTTAAAAAAACCACAGTCTCGTTTGGTCTTCCAGGCTGGAGTGCAGTGGCTCAATCATAGTTCACTTCAGCCTTGAGCCCCTCCCACCTCAGCCTCCGAGTAGCTGGGACTACAGGTGTGCACCGCTGTGGCTGGCTAATTTGTATTTTTTTGTAGAGATAGGGTCTCGCTATGCTGCCCAAGCTGGTCTTCAATTCCTGGGCTCAAGTCCTCCTCCCACCTCAGTTTCCCAAAGTGCTGGGATTACAGGTGCACACCACCATGCCTGGCTAATTTTTGTTTTTGTTTTTTGAGACGGAGTCTCGCTCTGTCGCCCAGGCTGGAGTGCAGTGGCGCGATCTCGGCTCACTGCAAGCTCTGCCTCCCGGGTTCATGCCATTCTCCTGCCTCAGCCTCCTGAATAGCTAGGACTACAGGCGCTTGCCACCACGCCTGGCTAATTTTTTTGTATTTTTAGTAAAGATGGGGTTTCACCGTGTTAGCCAGGATGGTCTCGATCTCCTGACCTCGTGATCCACCCGCCTCGGCTTCCCAAAGTGCTGGGATTACAGGCTTGAGCCACCGCGCCCGGCCAACTAATTTTTATTTTTGGTAGAGATAGAGTCTCACTCTGCTGCCCAGGCTGGTCTTGAATTCCTGCCTCCGTTTCCTAAATTGTTGGGATTACAAGCATGAGCCACTGCGCCCAGCCTTGGGGCCCATTCTTGTCTGTGGGGCTGAGGGGACTTCATCATTTAGAAAAGGATCTTTTAAGTCATCTCTTTTAAGAAACCTCATGGCCCATTTGCATACTGAATTAATTAAACCCATCGACCTGACCATGTTCCTCAGGACTGGGCTGGAATTTCCCTGTGTTAGTGGAAGAGGGCATGGGGAGAGGTCTGAAAGTCGTGGTCCCTGTGATACAGCTCCAATGGGTGGAGGAACACTAGGGTTTTTGGTTTTTATGCTAGTTTAGACAAAACGACATGCTTGGAGTGGTTTTTTTTAATTAATTAATTAATTTTTTTGTGTGTGGGGGATGGAGTCTTGCTCTGTCGCCAGGCTGGAATGCAGCGGCATGATCTCAGCTCAGTGCAACCTCTGCCTCCTGGGTTCAAGCAATTCTCCTGCCTCAGCCTCCCAAGTAGCTAGTATTACAGGCTCCCACCACCACGCCTGGCTAATTTTTGTATTTTTGGTGGAGACAGCATTTCACCATGTAGGCCAGTCTGGTCTAGATCTCCTGACCTCAGGTGATCCACCCACCTCGGCCTCCCAAAGTGCTGGGATTACAGGTGTGAGCTACCATGCCCAGCTCAGCAGAGTGGTTTTAAAACACCGATGTCCACGGGGCTGGTTCCTTCTGCTGGCTGTAGGGGAGAATCTACTGTGTCCCTGTCCCAGCTTCTGGTGGTTTCCTGGTCATCTTTGTCTTGTAGATCATCAGCCCAGCCTTTCCTTTGTCTCCCTGTGACATCCTGTCTATGTGTCTGTCTCTGTGTCCACGTTTCTCCTTCTTATCGGATCCTATTGGACGAGGGCCCAGGCTAATGACCTTGCCTTATCTTGATCACCTACAGAGACCCTAGTTCCAAATAAGGTCATCTTCACAGGTATTGAGGGTCAGGACTTCATCATCTTTCGGGAGACACAATTCAACCTGTTACAGCCCCGAAGTGTGCCATGTAAATTACCAAACCCCACATCCCTGGGAATAACATAGTTGACAGGAGGACAGAGTTCAGGATCCTTCCAGATCCCAGCCCTTGCCTCCAGGAGATGCAGCCACCTAGTACCCTCAGTCGGAATACCTGGGAAGTGAAGGGCCCTCCCTAGGCAGATCCTAAGCCAGGAAGAGAAGCCTCTGTGTGGCTGTCAATCAGTACGGACAGCAGCCAGGGCATCTGCCCAGCTTTCTGGACAGGCTCTGCTACCCACCTGCCTCTCTTAGAAGGGCCCCAGGGAGTGTTCCAATTCGTCTGGAGAAGCAACTCCAAATCCGTTGCTTACTGCAGACATCTATAATATGTGGGCTTAGGTACAGTTGAAACAGTACCATTTAGACAGTTCCCAAAATTTGTAATGGATATTGAGAAAGATACATGATACGACAGGTAAAGAAAGCACACTGCACAATCTTATGTATAGGTTGATTTCGAATATGTACATACACACACCCGTTTTAAGCAGCTTGATTGAGATACAATTCACATACCATATAATTCACCCATTTAAAATCTGCAGTTCATTGACTTTTAGGATATTCACAAAGTTGTACAGCTGTCACCCCAGACAATTGTAAAACATTTTCATCACCCAAAAGGAAATCCCACACCCTTCAGTTGGCATCTACCAGCCCCTCCTTCCTGCCCACCCCCAGCCCGAGACCACTCTAATGTATAATACATCAGTCTCTTGTGTGTCTGCATTTCATGTCACTGATTTATTTTTTTTTTTGAGACGGAGTCTCACTCTGTTGCCTAGGCTAGAGTGTAGTGGCATTATCTCAGCTCACTGCAACCTCCGCCTCCCGGGTTCAAGCGATTCTGCCTCAGCTTCCTGAGTAGCTGGGATTACAGGTGCATGCCACCACACCCAACTAATTTTTGTATTTTTAGTAGAGATGAGGTTTCACCATCTTAGCCAGGCTGGTCTCGAACTCCTGACCTTGTGATCTGTCCACGTTGGCCTCCCAAAGTGCTGGGATTACAGGCATAAACCACTGCACCTGGCCGCAATGATATTTTTTTGTATAATTAGGAAAACAAACTTAGAAATACAGACCTCACAGTCTGATTCCTGCCTGTGAGTGGCACACTGTAATTATACTTTTAATTTTTTTCTATATATTTGATATTTTTCTGATCACACAATGAGTATGAATTGCTAATAAAGGGGGAGGGAGTTATTTTAAAAACAAAGGGCGGTCATGTCATATTAATAGTCCTTGCAGGCAAGGCATGGTGGCTCATGCCTGTAATCCCAGCACTTTGGCAGGCTGAGGCGGGTGGATCACCTGAGGTCAGGAGTTCAAGACCAGACTAGCCTGGCCAACATGATGAAACCCTATCTCCACTAAAAATACAAAACAAATAATTAGCTGGGCATGGTGGCGCACTCCTATAGTCTCAGCCACTTGGGAAGCTGAGGCAGGAGAATTGCTTGAACCCAGGAGGCAGAGGCTGCAGTGAGCTGAGACTGTGCCACTGCACTCCAACCTAGGCAACAAAGCAAGCCTCTATCTCAAAAAACAGTCCTTGTAGAGTGTTCTGAAACTCTACTCAACACCAAATTCACAACATTTTGTGTGTGTGTGTGTGTGTGTTTTGTTTTTTTTTTTTTAATTTGAGACAGGGTCTCACTGTGTTCCCCAGGCTGGAGTGCAGTTGTGTGAATACAGCTCACTGCAGCCTCGAACTCCTAGGCTCAGGCAATCCTCCCACTTCAGCCTCCCAAGTAGCTGGTATTATAGGTGCATTGCCACCCCACCCAGCTAATTTTTTTATTTTTTATTCTGTAAAATTTTTATTGTTAAATTTTAATTTGTAGATACCTCATTATTTTTCCCAGGCTGGTCTTGAACTCCTCAGCTCAAGCCATCCTCCCATCTCACCCTCCCAAAGTGCTGTGATTACAGGTGTGAGCCACCACAACTGGCCTAGAATCACAGCCTTAACTTATCAGGTTGGGGGGCGGGGGGCAGGGGGCGGTGGGGGGGCGAATGTGTCTGAGTTCCAAACAACTGACTTTCAAATTGGAATCTTAGTGCACAGCTTGTTAGAAGTTGGAAATGCTTGCATTACACTAGTCTGCTATGCATTTGATTTTCTAGGCCCAGCTCCCACTAGCCCTCATCCCCTAGTCCTGAGAACCCCACATCCTTAATCAGGGGACCTCTCTCAGCCCTTAACAAACTGCCAGGTGGCTCAGCTGAAAGGCCCTGTAATTAAACCACATCTTTTTGCCTCTTTAATAACATCAGAGACAGCATAGTTCTAGGAAGGGACAGAAGGAATATATAATTTACTGTCCTTTGCCTGAGCCAGTATGAAATTGGTGCACGTGCAGTCTTGTGTGTTTTGGCTGTAAAGCGTGATCTGTTGTCTCAGCAAGTGTGTAGGTAAGCTAAATATTCTAATAAGTCGGTCCAACCACGGCAGGCTCTTTGCATGTGCGTCCGGCACAGCTGAAGAATAGACGTCTACGCTGGAGGAAACTGGCTCAGCTAGTCAGTTCACAAAACAAACCAATCCTGGCCACGATCGCAAAACCTCACCAGTTACCTAATCTGGAATCCTGGGCATCGTCCTCGATTCGCCTTGTTCTTCTGGGCCTCACATCAACTGTGTGTGCCACTGATCTCTCCAGCCGCCCTCTCGTCCTCCTCAACACCCACAGCCACTGCCCAGCATGTCTCCCTTGGATGAGAGCAATGACTCCAGAGTGATCTCTTCCTCCTTGCCGCCCCCTGTGCTCTTTTCTCCCCGACTGCTGCCCAGGTGATGACGGTCACCCTGCACCACTTGCTCTTGTGCCCCTCACGATCTGACCCCATTTGCTTGCCCAACTGCGTCACCCACAGATCCTGCATATGTATCCACGTTCCCACCCGGCAGACTCTCGTGGGTCCCCTATCCCCCATGGTGTGTTGTAGCCCCATTGGTGGGCTCTTAATCTGGACTCCAGGAATGGAGCACAAGCTGACATGTGAATGAGTATCTCAAAAGAGAACACATAGGTCAGGCGCAGTGGTTTAGGCCTGTAATCCCAGCACTTTGGGAGGCTGCGGCGGGTGGATCACCTGAGGTCAGCAGTTTGAGACCAGCCTGGCCAACATAATGAAACCTCATTTATACTAAAAATACAAAAATTAGCCGGGCATGGTGGTGGGCACCTGTAATTCCACTACTCATGAGGCTGAGGCAGGAGAATCTCTTGAACTCGGGAGGCAGAGTTTGGAGCCGAGATCGCGCCACTGCCCCTCAGCCTGGGAGACAGTGCAAAACTGTCTTAAAAAAAAAAAAAAGGAATTTTATGAAATTCTTTGCTCCGGGCGTTTGAGTATGTTCTTCCATTTACATGCGGTGTCTTACCCATCCACTGGGGTGAAATACTTTTTAAGACTCTGCTCCAAGGTCACGATTTTCCTGCCTGAGGTTCCCTTCTCCATGTCCCCAGGGATTTAATTACTTCTTAATTACGTACCTGTTTCCCTACTAGACCCTGAGCTCCTGGGGGTAGGAACTGTCTCTTCCGCCCACCCCCGGCCCCCCAGCAGTGTCTAGCACATGGCCAGCTCTTAGTACTTGCAGAAAGAAAAAGACCACGAAGGGCACGCACGCCAGACCATTCTCTATGGAAGACCCACCCAGTGTTCCCTGCTGTATAGTGAATGGCTCCATATTCCCAAATCTCTGCTCCTGCCTCTTTTACCTTCATGAAAGGGGCCTTTTTGTGGTTTGCAGGCATTTCCTCTAAGAGGTTGAAGCCCAGTTGTCAAGCATCTACGCGGAGGAATCAGACTTCCCCTTGCTGCGGGACTTCACTAGATGTGTAATGCTTTGTAAATTACCTCTTGACAAATATTGAGCTCTTTGTTTTCTTTTCTTTCTTTCCTTTCTTTCCTTCCCTTTCAGATTGACACGTTATTAAAAGAAGCAAGGAAGCTGAAGCAGCTTTCTTGAATGTCTACAAAAGATTGATTGACATCCCAGGTAAGCCCCAGCACTGATGTCCCACCTGTGGCGGACATTGTGTCTGGTGAGTCGGTGAGTTTGGGGTTCATTCTTCTTGGCTTTCCCAAGGAAAATAAATACACCATCAGTGGCAACTTCCCCCAGGAAACCAGGGAGTGCTGCACACGTGAATTCTCCACAACCCACACTTTGGATATGGAGGGAAATTGGTTGCACTTGTTGAAGTACTCACATAATCTCCAGGGGATGCCTTCGTAAAAGCAGAGACTGAAATCTCTGGGGCTACAGCATAAAACGCTGCACGTCCTGCAGAGAAGATGCAGACCTGGTGTGTGTGTGCTGTGCAGAAGTCCCTTGTACTGCCCAATGCCATCTTTAGGACTTTAGGAATGGCCCTACTAAGACACCTGGAGTGTACTGCTCCCCTGCCAGGTCCACCAAGATCAGTGGCCCCTAGACAAGGCTTTCACTTAAGGGTTATGGACAGAGGGTAACTGATAATCCCTGCAGCTACAACCAAGTATACCAGTTGTTTATTTTTTTTTTCTAATTTTACTTATTTAATTTTGAGACAGGGTCTTGCTCTGTCACCCAGGCTGGAAGGCAGTGGCGCAATCTCCACTCACTGCAACCTGCACTGCCCGGCTCAAGCAATCCTCCCATCTCAACCTCCCAGGTGGGTGGGAGGTGCATGCCACCATACCAGGCTAATTTTTGTATTTTTACTAGAGACAGTAAAAATACTGTCATGTTGGCCAAGCTGGTCTTGAACTCCTGACCTCAGGTGATCCGCCCGCCTCAGCCTCCAGAAGTGCTGGGATTACAGGCATGAGCCACCACATCCGGCCAGCTGTGGCATCTTGAGATAGCTTCCCAAGGCCATCAGATAAGAGATTTTGGAAGTGCAGAATTCTCCAAGGGCTCACAGCAGCACTGGCAGGGAGCCCCTGTTCCTAGACTGCTGCTCTGTGATGTTTGTAGACATCTCTAGTGAAAAGTCAGGGACAGTGGATGATGCACACAGTTCAGAGACCCTGACTCTGGTCCCATCTGTCCCCAGGTGTGGCCCCACAAAGCCCCTCCCTCGGCCACAGCACCCACCTCACTAGTACTACAACAGGATCAGACCAGATGCCAGGCAGGATGGAGAGCCAGCCCATTTGTCAGCCCCTTGCACTTTCTTGCCCAGTTCTACTTCCCAGAGTCCTGGATCTCTGATACTGTCTCCCAGCAGGGCCTGTTTGTGGAGTGGCCTTCAGGCACGGCTGCATCCAGGGCACCCAGCAAAGCATGAGTAGTGATGGGAAGAAGCTGGGTGGCAACATTGTAAAGACCTGGGTTTGATTCCCCACTCCATGAATTATGTAACCTCCAGCAGGGCAGGAGGTTTAAATACTCGGGCCTTAGTATTTTCATAAGTGAAATGAAAGAATGCCATACCTCGCCCGTAATCCCAGCATTTTGGGAGGCTGAGGTGGGTGGATCACTTGAGGTCTTGAGTTCGAGACCAGCCTGGCCAGTATGGTGAAACCCCGTCTCTATTAAAAATACAAAAATCTGCCAAATGTGGTGGCGGGTGCCTGTAATTCCAGCTACTCAGGAGGCTGAGGCAGGAGAATCACTTGAACCCGGGAGGTGGATGTTGCAGTGAGCCCAGATAGCGCCACTGCACTCCAGCCTGGGCAACAGAGGGAGATTCTGTTTCAGAAACAAAGAATGTCATGCCAGTGCCTGGCACAGGACCTGCAAGGCACCTGGCATCACCTGGCACATTTGAAAAAGGTCTGCTTACCTCCCCTTGCTTAAGGTCTCTCCCCACTCGAAAGAATTCTGTCACTTTCCACGATGAATTTGTAAAAATCATTATCTGCACTGCAAGACCTACTCATCCATATTAGCATGCCACAGCAGGGAGAGCCAGGTGAAAGGTTTTGTTTCCCATCATCTTCCTCAGGGACCCTAAATTTTAAAATCTGCATTAGTCACCACTGAGGTGCCACTAATACGGTGGCCAAAAGTCCAAGTTCAAACCATTACAAAGCTGCAAATGCCTTCATAGATATGTCTCTAAAAAGTCAACACTGGGGTCTGGTGCGGTGGCTCATAGCTATAATCCCAGCAATTTTGGAGGCCAAGAGATGCAGATCACTTGAGGTCAGGAGTTTGAGACCAGCCTGGCCAACATGTTGAAACACCGCCTCTGCTAAAAACACAAAAATTAGCTGGGTGTGGTGGCAGGCACTTGCAATCCCAGCTACTAAGGGATTACAGGCATGAGCCACCATGCCCAGCCATTTTACCAACTTTTATAAATTAACTAGGGAGATAAATGTATGTTTCTTTATATTTAATGCAACTGCACAGAAGAAATGTGTCATTCTTCTCCTTTGTTCCAAGCATTTTGTAATCCAATTTTTCTATCGCTATCACTGAGGTGGGAGAATCGCTTGAACCCAGGAGGCAGAGGTTGCAGTGAGCTGAGATCGTGCCACTGCACTCCAGCCTGGGCGACAGAGCAAGACTCCGTCTCAAAAAAACTAAAAAATATGTAGTGTTGAGAATGCTTGCTATCAAAATAGCCTGAAGCACAAAAGCACAGCTTATTCTTGAAATTTTATGGGATAGCCTATATTTTTACCTTTTCACTTCTTCTTATTTGGACAATATGTGCTTTGATGCATTTCTGTGATCTTCCCATCCCTAAAAAAAAATCTCTGCAGGCTGGGTATGGTGGCTCACACTTGTAATCCCAGCACTTGGGGAGGCTGAGGTGGGTGGATCTCGAGGTCAGGAGTTCAAGACCAGCCTGGCCAATATAGTGAAACCCCATCTCTACTAAAAATACAAAAATTAGCCGGGTATGGTGGTGCATGCCTGTAGTCCCAGCTACTAGGAGGCTGAGGCACGAGAATCACTTGACCCTGGTAGGCAGAGGTTGTGGTGAGCAAGATCATGCCACTGCATTCCAGCATAGGCAACAGAGTGAGACTCTGTCTCAAAAAAAAAAAAAACACCTCTGCAATTTGAAGGATTTGCTGAATATATAGATGACCGGCTGCTCTGTGGTTTCCATGGAAAGCCGAAACATAATTACAAATCCAATTTCCTATGGATTTTTACAATGGAAAAAGGACCAGTTGTGTTAAGTGGCTAATTCTTTTTGTACACAGATGGTTGATTGTCATTTTCTTATAGTAGCTTTCTGAATTTTTGCGGACTGCCAAAAGAAGAAAAACTTGTATATAAAAATTGATCAATTGGCCGGGTGCAGCAGCTCACACCTGTAATCCCAACACTTTGGGAGGCCGAGGCAGTAGGGTCATTTGAGGCCAGGAATTCAAGACCAGCCTGGGCAAAACCACAAGACATCATCTCTATTTTTTAAAAAAAAGTCATTTTTTTTTTGAGACAGAGTCTCGCTCTGTCGCCCAGGCTGGGGTGCAGTGGCATGATCTCGGCTCGCTGCAAGCTCCACCTCCTGGGTTCATGCCATTCTCCTGCCTCAGTCTCCCGAGTAGCTGGCACTACAGGCGCCCGCCACCACGCCCGGCTAATTTTTTGTATTTTTTTTAGTAGAGATGGGGTTTCACAGTGTTAGCCAGGATGGTCTTGATCTCCTGACCTCGTGATCCACCCACCTTGGCATCCCATAGTGCTGGGTAAAAAACAAAAAAAAAAGTTTTAAAATAGCTCAAATTTAAGTACATTAAAGAAGGACAGAGTCTTTAGGAAATGGTAGACTAACAGGTCATCTATGTAGAAGCCAATAGAGTCAGAGCTGAGCCCCATGCAAAATAAAGTCTACATGTTTAAAACATTTATTTATTTATTTATTTATTTATTTATTTATTTACTTATTTATTTTTTGAGAAAGGGCCTCACTCTGTTGCCCAGACCTGAGTGCAGTGGTGTGATCTCGGTTTACTGCAACCTCCACCTCTTGGGTTCAAGTGATTCTCCTGCCTCAGCCTCCCAAGTAGCTGGCATTACAGGCACATGCCACCAAACCCAGCCAATTTTTGAATTTTTAGTAGAGACAGGGTTTCACCATGTTGGCCAGGCTGATCTTGAACTCCTGACCTCAAGTGATCCACCCACCTCGGCCTGCCAAAGTGCTGAGATTACTGGCGTGAGCCATCACACTTGGTCTAGAAGTTTAAAACATTTAAATTGACTAAAAAAAAACCCATGAAGACACTAGGAACAATTTTAGTGGATATTTATAAAATAAGGGGGTAGAAAAAAAATTTTTTTTTAAGCATGATGCCAAAAGTAGAAATCACAAAGGGAAATTCAGAGCTTTATGGAGATGGATGGGTGGGTGGATAAATGCATGGATGGACAGATGGACATATGAATTTAGACAGACTGGCAAAAATATTTGCAATGTATATAACAGAGTGTGTGTGTGTGTGTGTGTGTGTGTGTGTGTGTGAGAGAGAGAGAGAGAGAGACAGAGAGAGAGAGAGAGAGAGATAGTGTAAGCCCTTACAGAGCAATAAAAAAGTTTCATTTTGGGGGAGGAACCAAGATGGCCGAATAGGAACAGCTCAGGTCTACAGCTCCCAGCGTGAGCGACGCAGAAGACGGGTGATTTCTGCATTTCCATCTGAGGTACCAGGTTCATTTCACTAGGGAGTGCCAGACAGTGGGCGCAGGTCAGTGGGTGCACTCACCGTGCGTGAGCCGAAGCAGGGCGAGGCATTGCCTCACTCGGGAAGCGCAAGGAGTCAGGGAGTTCCCTTTCCTAGTCAAGGAAAGGGGTGCTGGACAGCACCTGGAAAATCGGGTCACTCCCACCCAAATACTGCGCTTTTCCGATGGGCTTAAAAAACGGCGCATCACGAGATTATATCCCACACCTGGCTCGGAGGGTCCTACACCCACGGAGTCTCGCTGATTGCTAGCACAGCAGTCTGAGATCAAACTGCAAGGCAGCAGCGAGGCTGGGGGAGGGGCGCCCACCATTGCCCAGGCTTGCTTAGGTAAACAAGGCAGCAGGGAAGCTCGAACTGGGTGGAACCCACCACAACTCAAGGAGGCCTGCCTGCCTCTGTAGGCGCCACCTCTGGGGGCAGGGCACAGACAAACAAAAAGACAGCAGTAACCTCTGCAGACTTAAATGTCCCTGTCTGACAGCTTTGAAGAGAGCAGTGGTTCTCCCAGTACACAGCTGGAGATCTGAGAACAGGCAGACTGCCTCCTCAAGTGGGTCCCTGACCCCGACCCCCGAGCAGCCTAACTGCGAGGCACCCCCCAGCTGGGGCACACTGACACCTCACACGGCAGGGTACTCCAACAGACCTGCAGCTGAGGGTCCTGTCTGTTAGAAGGAAAACTAACAAACAGAAAGGACATCCACACCAAAAACCCATCTATACATCACCATCATCAAAGACCAAAAGTAGATAAAACCACAAAGATGGGGAAAAAACAGAACAGAAAAATTGGAAACGCTAAAAAGCAGAGCGCCTCTCCTCCTCCAAAGGAATGCAGTTCCTCACCAGCAACGGAACAAAGCTGGATGGAGAATGACTTTGACAAGCTGAGAGAAGAAGGCTTCAGATGATCAAATTACTCCGAGCTACAGGAGGACATTCAAACCAAAGGCAAAGAAGTTGAAAACTTTGAAAAAAATTTAGAAGAATGTATAACTAGAATAACCAATACAGAGAAGTGCTTAAAGGAGCTGATGGAGCTGAAAACCAAGGCTCGAGAACTACGTGAAGAATGCAGAAGCCTCAGGAGCCGATGCGATCAACTGGAAGAAAGGGTATCAGCAATGGAAGATGAAATGAATGAAATGAAGCGAGAAGGGAAGTTTAGAGAAAAAAGAAGAAAAAGAAATGAGCAAAGCCTCCAAGAAATATGGGACTATGTGAAAAGACCAAATCTACATCTGATTGGTGTACCGGAAAGTGACGGGGAGAATGGAACCAAGCTGGAAAACACTCTGCAGGATATTATCGAGGAGAACTTCCCCAATCTAGCAAGGCAGGCAAACGTTCAGATTCAGGAAATACAGAGAATGCCACAAAGATACTCCTCGAGAAGAGCAACTCCAAGACACATAATTGTCAGATTCACCAAAGTTGAAATGAAGGAAAAAATGTTAAGGTCAGCCAGAGAGAAAGGTCGGGTTACCCTCAAAGGGAAGCCCATCAGACTTAACAGCGGATCTCTCAGCAGAAACCCTACAAGCCAGAAGAGAGTGGGGGCCAATATTCAACATTCTTAAAGAAAAGAATTTTCAACCCAGAATTTCATATCCAGCCAAACTAAGCTTCATAAGTGAAGGAGAAATAAAATCCTTTACAGACAAGCAAATGCTGAGAGATTTTGTCACCACCAGGCCTGCTCTAAAAGAGCTCCTGAAGGAAGGGTTAAACATGGAAAGGAACAACCGGTACCAGCCGCTGCAAAATCATGCCAAAATGTAAAGACCATGGAGACTAGGAAGAAACTGCATCAACTAACGAGCAAAATAACCAGCTAACATCATAATGACAGGATCAAATTCACACATAACAATATTAACTTTAAATGTAAATGGACTAAATGCTCCAATTAAAAGACACAGACTGGCAAATTGGATAAAGAGTCAAGACCCATCAGTGTGCTGTATTCAGGAAACCCATCTCACGTGCAGAGACACACATAGGCTCAAAATAAAAGGATGGAGGAAGATCTACCAAGCCAATGGAAAACAAAAAAGGGCAGGGGTTGCAATCCTAGTCTCTGATAAAACAGACTTTAAACCAACAAAGATCAAAAGAGACAAAGAAGGCCATTACATAATGGTAAAGGGATCAATTCAACAAGAAGAGCTAACTATCCTAAATATATATGCACCCAATACAGGAGCACCCAGATTCATAAAGCAAGTCCTGAGTGACCTACAAAGAGACTTAGACTACCACACATTAATAATGGGAGACTTTAACACCCCACTGTCAACGTTAGACAGATCAATGAGACAGAAAGTCAACAAGGATACTCAGGAATTGAACTCAGCTCTGCACCAAGTGGACCTAATAGACATCTACAGAACTCTCCACCCCAAATCAACAGAATATACATTTTTTTCAGCACCACACCACATCTATTCCAAAATTGACCACATAGTTGGAAGTAAAGCTCTCCTCAGCAAATGTAAAAGAACAGAAATTATAACAAACTATCTCTCAGACCACAGTGCAATCAAACTAGAACTCAGGATTAAGAATCTCACTCAAAACCGCTCAACTACATGGAAACTGAACAACCTGCTCCTGAATGACTACTGGGTATATAAGAAAATGAAGGCAGAAATAAAGATGTTCTTTGAAACCAATGAGAACAAAGACACAACATACCAGAATCTCTGGGACGCATTCAAAGCAGTGTGTAGAGGGAAGTTTATAGCACTAAATGCCCACAAGAGAAAGCAGGAAAGATCCAAAATTGAAACCCTAACATCACAATTAAAAGAACTAGAAAAGCAAGAGCAAACACATTCAAAAGCTAGCAGAAGGCAAGAAATAACTAAAATCAGAGCAGAACTGAAGGAAATAGAGACACAAAAAACCCTTCAAAAAATTAATGAATCCAGGAGCTGGTTTTTTGAAAGGATCAACAAAATTGATAGACCGCTAGCAAGACTAATAAAAAAAGAGAGAAGAATCAAATAGATGCAATAAAAAATGATAAAGGGGATATCACCACCGATCCCACAGAAATACAAACTACCATCAGAGAATACTACAAACACCTCTACGCAAATAAACTAGAAACCCTAGAAGAAATGGATAAATTCCTTGACACATACACTCTCCCAAGACTAAACCAGGAAGAAGTTGAATCTCTGAATAGACCAATAACAGGATCTGAAATTATGGCAATAATCAATAGCTTACCAACCAAAAAGAGTCCAGGACCAGATGGATTCACAGCCGAATTCTACCAGAGGTACAAGGAGGAACTGGTACCATTCCTTCTGAAACTATTCCAATCAATAGAAAAAGAGGGAATCCTCCCTAACTCATTTTATGAGGCCAGCATCATTCTGATACCAAAGCCGGGCAGAGACACAACCAAAAAAGAGAATTTTAGACCAATATCCTTGATGAACATTGATGCAAAAATCCTCAATAAAATACTGGCAAAACGAATCCAGCAGCACATCAAAAAGCTTATCCACCATGATCAAGTGGGCTTCATCCCTGGGATGCAAGGCTGGTTCAGTATATGCAAATCAATAAATGTAATCCAGCATATAAACAGAGCCAAAGACAAAAACCACGATTATCTCAATAGATGTAGAAAAGGCCTTTGACAAAATTCAACAACGCTTCATGCTAAAAACTCTCAATAAATTAGGTATTGATGGGATGTATTTCAAAATAATAAGAGCTATCTATGACAAACCCACAGCCAATATCATACTGAATGGGCAAAAACTGGAAGCATTCCCTTTGAAAACTGGCACAAGACAGGGATGCCCTCTCTCACCACTCCTATTCAACATAGTGTTGGAAGTTCTGGCCACGGCAATTAGGCAGGAGAAGGAAATAAAGGGTATTCAATTAGGAAAAGAGGAAGTCAAATTGTCCCTGTTTACAGACAACATGATTGTATATCTAGAAAACCCCATTGTCTCAATCCAAAATCTCCTTAAGCTGATAAGCAACTTCAGCAAAGTCTCAGGATACAAAATCAATGTACAAAAATCACAAGCATTCTTATACACAAACAACAGACAAACAGAGAGCCAAATCACGAGTGAACTCCCTTTCACAATTGCTTCAAAGAGAATAAAATACCTAGGAATCCAACTTACAAGGGATGTGAAGGACCTCTTCCAGGAGAACTACAAACCACTGCTCAAAGAAATAAAAGAGGACACAAACAAATGGAAGAACATTCCATGTTCATGCGTAGGAAGAATCAATATCGTGAAAATGGCCATACTGCCCAAGGTAATTTACAGATTCAATGCCATCCCCATTAAGCTACCAATGCCTTTCTTCACAGAATTGGAAAAAACTACTTTAAAGTTCATATGGAACCAAAAAAGAGCCCGCATCGCCAAGTCAATCCTAAGCCAAAAGAACAAAGCTGGAGGCATCACACTACCTGACTTCAAACTATACTACAAGGCTACAGTAACCAAAACAGCATGGTACTGGTACCAAAACAGAGATATAGATCAATGGAATAGAACAGAGCCCTCAGAAATAATGCCGCATATCTACAACTATCTGATCTTTGACAAACCTGAGAAAAACAAGCAATGGGGAAAGGATTCCCTATTTAATAAATGGTGCTGGGAAAACTGGCTAGCCATATGTAGAAAGCTGAAACTGGATCCCTTCCTTACACCTTATACAAAAATCAATTCAAGATGGATTAAAGACTTAAACGTTAGACCTAAAACCATAAAAACCCTAGAAGAAAACCTAGGCATTACCATTCAGGACATAGGCATGGGCAAGGACTTCATGTCTAAAACACCAAAAGCAATGGCAACAAAAGCCAAAATTGACAAATGGGATCTAATTAAACTAAAGAGCTTCTGCACAGCAAAAGAAACTACCATCAGAGTGAACAGGCAACCTACAGAATGGGAGAAAATTTTCGCAACCTACTCATCTGACAAAGGGCTAATATCCAGAATCTACAATGAACTCAAACAAATTTACAAGAAAAAAACAAACAACCCCATCAAAAAGTGGGCGAAGGACATGAACAGACAGTTCTCAAAAGAAGACATTTATGCAGCCAAAAAACACATGAAAAAATGCTCATCATCACTGGCCATCAGAGAAATGCAAATCAAAACAATAATGAGATACCATCTCACACCAGTTAGAATGGCAATCTTTAAAAAGTCAGGAAACAACAGGTGCTGGAGAGGATGTGGAGAAATAGGAACACTTTTACACTGTTGGTGGGACTGTAAAGTAGTTCAACCCTTGTGGAAGTCAGTGTGGTGATTCCTCAGGGATCTAGAACTAGAAATACCATTTGACCCAGCCATCCCATTACTGGTATATACCCAAGGACTATAAATCATGCTGCTATAAAGACACATGCACACGTATATTTATTGCGGCATTATTCACAATAGCAAAGACTTGGAACCAAGCCAAATGTCCAACAATGATAGACTGGATTAAGAAAATGTGGCACATATACACCATGGAATACTATGCAGCCATAAAAAATGATGAGTTCATGTCCTTTGTAGGGACATGGATGAAATTGGAAATCATCATTCTCAGTAAACTATCGCAAGAACAAAAAACCAAACACCGCATATTCTCACTCATAGGTGGGAATTGAACAATGAGATCACATGGACACAGGAAGGGGAACATCACACTCTGGGGACTGTTGTGGGGTGGGGGGAGGGGGGAGGGATAGCATTGGGAGATACACCTAATGCTAGATGACAAGTTAGTGGGTGCAGCGCACCAGCATGGCACAGGTATACATATGTAACTAACCTGCACACTGTGCACATGTACCCTAAAACTTAAAGTATAATAATAAAAAAGAAAAGTTTCCTTTCCCAATAGAAAAACCTCTGTATTTTCAGTTCCTTACTAGACATTTCTACCATGAGCATCTCAAACTCAGCTTAACTTGTTATTCTCCATAACTTCCCCCTTCCCTATAGTCAGCCCCTTCTGCTTTTTTCCTCTGCCCAGCGATATCTGCTCCTCCTTCAGTCCAGAAATGGATGGTATTTCTTCACTCCTTTGTGAGCCCTCCTGTCTAATTCGTGTTAGTTCTGGCAATATTGTACATTCCCAACTTCATCGCCTCTCTTACTACTGTCATTTTAATGTGTTTTCCTTCTCTTTTCTTTTTTCTCTCTTTTTTTTATTTTTTGAGACAGGGTCTCGCTGTGTCACCCAACCTGGAGTACAGTGGCACAATCTCTGCTTACTGACACCTCCACCTCCCAGGTTCAAGCGATTCTCCTGCCTTAAGTTCCCGAGTAGTGGGGATTACAGACACCCACTACCACACCTGGCTAATTTTTGTATTTTTAGTAGTGACGGAGTTTCACCATGTTGGCCAGGCTGGTCATGAACTCCTGACCTCAAGTGATTCACCTGCCTCAGCCTCCCAAAGTGCTGGAATTACAAGTGTGAGCCACCATTCCCGGCCTTAATTTGTTTTTCATCTCTTGGTCTCACTTCTTCAAGATCTTCCAAACTTGACCCTGTGCCACCAGTTTCTCCCTGGACAAAACCACCCTCCATGCATCTGCTAAAATTATCTTTCTAAAATATGTCTGATCCTGCTAAAACCTGTCCCACTTAAAATCTCTCCGTGGCGCGCTCTCTCGTCTCTAAGGGCAAGTCCAAAATCACAGCATGATGCACAGGCATTTTGGGATACAGCCCTGCCTTCCCAGCCTCATCTTATGCTAAATCGAATTTCCCCATCCTGTGGAATCCCAGGCCCTTTCCCCAGCTCATCTTACAGCTGGTTCCACCTTTCCTGACAAGCAGATCCTGCCCTGCCTTGCCTGCTCCTGTGCCCACACTTACCTGCTCTGGTGAAAGAGGGCTCTGGTCTCCCCCATTCTAGGGGCTTTTCATGTGGGGTCTATAGAGAGAACCCGAGAGCTTCACGAATTGAACCCAGAAAAAATATATCTTTATTTCCATCAATGTCTAACTGCAATGTAGCATTTCCTTCCATTGCAGATGAAGCCCCCACACCGAGCTAATTGCAGACCGTGACCTTGCTGTGAGTGGAAATCACAGAGGCTTTCACATCTCATTCCCGTTGTTGCAGAGATCACAAACGCTGTTTGGATTCATCTTCAAAATGTCAGCGGTTCTTAGATATTTAGAGCAACAGTAAAGAACAGTTGTTCCTATATCACAAATCTGGTTTTAGAAAAGTATTGTCTGGGCACAGTGGCTCATGCCTGTAATCCCAACACTCTGGGAAGCCAAGGTGGGCAGATCACTTGAGGTTAGGCGTTTAGTCCAGTCTGACCAACATGGTGAAACCTCATCTCTACTAAAAGTATAAAAAATTCACTAGGTGTGGTAGCAGGCCTCCCAGCTACTCGGGAGGCTGAGGAAGGAGAATCACTTGAACCCAGGAGGTGGATGTTGCAGTGAGCTGAGATCACACCACTGCACTCCAGCCTTGGGCAACAGAACTAGAGTCAGTCTCAGAAAAAATAAAAAATAAAAAATAAATTGCAATAACTGCACTTCAGAATAGTTGTTTTCCTTGGTCCTTAAAACATGATTAGGCTTACTTCCTATAATAGACTTATGGACTTAAGTCTTTAAAATATTGTGAATAGACGCCTGTATTCTTTACAAGACTTCCAGAGGGGACCATGGCAAAGGAAGGGTTAAGCATCTGCGTCAGATTAACAGAGCCTTGATGCCTGTGGCCGGATCCTCCTCTGTCTTTGCCCCACCGCTTTGCACAGTGCCACTTTGTACCACATGACTTTTTATTTGTTTGCTTCTTTGTTTTGAGGCAGGATCTAGCTTTGTCACCCAGGCTGGAATGCAGTGGTGCAATCACCACTCACTGCAGCCTTGACCTCCTGGGCTCAAGGGATCCTCCCACCTCAGCCTCCTGAGTAACTGGGACTACAGGCAAGTGCCAGCACACCCAGCTAATTTTTTTTATTTTTGGAGATGAGATCTCACTATGTTGCCCAGGCTGGTCTCGAACTCCTGGGCTCAAGTGATCCTTCCCCCTCTGCCTCCCAAAGTGCTGGGATTACAGACGTGAGCCACAGCACCCGATCCCTATTTATTTTACTCTCTCTGTGTTTCCTTATATCCTGTGAAGATGGGTACAGTGGGAACTGGGTAGTAATTCTACACATGTTCTGGATTTTAGCTACTCACTCACATTTATGATTACTTTACCTGTCAGTTAATTGCCTTTCTTTTCACTCGAGTTTTAGTGATTTTCACTGTCCAGAAGAATCATATATAGTTGACCTTTGAACAACACAGGGGTTAGAGGTACTGACCCTCACACAGTGAAAAATCCAAGTACAACTTTTGACTCCTCAAAAGTTTTACTGACAGCCTGTTAGTGACCGGAAGCCTTACCAGTTACATAAACTGGCGATTAAGATGTTTTGTAAGTTACATACGTTATATACAATATTCTTCCAATAAAGTAAGGTAGAGAAAAGAAAATGTTAAGGAAATCCTAAGGATAAGAAAACACACTTTCTGTTAAGTGGAAGTGGATCATCAAAAAGGTCTTCATCCCCATTGTCTTCACATCAAGTAGGCCAAGGAAGAGGAAGAGGAGGGTTGGTCTTGCTGTCTCTGGTGACAGCAGAGGAGGAGGTGGGAGGGGAGCCAGGCACACTCAGTGTAATTTTACCAAAAAATATTCAAGGTGAAGTGGAACCATACTGTTCAGACCCATATTCAAGGGTCAACTTGTGTGTGTGTGTGTGTGTGTGTGTGTTTGTACAACCACACATAAATAATAATATATATAAATAAGATAGGTCCCATCAATCTTATCCTTCATCATTTCTAATATGGTTTCAATGATGGAAAATAGTATTTTCAGGTCGGGCATGGTGGCTCATGCCTGTAATTCTGGCACTTTGGGAGGCCAAGGTGGGTGGATCACTTGAGGTCAGGAGTTCAAGACCAGCCTGTCCAACATGGTGAAACCCTATCTGTACTCTAAATACAAAAATTACCCCAGTGTGGTGGTGAATGCCTATAGTCCCAGCTACTTGGGAGGCTGAAGCAGGAGAATCCTTGAACCCGGGAGGTGGAGGTTACAGTGAGCTGAGATCATGCCACTGCACCCCAGCCTGGGAGACAGCATGAGACTCCGTCTCAAAAAAAAAAAAAAGAAAAGAAAACAGTCTTTTCTCCTCAATCCATTTTCTTATTCTTCAGTGATTTATTGTATCTTTAACTTGTCTGAAATTTATTATAGCATATAGAGTAATATCTGTTTCTTTTTCTTATTCTTTAATACTCAGTTTGCCCAATAATATTGATGACTTCTTCCCCCGATAAATAATATCTGACAAATCGGGCATAATTACACATACATCTGGATTTCTGTCTATAATTTCATTCTATCAGTCTAGTTTTTCACTCTAATAAGTGCCACACTCTTTTGATGAAGTCTCCTTGTTTTCTATTTCAATATCTTGTATAGCCAGTTTACTATTGTTTTTACTTTAAACAAAAACAACGACCTTTAGTATTTTGGGCACCTATTTTTTCTCTATGCATCTCATCATTTTACCACTTTTTTTTTTTTTTTTTTGGAGACGGAGTCTCATTCTGCCACCCAGGCTGGAGTGGCAGTGGTGTGATCTTGGCTCACTGCAACCTCTGCTTCATGGGTTCAAGTGATTCTCCTTCCTCCTGCCTCAGCCTCCTGAGTAGCTGGGATTACAGGCACCCACTACCATGCGAAGCTAATTTTTGTATTTTTAGTGGAGGCGGGGTTGCACCATGTTGGGCAGGCTGGTCTCAAACTCCTGACCTCGAGATCTGCCCGCCTTAGCCTCCCAAAGTGCGGGATTACAGGCATGAGCCACCATGTCCAGCCATTTTACCAACTTTTATAAATTAACTTGGGAAAGAAATGTATGTTTCTTTATATTTAATGCAACTGCACTAAGAAATGTATCATTCTTTTCCTTTGCTCCAAGCATTTTGTAATCTGATTTTTCTATTGGTGGAATTTATACTACATTATTTTAATTCCCACATGCTTATATGTTTATCCCTGTTGTAAATGAGAAAGATCTTTTATTTTATTTTGTGGATGTTTATTACTGGTATAGGGGAGTTTGTTATTTTCTTGTCTTTACCAAGAAACATAGCGCTTTGCTGAACCCATGATTGTCCCAGTCCATTTGCTCAAGTGAATCCCTTGGATTACATGAGACTGCATTACCTACAAGTAGTGAATGTGCACCCTTTGTGACACTCAGAGCCTCTGATCCTTTTCTTTCATTCCTGTTTTCAAGAGGAGCATTCTATTATAGCTCTGGGAAGAATTGTGGAGGCTCTTGGTTTAAGTCTGTGTCCTTTTCCATGTTAACCAAATGCTCCAGTGATTTCCCCTCTGTAAATTGAACTGTGAAGTGGTTTCTAGATTCCATGGGATTAAAACCCCACAACTGTGTGAGATTCTCCTAGTGGGGTAGTTAGTTTTCTATTAGGTCAGTGCAAAAGTAATTGCAGTTATTGCCATTAAAAGTAATGGCAGGTCGGGTGCGGTGGCTCACGCCTGTAATCCCAGCACTTTGGGAGGCCGAGGCAGGCACATCACCTGAGGTCAGGATTTCAAGACCATCCTGGCCAACACGGCAAAACTCCGCCTCTACCAAAAATACAAAAATTAGCTGTGCGTGGTAGTGGGTGCCTGTAATTCCAGCTATTGGGGAGGCTGAGGCATGAGAATTGCTTGAACCCAGGGGGCAGAGGTTACAGTGAGCATAGGTCATGCCACTGCACTCCAGCCTGGGTGAGAATGGTGAAAGTCCATCTCAAAAAAAAAAAAAGAAGTAGGCCAGGCACGGTGGCTCACGCCTGTAATCCCAGGACTTTGGGAGGCTGAGGCAGGTGGATCACCTGAGGTCAGGAGTCCTAGACCAGCCTGGCCAACTTGGTGAAACCCCGTCTCTACTAAAAAATACAAAAATTAGCCAGGCATGGTGGCAGGTGCCTGTAATTCCAGCTACTTGGGGGGCCGAGGCAAGAGAATTGCTTGCACGTGGGAGGTGGAGGTTGCAGTGAGCCGAGATCACACCACTGCACTCCAGCCTGGGGGACAAGAGCGAGATTTCATCTCAAAAAAAAAAGTAATGGCAAAACTGCAAATACTTTTGCACCGACCTAATAGTAGGATTACACTTTTATACAGTACATTTCATTCCATTTTTATTTTACATATTTTATAGATTTTCTTACTTGATTATTTAAGAGAAGTTGAAGCTCATGTTTCTATTTACTGTGCTGTTTAGCATTTCTTATTTCTCCCTAACAATATTATGCCACATATAATATTGGTTAGTCTGGCTTCAAACCTTGCCTTAATTAGCCTTTAAAAAAAATCTAGTTGGCCAAGCACACTGGTGCACACCTATAACCTCAACACTTTGAGAGGCCAAGGCAGGAGGATCACTTGAGCCCAGGAGCTGGAGACCAGCCTGGGTAACGTAGCGAGATCATCTCTCTAAAAAAATTAAATTAGCTGGGCATGGTGGTGCTCACCATAGTCTTAGCTACTTGGGAGACTGAGGAGGGAGGATTGCTTAAGCCCAGGAGGTCAAGGCTGCAGTGAGCCAAGATCGTGCCATTGCACCCCAGCCTGGGCAACAAAGTGAGATCCCATCTCAAAAAAAAATCTAGTTAATCATCGCCTTTTTACTCAAAATGTGTTTCTACCACCCTTTTTGGGTTTTTTTAAAAATATGTATTTTATTTTTATGGGTAAATTGGGCCTAATTATGTTTACTGATATAACTTTTTAAAATTATTGTTATACTTTAAGTTCTAGGGTACATGTGCAAAACGTGCAGATCTGTTACATATGTATACATGTGCCGTGTTGGTTTGCTGCACCCATTAACTCCTCATTTACATTAGATATAACTCTTAACTGAAATTTCTCTTTACTGTTGAATTGTTGACCCTTTTCATTTTTCTAGTTCACAGTATCTCTGCCCTAGGCTTTCTGATCCATTTAAGGAAGATTGCGTGAACAGCCTAATTGACCCTGTGAATGTCCCCTGAGCCTTCTAATTAGCCCTGCCTTGAGTCTCCTCTTGTTACTGAAATTCACTTTCTGATGCAGAACCATTGAGCCCTTCTGAAACCTTTTCAAAACTACATATTTAAATTTTCTTATCATACTGTACTGTTATTAGATTACATGTCTAGTATAGCAGCAAATTGTACTTCATTATATTAACCTTGCTACCTCCCTCTACAATGAGACCTGATCTTTTATAAAATACTCTGGACCTACAGATTCCGGCTGGTGAATTCTTTAAAGTTACCTGGATTTCAATGATTGTCTACTCCCTTTACAAAGCAGCTGCTGTTTAGCAGGATTATCAGTTAGTGGTGAGAATCCTTTATTCTCTATTATATGGTAAATATTTTTCACCAACTTGAGGGATGCCACGCAGATCCCATGGGGTTGACACACATAGACAAAGACGTTCTTCTCATCACATTGTTTTAAACAATCGAGCTGCCATTTTAACTTTCACTAAACTCAGAAATTTACCAGCTGGGCTGGGCGCAGTGGCTCACACCTATAATCTCAGCACTTTGGGAGATCGAGGCAGGTGGATCATTTCAGGTCAGGAGTTTCAGACCAGCCTGGCCAACATGGACAAACCCCATTTCTAGTAAAATTCAAAAATTAGCTGGGCGTGGTGGTGCACTCCTGTAATTCCAGCTACTCGGGAGGCTGAGGCATGAGAATTGCTTGAACCTGGGAGGGAGAGGGTGCAGTGGGCTGAGATTGCGCCACTACACTCCAGCCTGGGTAACAGAGAGAGACTACGTCAAAAGAAAAAAAAAAGAAGAAGAAAGAAAGAAATGTATCAACTTGACACATCAGGGTTCTTCTGTAAGTTAAAACCTGGGAAGCGCCCTACCCTGGCGTTTGAAAAGTGGCTGAAGGGCCGGGTGTGGTGTCTCACGCCTGTAATCCCAGCACTTTGGGAGGCTGAAGTAGGCGCATCACGAGGTCAGGAGATAGAGACCATCCTGGCTAACATGGTGAAACCCCATCTCTACTAAAAATACAAAAAATTAGCCAGGCATGGTGGTGGGTGCCTGTAGTCCCAGCTACTCGGGAGGCTGAGGCAGGAGAATGGCGTGAACCCAGGAGGCAGAGCTTGCAGTGAGCCGAGATCACGCCACTGCACTCCAGCCTGGACAACAGAGCGAGACTCCGTCTCAAAAAAAAAAAAAAGAAAGAAAAGTGGCTTAATCCAGTTTCCTGTCCAGAATTACAATGACATTGTATTAATACATCGATGATGAAAAGCATAGCTAAGCTGTAAGGCCAGTTATTGGATATACATCTTCCTAATGGAGAGATTATTATCACGGGAAACAGCTTTTGGCTTGTCCAATAAGACTCCTTTCCAGCCAGGCATGGTGGCCCACACCTGTAATCCCAGCACTTTGAGAGGCCAAGCTGGGAGGATTGCCTGAGCTCAGAAATTTGAGAGAGGCTGGGCAACATAGCGAGAACTCATATCTACTAAAAATTAAAAACCCTTTCCAACATGAATTTTTTTTTTTTTTGAGATGGAGTCTTGCTCTGTTGCCCAGGCTGGAGTGTGGTGGTGCATTCTTCTGCCTCAGCCTCCTGAGTAGCTGGGACTACAGGTGCCCACCACCACACCCGGCTAATTTTTTGTATTTTAATTAGAGATGGGGTTTCACCTGTTAGCCAGGATGGTCTCGATCTCCTGACCTCGTGATCCGCCTACCTCGGCCTCCCAAAGTGCTGGGATTACAGGTGTGAGCCACCATGCCCGGCCACGAATTTTTTTTTAAGACAGGTCTTGGCCGGGTGTGGTGGCTCACGCCTGTAATCCCAGCATTTTGGGAGGCCGAGGAGGGCAGATCACGAGGTCAGGAGATCCAGACCATCCTGGCTAACATGGTGAAACCCCGTCTCTACTAAAAATACAAAAAAAATTAGCCTGGCATGGTGGTGGGTGCCTGTAGTCCCAGCTACTCAGGAGGCTGAGGCAGGAGAATGGCGTGAACCCGTGAGGCAGAGCTGGCAGTGAGCCGAGATTGCTCCACTGCACTCCAGCCTGGGCGACAGAGTGACAGGTCTTGGGCTGGGCCTGGTGGCTCACACCTGTAATCCCAGCACTTTGGGAGGCCGAGGCAGGCGGATCACATCTTGGGCCTGGCACGGTGACTCACACCTGTAATCTCAGCACTTTGGGAGGCCAAGGCAGGTGGATCACGAGGTCAGGAGACCGAGACTGTCATGGCTAACACGGTGAAACCCCATCTCTCCTAAAAAATACAAAAAATTAGCCGGGCATGGTGGCGGGTGCCTGTAGTCCCGGCTAACCTGGAGGCTCAGGTAGGAGAATGGCATGAACCCGGGAGGCAGAGCTTGCAGTGAGCCGAGATCATGCCACTGCACTCCAGCCTGGGTGACAGGGTGAGACTCTGTCTCAAATTGATCTGTTGCCCAGGCTGTAGTGCAATGGCACAATCATAGCTCACTGCAGCCTTGAACTCCTGGGATCGAGCCATCCTCCTCCCTCTCCCTCCCAAGAAGCTGGTTCTACAGGTGCACAACAGAACATCCAGCTATTTTTTTTTTTAATTTATTGTAGAGACCAAGTCTTGTTATGTTGCCCAGGCTCCTCTCTAGCTCCTGGCCTCAAGTGATCCTTCCACCTGAGCCTCCCCAAATCCTGGGATCACAGGTCTAAGCCACCCCACTCAGCCCAAAACAAATTCTATAACCAAACCAGAAAAGTTTTTTGTTTAGTTTTTCACCTTAAAACTTTCATTACCCCTACTTCCCACAAAGTATTTGAAGTGCATTTAATACAAGACACAGAATCAATAAAGCTCTTAAGTGAAGTCTGAGATTTAAAGGGGGATAGCTCTGTGGGGAAGATAACTTCTAGGCTTGGCTTTGAATAAAAAGCTCAACTCTTCAATAATCTGGTGTGACTAAGACATTCTCTACCTACTTTTTTTTTATTGTTAAGAGTTCGAGGCCAGGTGCGGTGGCTCATGCCTGTAATGCCAGCACTTTGGGAGGCCCAGGCAGGAGGATCACTTGATGTCTGGATGTCTGGATGATTCAAGCACATTACATTATTGTGCACTTTATTTCTCTTATTCTATTATTATATTTTATTTCTATTATTACATTGTAATATATACTGAAATAATTATACAACTTATCATAATGTAGAATCAGTGGGACCCCTAAGCTTGTTTTCCTGCAACTAGATGGTCTCATCTGGGGTTAATGGGAGACAGTGACAGATCATCAGTCATTAGACTCTCATAAGGAGTAGGCAACCTAGATCCCTCACATGCACAGTTCACAATAGGGTTCACATTCCTGTGAGAATTTAATGCCACAGCTGGTGTAACAGGAGGTGGAGCTCAGGCAGGAGTGTGAGTGATGGGGAGCATGTGTAAATTCAGATGAAGCTTCGCTTGCTTGCCCTCCACTCACTTCCTGCTGCTCGGTCCAGTTCCTAATAGGCCATAGCCTGGGGGTTGAGGACCCCTGCCCTAGGGGATCATCTATTTCCTTGCCCTTTTCAGCTTCTAGAGGCTGCTCACATCACATTTCTCTCTTCATAACCCCCTTCTCTGTTTTCAAATCCAGGAACATTGCATCTCTCTCACCATTCTCACATAATCACAGCTCCCTCTCTGACTCTTTTTTTTTTTCAGATGGGGTCTTGCTCTGTTGCCCAAGCTGGAGTGCAGTGATACCCAAATCCTAATCCCCAGAACGTGTGGATATGTTATCTTACATGGACAAAATGATTTTGCAGATGTGATCAGGGTTAAGGACTTTGAGATGAGGGTATCATCTCAGATTATCCAGGTTGGATATTATCCATCGCTCACTGCAGCCTCAACCCCCTGTGCTCAAGTGATCCTCCCTTTTCAGCCTCCCACGTAGCTAGGAACTACAGGCATGCACCATGATGCCTGGCTAATTTTTACATTTTTCTTTTGTAGAGACAGTCTTGCTATGTTGCCCAGGCTGCTTTCAATCTCTTAGGCTAAAGCGATCCTCGTGCCTCAGCTTCCCAAAGTTCTGGGATTACAAACATGAGCCACTGTGCCCAGCCACTCTCCGACTCTGACCTCATCTGGAAAAGTTTCTTTTAAGGACTCATGTGATTAGGTTGAGCTCATCTGCATAATCTGAGATGATACTCTCATCTCAAAGTCCTTAACCTTAATCATATCTGCAAAATCCTTTTGTCCATGTAAGATAACATATTCACACGTTCTGGGGATTAGGATTTGGGTATCTTTAGGGGACCATTATTCTGCCCACCAAAGAGATGAACAGAAATATTTTGGGGTGAAATGATGCCAAAGGAGAAAGCAGGGTAGAAAAGAAGGGAATTTGCCACTGATGTTGGTTTCCATGTGACCTCATGTCTAATTCAAACATTGATGAAATCTGCCAGCATTTGAGCTGTACTTAGAATAGAGTCATTTGCAGAAGATCAAAAAAGATCCTGGAAAAAGAATAAGATAATCAAAGGGGTTGAGGGAAGCAGTTCCAGACTCTCAGATTAACTGCAGAGTGGGGAGGGTAGAGGTGGAGAGGTGGCGTAGGAGGGTTATGGGGGGCAGTGTGAGGGTGGGAGGAGTTGCAGGCTCCCAGATGTACTGTGAAACATGAAAATAAATGAGGTGAAGAGAAGAAAAAGGCTGAAAAGTATACATGTCCTTGTCTTTCATAAAAGAAAGCTAAGATAGACTGGGTGTGGTGGTTCACGCCTGTAATCCGAGCACCTTGGGAGGCCGAGGAGGGTGGATCAACTGAGGTCAGGAGTTTGAGACCAGCCTGGCCAACATGGTGAAACCCCATCTCTACTAAAGATACAAAAAAAAAAATATGAGCGAGGTGTGGTGGCGGGCACCTGTAATCCCAGCTACTCAGGAGGCTGAGGCAGGAGAATAGCTTGAACACGGGAGGTGGAGGCTGTAGTGAGCTGAGATCGTGCCATTGCACTCCAGCCTAGGCAACAAGAGTGAAATTCTATCTCAAAAAAAAAAAAGAAAAGAAAAAGAAAAAAGAAAGAAAGAGCTAAGATAACTAAGCTCCCCAATAAAAATAGCAAAAATAGCTTTTTTTTTTTTTATTAGAGAGCTTAGTTATGGAGAGGTAATTTTGGTATTAATGCTTTAAAGGAAGCCCTAGCAGAATCAAAAACTGTATGTTTGTCTTCCAAATGAGTGACAAAGATGACAACAAGTAGAGCATTGCCTAGACATCAGAAGGCCAAATAGAAGATTCAATAGCAGAATATTAAAATACAGCATGAAATAGACTGACAGAGGGTGGATCCAGGAGGCACTTACACCAGTGATTTGTACCTAACGGTGTAAATTCCACTGCCAAGAAACCAAGACTCTCACACTACAGGACTGTATTTGTTTAACAAATTGCTGCTTCTGAAACATCTCGCTGAAGCTGAATGACCTCAAAAGTCTAAAAGCAAACTTGAGAAAGGCAATATTAATTAAAAAAGAAAAGGTGACTTCCAGTGTAGAAAATAGTAACCTAACATCTAGGGCAAAACTATTGGCCATGACAAGCAGGAAAATTACTTATGATAAAAATCTAAAATCAATAATACAATTTTGAGATTATCAAAGTTTAATTCTTTGAATCAATATAATAAATAAAATACAACCCACGGGAAAGACATGAAAATCATAATTAGAGGATAATTTTTTTTCTTGTTCTTTTTTGAGACAGAGTCTTGCTCTGTCGCCCAGGCTGGAGTGCAGTGACATCTTGGCTCACTGCAACCTCCACCTCCCCTGTTCAAATGATTCTCCTGCCTCAGCTCCTGAGTAGCTGGGATTTCAGGCACCTGCCATCATGCCTGGCTAATTTTTGTATTTTTAGTAGAGATGGGGTTTCACCATGTTGGCCACGCTGGTCTTGAACTCCTGAACTCAAGTGATCCGCCCACCTCAGCCTCCCACTGACCTCAAGTGATCCGCCCACCTCTGCCTCCCAAAGTGCTGAGATTATAGGCGAGAGCCACCTCACTCAGCCTAGAGAATGATTTTGATTGTTATATGTTAATGTCAAATTAAGGACACAAAAAGTAAATATGGATATAAATGATATAAACAATGAAAATAAGTTAGATGGAATGAATAAGTTTTTTTACTTTATTGAAAATATACCTTCTTTTCTTATGTTTGTGATTGTTTATACAAATTGATTATATGATACACACTAAAAGGCACAAAGATTCAAAAAAAAGCATTCAATAAATATAGAATTTTTACAAGTATTTTATTAAATAACAATTGTCTCACAGCTCAAGATTAAAACCACAGATTATTCAGAAAATAAGGAAACTTCTTTTTTATTTTAAAACATTACAGAAACAGGCTGGGGGCGGTGGCTCACCCCTGTAATCCCAGAACTTTGGGACACGGAGGCAGGAGGATCACTTGAGGTCAGGAGTTCAAGACCAGCCTGGCCAACATGGTGAAACCTCACCTCTACTAAAAATTCAAAAACTAACCAGGCATGGTGGCGGATGCCAGTAATCCCAGCTAGGGAGGTTGGAGTGAGCTGAGATCGCACCACTGCTCTCCAGCCTGGGAAAAGGAGTATGACTCTGAATCAGACACACACACACACACAGACACACACACACACACACACACACACACACATAACCCCTGCCACCAAAACCACTATAGAAACATATATTCAGTCATGCGCCACATAATGACACTTGGATCAGTGATGAATTGTGTCTATGACAGTGGTCCCATGAGATTATAATAATGTATTTTTTGCTGTTTCTTTTCTATGTTTAGATACACAAACACCATTGTGTTATAGTTGCCTACAGTATTCAGTACAGTCATATGCCGAATAGATTTGTAGCCAGGGAGCAATTGGCTCTACCATATGGCCTAGGTGTGTGGTCGGCTCTACCATCTAGCCTTGTGTAAGCTCACTCTGTGATGTTCACACAATGATGGAATTGCCTAATAGAGCACTTGTCAGAATATATCTGTTTTTAAGTGATGAGTGACTGCAGTGTGGTCAAAGCAGGACTCCAAAATAAATTCTTAGCTTTGAATATTTCATAATAAAATAAAAAGTTGAAAATAAGCAAAATGAAGCATTCTAACTAAAATTTAAAAATAAAGAAAATAATTATACTGTCTACTTAAACGACATGAAACCGTGAAACCTAGCAATAAATGTATTTTAGAAAAGACTAATAGAATAACTAAAATACTAGTTATTTTAGTATAAAATATTACACTAAATATAAAATGAAATAATTAATATTAATAATATTAATTAGTAAATAAATAGTAATTAATATTAAATAAAATACTAAAATAACTGGGGCTGGTGGTGGTGGCTCACACCTGTAATCTCAGCACTTCTGGAGGCAGAGGTGGGTGGATCACTTGAAGTCAAGAGTTTGAGACCAGCCTGGCCAACGTGGTGAAATCTCTACTAAAATACAAAAGTTAGTCTGGCCTGGTGGTGCACACCTGTAATCCCAGCTACTTGGGTGGCTGAGGCAGGAAAATTGCTTGAACTCGGGAGGCAGAGGTTGCAGTAAGCAGAGATCACGCCACTGCACTCCAGCCTGGGCAACAGAGTGAGAATCCATCTAAAAAAAAAAGAACTAAAACACTAGCAAGTTTCAAAACATGAGAGAAAAAAAGGAGGTGTAACAATAGAAAATAATAATGCACTTTTAATGCATTATTATAAATGCAATTATAAGGTATACATAATTATATTCTATTAATAATGAAGCATCTTAATGAGATGTATTATTTTTACATAACATAAATTGACAATGGCAAATTGATATAAGATCAAATAAGAATTTGAAATTATACTAAGGAATGAAACAAATGAGAAATATTTAATGTGGGTGTTTTCTGCTCCCTGTCTTTACAAAAAGACAGAAAGCTATAAGATTTATCCTATAAGGCAGATGTTCCTGTTCCCAATACCTGACCAAGATAACCAAAAGTATATTAGAATAATCTCACTTGTGAATACAAAACTATGTGATTAATAACAAAGTAAGTACAATTTAATGATATCTTAAAATAATAATGTAAAAGCACAAAGGGTTTATCCCAAGTATAGAAGTGATCAATATTAAGAAAAACATTAATATATTACTATAGCTTATATTACATCTCTAAAAAATGAATCTATAAATCAATAAATGAGTAGATATTAAAGGGTGTTTTATCAAGTCAATCCATTATTATTTTAAAGTCTTATAAAGACATATAAGAATTAGAGACTACTTCCTTAATATTATCAAGAGTATATTCTAAGCTATTAATAATAATTGACATTATGCTCCAAGGAGAAATAAGCCCTCTAAGGATTTCTCTTCAAGCAAAGCACTTAACAAAAGTCCCTTGTCTGCCTTTTCAGTTAATTCACTTTTGAAAGTTATGAGAACCGGCTTTGTGTATCTTGGCTATCAAGGAGGTTAGAGACTCAACTTTCATCTGAAAGAACTCTAAGTATCTGATATAATGTTTGTCCCCTCCAAATCTCATGTCGAAATATGATCCCCAATGTTAGAGGCGTGTGGTCATGGGGTGGATTCCTCATGAATGGCTTGGTGCCCGCCCCAAGGTAATGAGTGAGTTCTTGCTCTGTTAGTTCACTGAAGAGCTGGATGGTTATTTATTTATTTATCTATTTATTTATTTTGAGACAGAGTCTCGCTCTGTCACCCAGGCAGAATTGCAGTGGCATGATGTCAGCTCACTGCAACCTCCACCTCCCGGGTTCAAGCGATTCACCTGCCTCAGCCTTATGAGTAGCTGGGGCTACAGGCACCCGCCACCCCGCCTGACTAATTTTTTATATTTTTAGTAGAGATGGGTTTTCACTGTGTTAGCCAGGATGGTCTCAATCTCCTGACCATGTGATCCATCCGCCTTAGCCCCCCAAAGGGCAGGAATTACAGGCATGAAGAGCTGGTTGTTTAAAGGAACCTGGTACCTCTTCCTCTCTTTCTTGCTTCCTCTCTCTCCATGTGATTCACTGGCTCCTCATTCACCTTCTACCATGATTGGAAGCTTCCTGAGGTCCTCACCAGAAGCAGACACTGGCACCATGCTTCTTGGACAGCCTGCAGAACCATGAGCCAAATAAACCTCTTTTCTCTCTAAATTACCCAGTCTCAGGTATTGCCTTATAGCAATGCAAAATGGACTAACACAGTAACCTCAAGACACTAGTTCTCTTCCTGCTTCCAGGTGGGGCACCGCTTGCTTTCTCACCAGGTGCTGCTTTGGAAACACAGCACAATGAAAAACAGAAAGCTCGCTTTTACTTCTTAGGGGTTATCTGGTCTGAATCCCCCATTTTGCATGTGAGAACACTGAACTTCGGAAAGGAAAAGTGAGCTATGTAAGAGCAAACACTTACTGGCAGAGCTAGGGATGAATAATCACAATTTATAGAACACCCGCCACTCACCCCTTGAACAGCCTTAGGAAAAATATTGCACTTCCTATTGCATTCTTTTTTTTGTTTATTTTGGAGATGGAGTCTCACTCTGTCACCCAGGCTGGAGTGCAGTGGCATGATCTTGGTTCACTGCAACCTCCGCCTCCTGCTTTCAAGTAATTCTGCCTCAGCCTCCCAAGTAGCTGGGATTACACGCATCCACCACCACACCTGGCTTAATTTTTGTATTTTTAGTAGAGACGGGGTTTCACCATGTTGGTCAGGCTGGTCTCGAACTCCTGATCTCAAGTGATTCACCTGCCTCACCTTCCAAAGTGCTGGGATTACAGGACCTATTACATTCTTGCAGATGAGAAGAGTGAGGCTTGGAGGCATTAAACATCTGTCCTAAGATCACCCAGTTAGAAGAAGCAGAGCAGAGCGGACAGAACACCCAGGATAAGTTTGTAATTTTTATTTTTTATAACATTTCATAAAATAATGTTAAAATGTTTATATCTCTCTTTTTTTTTTCTGAGACAGAGTCTTGCTCTGTCACCCAGGCTGGAGTGCAGTGGCGTGATCATAGCTCACTGCAGCCTCGACCTCCCCTGCTCAAGCAATCCTCCCACCTCAGCCTGATGAGTAGCAGGGACTACAGGTACGCACCACCACACCTGTCTAATTATTTTTTTTTTATTTTGCAGAGATGGTGGTCTCAATATGTTGCTTGGCTGGTTTCGAACTGGGTTGAACCAATCCTCTTGCCTTGGCCTCCCAAAGTGTTGCAATTACAGGTGTGAGCCATCACACCCAGCCTTGTACCTCTTTTAAATATTTGTTCACTATTTATTCAATGAGTCAGGATCAGCATATCACCTACCATGTTAAGGGCAAACCAGCAAAGCAGAAGTCCAGAACAGACACCACATTTCTGATGTATGACATGTTGACATGGCCTAGGACCCTGTCTCTTAATCTGGTTCGGAGACAGAGTTTTGGATTGGAACTCAAATTTGCTGGTTCCATAGCCTGTGTACTGGGCTATGGCACTCAGACCTGATTCCTGGACAAATGTACTTTCCTTGCGAACCCCTTTCTGAAAACCGAAACTGAAGGTGGCATTATTTTCCCCTCCCAGGTCCTTCCAGGGGTACTTCTTGTCCACCTACATTGCACAGAGTAATAAGCATGAGACCAGGCAGGCAGGGTCTAGCCTCACCTAGAGGATAAGACCGGGTTGAAACATGCAACTGCATTTTCAGGCTGTGGTTTAACGTTTGTCTCTGGAAATTCCAGCCAGGTGGGGCTAGTCTTGACTTCTCTGGCTTCTTTAGGAAGCTTTCTCTTCTGGCTCCTGATGTTTGGCTTTCTGTGGGAAGGTGCCTGTAAACTTTCTCCCCATGGACTCTGACCTTGCTGCTTGTAGTCTGATCTTTGCTTTGGTTTCTTTCTTGCAGGAGAAGGCTTCCACTGCACAACTGGAAGAAATCATTGCTTTCGGAATTTTCTATCCTGCAGCCCTTAGCTACCCTTTGCTGGAATGCTGCCACCATGACTGCTAGAGACACTTCGTGGAAGACCACAGGATGTGCCATCTTTTCTCATGTGGGCCACGCACAAGCTTCTGTTCATTCCACCTATGGTTTGAAGGTCAACCCTGTGCAGTACCTGTTTAATCTCTAGAAGAGATGCTGATAAAACTTGGAAATGGGCCGAGCGTGGTGGCTCAGGCCTGTAATCCCAGCACTTTGGGAGGCCGAGGCGGGCGGATCACGAGGTCAGGAGATCGAGACCATCCTGGCTAACACGATGAAACCCGTCTCTACTAAAAATACAAAAAATTAGCCAGGTGTGGTGGCAGGCGCCTGTAGTCCTAGCTACTCGGGAGGCTGAGGCAGGAGAATGGCGTGAACCTGGGAGGCGAAGCTTGCAGTGAGCCGAGATGGAGCCACTGCACTCCAGCCTGGGCAACAGAGCAAGACTCTGTCTCAAAAACAAAAAACAAACCAAAAAAAACTTGGAAATGTTGTAGCTCAGGTATCTCCGTTATGATTGAAACCACCTTTGCAAAAAGTATGACAGTGAGAGAAACATGACATAGAAAAATTATGACAGGGAAAGAAATCTGACCTGATTCCATTTTGCTTCTAACCTCCAATCTGCCTTTGTTCATTCTTGGCATAGACCAACCTAACCATGGGAGAAATTTAATTTACAGTTTGACTTTGAATCAAGGATAATAGGACTCCCTTTCTAAAACTGAACTCCTCCTTGTCCCAGTACTGAAACCATCTTTGTAAGATCCGTGAAAAACCACGAGATTGGGATTATAGGAGGGGTCTGAAATCTGCTCAGATGTAGGCTTAGTTAAATAATAACCCGCCATTGTTCCATAGCTTGCTTTCTTATAATCCCTAATCACTCAGGATTCATGAATCCAGACTTCACAAGATTTGTGACTTCCCCAATTGCTCATATAGATAACATCTCTATTGTAGAACCTAAAAGGGGCCTTTTGTGATGTTTTTCAGACTATTGCATTCTTACAACTAACTCCATTTGGACCCATGACTCATGACTCAACCCAGTCCTGTGGTCCCCACCCAAAGGCTGACTCGGCTCACAGGGACTGTTTTCCACACCCCTATGATTTTATCTTCAACCAGTAAGCACTACCCATTGCTTAGCCCCTCCCGGCCAAATTAGCCATGAAAACCCTAGCTTCCAAGCTTTCAGGGAGACTGATGTGAGTAATAAATTCCTATATCCTGTTTAGCTGGCTCTGTGTTTATTAAACTCTTTATTACAATACTTCTGTCTCAGTAAATTGGCTGTATCTGTGCAGTGGGGGATAAGAGGCTATCAGGCAATTACATGATTACTCCTTAATGCTTAATTAACAGCAATACTCATAAAGCACTATTTCTAAATATTTATTCAACACGATCCCCAGAGGCCCAGTGGCATGAACCATAACACTCAAGTTCTTCAAACTGATACCTTAAACTTTCTGGGCTTTATTCACTTCCCAGATATGATGGAAATCAAGTTTCACAACTTCCCCTTAGGAAGTTGAAATTATTTCTGATTCATGCCATAACTGCATCCAGTTCTCTCTCCTGCAGTATATTTTGCTCAATCCAAATGGGGCTTGTTGTGTTTTATCCTCATTCACACCATGTATTTCTACACTGTCACCCTTTGTCCAAGCCATTCTTTTTGCCTGACATGCCCTTCTCATGGATGGATCTCTGCCTTCCCACAGTCCACTTATGCTTCAAAATGCCTCTAAAAATAAAGATATCAAAAAGACACCTGCACTTGTATGTTTATCGCAGCATTATTCACAATAGCAAAGATGTGGAATCCACCTAAGTGCCCATCAAGGGAAGACTGGATTTTAAAAATGTGCTATATAGACACCATGAAATACTACTCAGCCATTAAAAAGAATGAAATAAAATAATGTCTTTTGTAGCAATGTGAATGGAACTGGAGGCCATAATCCTAGGTGAAATAACTCAGGAACAGAAAGCCAAATACCACACGTTCTCACTTGTAAGTGGGAGCTAATCAGTGCATACACATGGTCATACAGAGGGAATAATAGACATTGGAGACTATGAAAGGTGGGAGGCTGGGAGGGGGTGAGGACTGAAAAAGTACCTATTGGGTATAATGTTCACTATTTGGGCGATGGGTACATGAAAAGCCCAGACTTCACCACTCCACAATATATTCCCTAAGAAACCTGCACTTGCACCCCCTAAATACATAGAACTACAAACAGAATTTAACCCAAAACCAACAGAAAAGCACAAAGTGCTTCCAAATGCCAAATGTTTTATGCTGTGCTATGGAGCTGCGTGGTGTGGGGAACACATTCAAAATTCAGAGTTTTCATGTCTCCCTCAGCGGGTACTTTCTGCTGGGCTCCTTCTTGTCTCTGACAACCCAGGATGCATGGAGAGTTCACACACACACACACACACACACACACACGTGTATAAATACATATACACATATTTGTTACTACATATATACATATTTATAACTACACATACACATATATATGTATTTTTCACATCTGTCTATATCTGTCTATCCATCTCTGTATCCATCTACTTCTATTTATCCCTATCCATCTATCTATCCATTTCTCTCCATCTATACATATCTATTTATCTATCATGTATCCATCTATTGATCTATATCTATGTATCTCTCCCTATCCATCTATCCATATATCTATCCATTTTTCTCTCTCCATCTATATGTATCTATATTTATCTATCATCTATGTATCCATCTATTCCTCTATCTATCATCTATCTATCCATCTATCTATTCCTATTCAACTGTTTCTCTCTCCACCTATATCTATCTATCTATCTATATATCTATCTATCTTCTACTTATCTCTCTATGCCTATCCATCTGTTTCTCTCTCTCCATCTATACATATCTATCTATCTATCTATCTAGCATCTATCTATCTATTTCTATCATCTATCTATCTATCTATCTCATTTATTCTGCATGGCATGGCTTTGTGTCTTTTATCTTTAATTGATTCCAACAACACTCTGGGGAATGAATGAACACACGTTAAATAAATAAGAGAATGGTCCAGGACGCTACTGTCTGATTTTCTTCCAGGCCTATTGGCTGGTTGGGTCCATGCGTGTAATGTCAGGGTTGGATATCTTGGCTGCTACGACATATTCCATTTGAGGAATAATTTAGAAGTATGGGCGCAAGATAAAAATGTCAGTCTGGCTCCTGGTTAACGGGTGTTTCTAATTAAGCCACGATATACAGTGCTCACAGCCAAATACAGTGTGGCTCCGGCGATAACTCACCAAATAGTGTGTTGTCTTCATTATCTCATTCCCTGACATGTCCCTGATGAGTTTATAAATCCCTGTGGAATCATGGCCTTGATATCTTTAATGAGGCCTTTAAAAACTGGGGCAAAATTATAGCAACAGATAAGGTTGGCTCCGCTGTAGACCTACTTCATAAAGGTTTCTCCTCCCCCTAGTGAAATAAACACCATTTGCTAGACCCAGGAGTTTAATTCCATGTGAATTGGTCAGGGCATATGATTGAGTTAATTCTTCAAGCAGCAAAAGAATATTAAAAGCAGTTTCTGTCTTCCCTGACCTAGTGGGTAACTAGGTAACTAGAAATGGAAATATTCCTTTGCTCTAGTAAAGAGAAGGGTAGAGGCCAATGGTTCACGCCTGTAATCTCAGCACTTTGGGAGGCCGAGGCAGGTGGGTCACCTGAGGTGAGGTTCAAGACCAGCCTGGCCAACATGAAACCCCGTCTCTAGTAAAAATACAAAAATTAGCTGGGCAAGGTGGCAGGTGCCTATAATCCCAGCTACTCAGGAGGCTGAGGCAGGAGAATCACTTGAACCCAGGAGGCGGAGGTTGCAGTGAGCCAAGATGACACCACTGCACTCCAGCCTGGGCGACAGAGTGAGACTCCATCTACAAAAAAAAAAAAAATTGTACTTTTTGTAGAGGTGGGGTTTCACCCTGTTACCTAGGAAGGTCTCACACTCCTAAACTGCAGTGGTATGATCACAGCTCACTGCAGCCTTTCCAGTAATGTTTCTGCATTTAAAAAAAACAGGTGAGGGCTGGCACAGTAACTCACACCTGTTAACCCAGTACTTTGGGAGGCCAAGATGGGAGGATTGCTTGAGGTCAGGAGGTTGAGACCAGTCTAGTCAACGTAGCAAAACCCCATCTCTATTTTAAAAAAAAGAAAAAAAAAAGAGGCTGGGCGCAGTGTCTCATGCCTGTAATCCCAGCACTTTGGGAGGCCTAGGCAGGTGGATCATCTGAGGCCTAGGCAGGTGGATCATCAGCCTGGGTGACGGAGTGAGACTTCGTTTCAAAAAAACAAAACAAAAAACCAAGGCTGGGTGCAGTGTCTCACACCTGTAATCCATATAGTAGCACTTTTTTTTTTTTAATAAATCTTTGTTCCCATTTCAGATTGAGGTCAGGAGTTGGAGAGCAGCCTGACAAACACGGTGAAACGCCGTCTCTACTAAAAATAAAACAACAACAAAAATTAGCTGGGCTTGGTGGCACGTGCCTGTAGTACTAGCTACTTGCCAGGCTGAGGCAGGAGAATCACTTGAACCCAGGAGGCAGAGGTTGCAGTGAGCCGAGATCCCACCACTGCACTCCAGCCTGGGATACATAGCAAGACTCCATCAAAAAAAAAAAAAGAAAGAAAGAGAGAGAGAGGGAGGGAGGGAGAGAGAGAGAGAGAAAGAAGAGAGAGAGAAAGAAAGAAAAAGAAAGAAAGAAAGAAAGAAAAAGAAAGAAAGAAAGAAAACATAACAGTTGAGGTTAAATGAAGTAAATTTTTAATTTTTTTCACTTAGTATATCATTACTATCTTCTCTTACAATTAGAAATTTATAAAGTTTTTTAAAATGACTACACAATATTCCTTTAGGTAAAAAACATAACTTACCAATTAATTTTTTATTGTTGAATGTTTCAGTTTCTTGAAACTTTTCCATATAATGGCCCAGGTGTGGTGGCTTTACAGGTGGGATTACGCCTGTAATCCCAGCACTTTGGGAGGCCGAGGTGGGCGGATCACGAGGTCAGGAGATTGAGACCATCCTGGCTAACACGGTGAAACCCCATCTTCACTAAAAATACAAAAAATTAGCCAGGCGTGGTGACGGGCGCCTGTAGTCCCAGCTACTCGGGAGGCTGAGGCAGGACAATGGCGTAAACTCGGGAGGCGGAGATTGCAGTGAGCTGAGATTGCACCACTGCATTCCAGCCTGGGTGACAGAGTGAGACTCCGTTTCAAAAAAAAAAAAAATCCATATAGTAGTGAACTTTAAAAAAAAATAAATATTTGTTCCCATTTCAGATTGTTTTCTTGCACTGGGATCAAGCTGAAAGTATTAACAATCAAAATACTTGAATTTTGTTGATGAGTTAATGCTAATTATTTCTCAGTCTCTACCACTTTTGGGCATGAGCCACCATGCCCGGCCAAAACTCCATTTTAAAAGCCCAATTTTTCACTTCCATTTGCTTCAGTGTTTTTCATCTGTTAAATGGAGTTAATAACAATAACACCTGCTACATCTACCTCTGGTGATTGTTTTTAGATATGTGATGAAGGGCTGGATGCAGTGGCTCACAACGGTAATTCCAACAATTTGGGAGGCTGAGGTGGGAGGATCACTTGAGCCCAGGAGTAAGACCATCCTGGGCAACACACACCTCATCTCTACTAAAAATTAAAAAAAAAAATTAGCCCTTCATGGTAGCACACACTGGTAGTCCCAGCTAGTAGGGAGGTTGAGGCAGGAGGATCACTTGTGTGTTCGCTTTCCTAGCTAGTTGCTGTGGAAGGAGAATGCTTTCTTCATGGCCTCATCTGTCATTTCGTGTCCCTCTGAAGAAAACTAGTTTCCACTGTGTAACAGGCAGGCATGTAACTATCTAAAGCACAGTTCAGTCCTAAAAGGCCTGGGAGAACCGAATGATGTACTAGGTGAAGCAGTGCATTGTGGGAATCACAAAGCAAACAGTACTCCAGAAAGAGAAATATCAGAAGCTTCCCCTTCCATTTCTTTTTTCTTTTTCTTTTTTTTTTTTTGAGACAGGGTCTTGCTCTGTTGCCCAGGCTAGAGCGCAGTGGAGATCACAGCTCACTGCAGCCTTGAGCTCCTGGGCTCAAGCAATTCTCCCACCTCAGCCTCCTGAGTAGCTGGGACTACAAGTATGCACCACCATGCCTGGCTAATTTTTTGAATTTCTGTAGTGATAGGATCTCACTATGTTGCCCAGGCTGGTCTCGAACTCCTGGCCTCAAGCGATCGTCCCACCTCGACCTCCCAAAGTGCTGAGATTACAGGTGTGAGCCACCTCACCTGGGCCCCCTTCTCCATATGCCTCCAGAAACATGTCCCTGGAGAGTAGCCTGCTCCCACACTGTCACTGGATGTCATGGGGTCAATAAAATCTCCTGCGATTGTGTATCTCAGACATTTCTGTGTCTTTCATCCTCACCCTGGGACCCTAAGGGAAGACGGCCCTAGTGTCAGTAACTCTGGGCCTCCCCTAAAGAGAAACGGAGATGGCGGCTCATCTAGGAAGTGGAGGAGCAGGGGGTTCCTGGTTCTCAGGCCACGTGTGATCTCTGCCAACCCAGGGCCTGCCCCAGCCTGTAGGTATTGCTGTGTGGTAGGAAAACCTGCTTCCCTTGTGCACAGAAGCGATCGTGGCCTCAGCTCCAGGGGTTCCTGGCCAGGGCCAAGCGCTCCTTCTGCAGAGGCCTGCATGCATCTTACCCCTTTGACTTGTATTTCCGTGGCTTCCCCTCCCCACCTGCCCCCCAGCCCTCCCTGACTGGCCAGCCCCTCAGTAGTCCTCCTCGGCCAGGGAGAGGAGCACGGCCTTGGGTGTGTTCTTGAAAAGGGCTGCCCAGTTCTGCTGCTGCCCCTTCCTCGCCCAGGGGCCATAGATTCGGAAAGCATAGGCGTCGATGAGCCGGCGCAGAGGCTGGAGGGTGTAGGGGTGGGTCTCGGATGACGATCTCCCGGGTCACCGGGTTCACCCGGTGGTACTGGTAGTAGATCAGCACTGAAGCCAGCACAGTCAGAGCGATCACCTGCAGGGCCAGGCAGAGAAGCTGGGCTGCAGCCCACGCCCTGCCAGGCCCTGCCCCTCCAGCACAGGACTCTCTGGGCTCGTTTGCCACGAAGCCTTCGATGGCTTCTGCGGGGCCCTCCTAGTGTCCCCCACTTCCCACTTGGCCAGCATCCTCAGGGACGGAGCCAGTGGGCTGACACCTGCCATCTCTGAAGCCATCACAGGGCGGCTGGGAGGGGAGGGGTGGGTACTCTGGAAACCCGCGGGGTATAAGGACCCCTGGGAGAGGAGACGGCTTAGAGGTTTGCACTTGGGGAGCTGGCGGCAACTACCTCAGGGTCTGGGTCAGGAGGCTTCGTACCTTGAACTTCCCCCGGGGGCTGAAGTGCCGCACTTCCTCCACCACGTACTGCAGGAAGAAGGGGTGTGCCAAGGCCTCTTCCGCTGTGCAGCAGCTCTGGGGTTGCACCAACAGGAATCGGGAGACCTGGGAGGGGAGGAGAGGGTACCCGAGAAAGTTAAGGCAGGTCCCCTCCAGCATGTCAGGAGAGGCGGGGCCTCCCTGGGCAAGGGAGCCTGGGCAAGGGAGCACTCCATGATCTCAGGGCCAGGTAACTGGGGGTTCTGCAGACCTCTGCAGGAACAGTCATCATCAGGACATGTCAGCAGGGCGCTGAGAAGAGGAAGTCCAGGCCAGGCGCAGTGGCTCATGTCTATAATCCCAGCACTTTGGGAGGCCGAGGCAGGCAGATCACCTGAGGCCAGGAGTTAGAGACCAGCCTGGCCAACATGAGAAAACCCCATATCTACTAAAAATACAGAAATTAGCTGGGTGTGGTGGCACATGCCTGTAGTCCCAGCTACTCAGGAGGCTAAGGTAGGAGAATCGCTGGAACCTGGGAGGTGGAGGTTGCAGTGAGCCGAGATTGCCCCGCCACACTCCAGCCTGGGTGACAGAGTGAGACTCCATCTCAAAAAACAAAACAAAAACTGGAGTCAGCTGAAATACATTTTCAAGTGTAAATTTTTTTTTTGTTAAAAGTTGATGAGATCCTTCTTAATAATATATGCCTCATATTAATGGCAGGTGTTTTTAATATAGTTGCTTCTGATCTCCTGAGCACACCCAGTGTCAGTGACTGCCCTGAAACAGCATACCAAATGTGTGTTTGTGTTTGCCAGTATTCTTCTGGTGAAAGGGTCCAAAGCTTTTGCTAGATTTTCAAGGAGTCTATAATTCCCACTGTCCCCTACCACCCCAAAAATCTTTTTTAAGCTCTAGAAAAGAAATAATCTAAAAATGATTTTTAATTGCTAACCTTTAGTAACTGAATATGTGTATTTAAGCAACTTAATATTATTCAACAATATAACTGTGATTGTAAATACATTAAATTAGAAATCAGAGAGAATTAAATATTCCTACTTACATAACTTATCTATAAAATGTTTATTTTACTTTATCCTTGGGAAGGAGCAGGTAATTTTGCCACCTAAATTATTATTTAAATAACTCTAGGGGAAAAATAAGAGACTGCAGAGAAAGCATGCAATGATGTTTCAAAATCTTCTTTTTGGCCGGGCACAGTGGCTCACACCTGTAATCCCAGCACTTTGGGAGGCCAAGGCAGGCAGATCACAAAATCAGGAGTTCGAAACCAGCCTGGCCAACATGGTGAAACCCCATCTCTACTAAAAATACAAAAATTAGCTGGGCATGGTGGTGCACACCTGTAATCCCAGCTACTTGGTAGGCTGAGGCAGGAGAATTGCTTGAACCCAGGAGGCAGAGGTTGCAGTGAGCCAATATTGTGTCACTGAACTCCAGCCTGGGTGACAGAGCAGGACTCTATCTCAAAGAAAAAGAAAAAAATCTTCTTTTAAATTCAAAATTTAAATATTAAAAATCCCTGTATAGTAAAACTGCTATGTCTTTAGAAAAACAATCCCCCGCCTTACATGCTTTCAACTGTATCATATCTAAAGGAACAAAAATTAGTGATTTAGCACATTTAAAGTAAAGCATGCTAAAAGCTTCAATTAAAGGCAAACGCATAGCTTTCACAATTAAATTACTAAGGTATGTGCCCTAAATAAAAAAAATTACAGTAAAATTTGCTAAAGCTAATTTATTTCCCAAATTACTTTCATAATCATTACACTAAATCACTATGAAAATAAATATGTTGTGCGATTGTCTTCTGAAAGTCTGTTCAAAGTTCTAAACCTGCTAAATGTGTGTACTTTCTAAAAGAAATCTGCAATATCTAACAGCTAAGATACTGTAAGATTTTAGCCTTGTAAAAATAATCTGACCAAATATACTCAAATACCGTGAAAAATGTTCATTCATGCATATTTAAAATGAATTTTTTGAAGTCTCTCACCAGTAAAAATTATCTTTCAAATTTTTAATTTTTAAACTAACACCTCACTTCTAGTCATCTTGATTAATTTTTAAAAAATCAAAACAAACAATTGTGCTTACAATATAGAAAATGTAGGGAGATCACTTTTTGTCTTCACATTTACTATTTTGTTCCAAGTAAAACCTTTTATTAAATGGCTGGAAAAACCATTTCAGTTATATCATTGCCTGCCTGCTTTTTAATAGGAAACTCCTACCCACACACATATAGTAGTAAAGCTCACAAACCTACCAGCGAAATTAAAAACCCAGACAAAGTAATGGAAAAAGCCTAGTAAAACAAGAAAAAGAAAATGGTTACAACATAACCTGAATATGAAACTAAATCCCCAAAGATTTAGCTTCTTCTAGGGTTGTCTTTATAACGTTAAAATTCTTGCAAGCCACACCCCTTCATGTGACCAATAAAATTAGAGCCACCACAGAAGGATGACCTAGTCAAGTTCTACTTTGCTGCATTACACCTGACCCACATTTGGAGTGTAATAAAAGACAATCATGTTTCATTTAAATTATGTGCGGTGGTCTTTCCTAAAGAACATAGTAAGCAAGTAGATTTACATACTTTTGCTCCAGTGGTTAATAGGTCACAAAATGAAAACTCTTGTCATGTATCAAGAATTCTGAGGATCTACCTTTGAAACTTGTATTTTTAGTCATTCACTTATAAAGTTTTCCCAAGATGACTGATGGAGAAGGCTATAAAGAAGAGAAAAATAAATTAACATAAAGGAAAGAGAGACTAGGGTTTGCCCCCAACTTGGAGCAAGGTATCTATTGTCACAATTGGTACCAATGATAGACATCAGTTCTGAAAAAGAGTCACCAATCAAATGTGACTTTAAGTAAAGGGTACAAGGAAGATCAAGGAAAAAGGAGGCAGATAAAACTTCAAGAAGGATGTTTAGCAAAAAGAAAAAAAAAGAGATGGCCCTTCTCTTATTGGGGATCACTTCCTTTAAGAGATCAGCAATCTGGATATGACCAACTCTTCTGCCCTTTCCTTTACAAACCCTTGCTGAATTTTCTTTGATTTCAGAGGTTACCGTTTCTGTGGCTTCCAACCATACACTAACCTCCATACAGGGATGCAAGATACATTCTCTAAGGATATAAGAAGCACTTAGATGGCTCCATACTTTCTTTGTCAGAAACAGGTAATTACTGGATAGCTGCTAAGAATAGCATCCACTTCTCTAGATCTAACCTTGAGATGAATTATAGCTGACTGGACAAGTTCATCTAGTCTTCAGATTTAAACCACACAATCTAATTCTTCAGATTTAAACCACACAATCTAATTCTTGTTTTAAGTCCCTCTAAAATAGAATTGTTCTAGGGCTCTTGACATAACAGAAAGGCACATTTTCAGACATCTACACTTACATTTTTAATTTTAATTTTAATTTTAATTTTTTATTTTTTTATTATACTTTAAGTTCTAGGGTACCTGTGCACAACGTGCAGGTTAGTTACATATGTATACATGCGCCATGTTGGTGTGCTGCACCCATTAACTCATCATTTAACATTAGGTATATCTCCTAATGCTATCCCTCCCCCCTCCCCCCACCCCACAACAGGCCCCAGTGTGTGATGTTCCCCGTCCTGTGTCCATGTGTTCTCATTGTTCAATTCCCACCTATGAGTGAGAATATGCGGTGTTTGGTTTTTTATTTCATGTTTCAATAGACTCTACAGTTTGCCCAAAACTACCTCAGAAAATTTAAACATAAGATAAATTGATCTACAGTCATGCATTGCTTAAAAATTGGGATACATGCTGAGAAATTCATTTGTCATTGCACGAACAACACAGAGTGTACTTACACAACCCTAGATAGTATAACCTACTACACACTTAGGCTCTATGGTATGGCATGATAATATTATGGGAATTTGTCGTATATGCAGTCAGTCATTGACCGAAACATCGTTATGTGGCACATGAATGTATTTTACTATTCAATGTCTAACATCTTTAAAAAGTTTGGCTTATATTTTAAAACCAAAGTGTGATTAGCACTTTGTGAAGCATACATTGCCAAAGATCAATTTAACTATAAATTTTCAATAGGTTCACCTTCCATGCCAAAATTCTTGCAACTCTCAACCCCTCCTCACTACCACTATCAAAGAATACATTGCTATGGAGAGTCACGTGAGAGCAATACAAAAAGAACATTAAAAGAAGCCTAAACTCACACCTGCTTACTTCACTTATTTAAACATTAGTCTTTCTTTTCAGTTATTCATGGATATGTACTGAGCTATGAGGAAAAGCACCTTACATCAGCTAAAGAACCATAAGTTGTTAATGATTTTTAAAGAAAAATTTAACAAAAATATTTTTTGAAATTGCTAACATTTTCAAGACAATGTAAGATACAACCAATCGATAAAACTTCTAAGTGATTTCTTTCAGATTCAGTATGTGTTATTCAATGAAGTAGTAACAATCTAATTTATCAAATCGTATCAAATATCTATTCCAATTACAGCCATTCCCCACTTGGCTTTATTTTCTAAAATGTTTATTTTCCTACTTATTATTAACATAAAATATTTTGCTAGCTCCTGGAGCAATTTGCGTTTTAGCAATGCAAACATTTTTTATATTTGCATAGGCAAAGTATGGTCATCATTCCTCTCTTTAAGAGATATATTTCCAGTAGAATTCTACTATTTATGTTTTCACCTGGGATATAGTTTAACTCATGTATCCACACAGTAGAATTTTGTATATTTAGAAAAAAACTTCATGATACTGTAAAGTTTACAATTTTTCTCTGAATTATCTTACCTGCATCCAACAGCACTACTTTAAAAAGCCTTATATGGCCAAGCGCAGTGGCTCATGCCTGTAATCCCAGCACTTTGGAAGGCCGAGGCAGGCGGATCACGAGGTCAGCAGATCGAGACCATCCTGGCTAACATGGTGAAACCCCGTCTCCACTGAACAAAATACAAAAAATTAGCTGGGCCTGGTGGCAGGCGCCTGTATTGCCAGCTATTCGGGAGGCTGAGGCAGGAGAATGGCGTGAACCCGGAGGTGGAGCTTGCAGTGAGCTAAGATCGCACCACTGCACTCCAGCCTGGGCAACAGCGTGAGACTCTGTCTCAAAAAAAAAAAAGCCTTATATTTGAGACATGGGGACAAATAAACAATTCCTTATATCTACAACATAACAAACATTTAAAAAATATATTGAATAAGTACATATATTTAACAAAAAATATGTACTGGTAGTATTTTAACATACAAAATTATCAGTAGCTTTGTGTATGTGTTTCTTTTAATGAGTTAAAAAGTTCATCGTTAATGATAATGAGTTTGAAGTGAATTAGGATTTTATGAACAATATTCACTATGGTGGATCCTTACATTTTTTGCCAAAGTTGTTCAATAAACATTTTGCTCAAAAGAGATAAAAAGCCTTCCTTTTGTTCACGTACTGAGGCTTACCTCAAACAGAATCTTGTATTTTAAATATTTAAGAAGGGACATTTTTTTATTCCATTATAAGGCATGTTAACCACTATGGAAAACACTATAGCTACTTTCAGAACTTGTCATTCGTATTTATATAGTTGATCCTTTAGGATTTTCGTCTAATGGTAGCTAACACCTAGCTACAAATGCCCATTATTTAAAATGATTTTGTAATACAGCTATGCACTGCATAATGACATTTCAGTCAACAAGGGACTGCATATATGATGGTGGCCCCTAGGAACTGAAAAATTCCTACTGCCCGGTAGCATCTTGATGATCTTGACTCTGAGTAGGCCTGGGCTAACGTGTAAGTTTACGTCTTCGTTTTTAAGAAAAAAAAAAGTTTGAAGGGAAAAAAGAAAGAACTTTTAAAATAGAAAAAAGCTTATAGAATAAATATTATAAAGATCATATTTTTGTACATCTGTTCAATGTGTTTGTGTTTTAAGCTAAGTGTTACTACAAAAGAATCAAAAAGTTTTTTAAAATTTAAGTTATAAAAGTTACAGCAAAATAAGATTATTAAAGACAAATTTAAAAAATAAATTTAGTATAGCCCAAGTGTACAGTGTTAATAAAGTCCACAGTAGTGTACAGTAATGTCCTAGGCCTTCACATTCACTCACCACTCACTCACTGACTCATCCAGAGCAAGCTCCTGTCCTGCAAGCTCCATTCACAACAAGTGCCCTATACACATATCCCATTTTTAATCTTTTATACTGTATTTTACTGCACCTTTTCTATGTTTAGATACACAAATACTTAACATTATGTTACAACTGTCTATGACATTCAGTACAGTAACACGCTATATAGATTTATAGCCTACAAGCAATAGCTAGAGCACATAACCTAGGTGTGTAGAAGGCTCTACCATCTAGGTTTGTGTAGGTACACTCTATGATGTTTACAGAATGACGAAATAGCCCAATGACACATTTCTCAGAATAGCCCCATTGTTAAGTGACATATGGTGTAATTATGATCTTCAATAATGACAAATTTTTTAAAAGGAGGGCACAGACATGGTTACCAGCTTCCTCACACATCTCTTTTTTCGACCCCCACATAAAAACACCACAGCTTGAGATACAAGCTCAATAGGACAAAGCTACACAATTCATAGTCACTTACACCACTCTAATAACCAAAAAAAGAAACCAAAACTCCAGCTAATTTACTCCCTGGAATAGGATTAGAGAAGGTAAGCAAGAATAAATTCATCTACATATTCCTTTTATTAAAGCCTGTCCTTTGTTTCCACATAATCTGTAAGTGAAAACTCCATCAAAATGGTTCATTCAAAAAAGTGTCTACTATTAACAAAGCATAACAATATACATTTATGCTGTTGTGCATAGAGAACATTATCCAAATTTTCTACTGAGGAGCCAGGAGAAATTTAATGAAAATGAAACAATATGATTATTGACTACAGAAAGAATACCTTTTTTGGAGAAAAAATATATACTTACTTAGTCAGCTGCCCTTTATTCTTGTTGTTATCAACTCCATTGTAAGTCACAGCTGCCAGTTTTCTGCTTCCATAGTTCTCGTAGTGGACATTGTTAGTAACATCTTTCAAGTCCTGCATGTGTGTTCTGTCATAAATAAACAGCAAGAGTTTGCTTCTATTAATAGCTAGGGGGCATAAAGCTAAAAAAGCTTTAATATAAATTCAAAATTTTACCAAAACAAAAATTTCAGATTTAAAATTAACAAAAGACTATTGTTAAGGAAGGTAGCATTCATCTGTTTTCATTTACACTCAAAGTAGACCAATAAAAAATAAGCTAACTTGACACCAAATTTAGATTCCATAGAGATTTTAAGACCCATAGCAAGGACTTCATGACAAACACCGAAAGCAATGGCAACAAAAGCCAAAATTGACAAATGGGATCTAATTAAACTAAAGAGCTTCTGCACAGCAAAAGAAACTACCATCAGAGTGAACAGGCAACCTACAGAATGGGAGAAAATTTTTGCAATCTACCCACCTGACAAAGGGCTAATATCCAGTATCTACAAAGAACTCAAACAAATTTACAAGAAAAAAACAACTCCATCAAAAAGTAGGCAAAGGATATGAACAGACACTTTTCAAAAGAAGACACCTATGCAGCCAACAGACACATGAAAAAATGCTCATCATCACTGGTCATCAGGGAAATGCAAATGAAAACCACAACGAGATACCATCTCACATCAGTTAGAATGGCAATCATTAAAGTCAGGAAACAGCAGATGCTAGAGAGGGTGTGGAGAAATAGGAACAGTTTTACACTGTTGGTGGGAGTGTAAATTAGTTCAACCATTGTGGAAGACAGTGTGGCGATTCCTCAAGGATCTAGAACTAGAAATACCTTTTGACCCAGCCATCCCATTACTGGGTATATACCCAAAGGATTATAAATCATGCTACTATAAATCATGCACACGTATGTTTATTGTGGCACTATTCACAGTAGCAAAGACTTGGAACCAACCCAAATGTCCATCAATGATAGACTGGATTAAGAAAATGTGGCACATATACACCATGAAATACTATGCAGCCATAAAAAAGGATGAGTTCATGTCCTTTGCAGGGACATGGATGAAGCTGGAAACCATCATTCTCAGCAAACTATCACAAGGACAGAAAACCAAACACTGTATATTCTCACTCATAGGTGAGAAGTGAACAATGAGATCACTTGGACACAAGGCGGGGAACATCACACCCGGGAGCCTGACAGGAGGTGGAGGGCTGGGGAAGGGATAGCATTAGGAGAAATACCTAATGTAAATGATGAGTTGATGGGTGCAGCAAACCAACATGGCACATGTATACCTATGTATCAAACCTGCACGTTGTGCACATGGACCCTAGAACTTAAAAGTATAATAAAAAAAAGAAAAGAGAAAGAGAAATGGGCATAGGAGGGGAAGACTTTCTTCTAGGGCATTTGAGATTGTCAAGCCCAGATGACAGGCACCACCTTTCCACCTTATGCCTCATTAATGGAAACAACACAAAGCCCAGATCTAAGGCAGAGCTTCCCAACTATGGGCCTGCATCTCAATCTTCACCTTCCAGGAACCAGGCAGCGTCTTCTGGGCTGATTACTTCCAGTTTACCACATTATGATATCCAAATATTATAGCTCCCCTCTCCCTTGTGATGATCATGGAAAATATCAGTGGCTCCAAATTCCAATTATTTCACCTTAGAAAACAAATCTGAGAATCCCCCTATCACCAAGCACAGCACCTGGATACAACAGGCACTCAATAAATATTTGCTCAGCCAATGCAAGGATAAATGAATGATATTCCTCATCCCCGTATTCATTTCTGAATACGTGCTGGTGAAAATCTAGCTCTAAACATCTTTCAGATTTAGTACATTGAGGTATGAAAAAGAAAAAAAAAGGACAATGCAAACGAAGTCAGGAGCTGGCACAGAAATGCAATCAGATTCTGCTTCCCCTGTAATTAAGAGTGCCCAATGCCGCTGACTTAGGCGATGACAGCGTGCAGCTTGCCTGCCCGCCCTGGGCGCCTGGGAGGGCGGGCAGCCCTCAGGATGCCACTGCACAACACGTTCGCCACCTTATCAAGAATTCCACAGCCACAGGAAGATTTCTCACCCCGCCATAACCCCCACGGGCTGCCCTGTGCTGTCACATGTCCCCGCTGCTCAGAGAGGGAAAGCCACTAGAGAGGCCCTCAATGGAAATATTACCCCCTGTCCAGGGTAGCATGGGCTTGATCGCCCCTGATTATTTCTGATCACTGTCACTGGGCCAAGAGCACAGCGAAGTCAAGAAAGAAATGGCCTTATTAGTGAGAGTGCAGCGGTGTGAGTAGGCAGCAGTGGCGTGGAGGACCTGCTTTTGTGAGGGCAGTGAAGAGAGGGGAAGGAGTGGTGTCTTCATATTGAGATATTTTGAGATTCCTGCTTTCTCCACTCACTTCAACTGCCCAAATAGGTTCTGCAGGTTCCGGAAGGTTCTAGAACTTGTACAGGATTGAACCTACAGCTTCTCATGGAACAAACCCAGAACCAAGAAAATCTGGTGGAAATCACCTGTTTTAACTCCTTTGAGGTCTAGACCAGAAATTAAATAGTGCTTAATCTGTTACTTTAAAGAAGCCTAGTTCTAACTTTACCTCAGCTCGCTCCCTCTTTTGCCTAGGATAGGAAGGGTGGGTGCAAATGGCCAGCTCCCTGTAGGTCAGCCTCTTGGACCCCTAAGTTTCCCGCCACTTCTATGCACTACAGGCTTTGCCCAGGGTGGGATCCTCAGCCCAGGGACCTTGTTTGTCCTCTGCCTCTTGATGCTGGTGCCTGCTTCCCAGCCACATACCCTCAGATTCATTTTTAAAGAAACGTCAACAGCTGTTAAATGGCAAATGAGCCTTTCAAAGAGGTGGGATGACTTTGAAAAAGGGCTTGAGGACAGCAGTCGACCTCTGACCGTCTCCCCTCAGATGCCCTCTCCATCCCACGCTGTCTCCCTGTCCCCGACCTCCGCTTTCCCAGCGAGCCTGCCTGCTCTTCAACGCTCCTCCCTGCCCGCTTGTGCTGTCTCAACACCTCCCATGTTGCTTGATTCCTAAAATAACATAGAGGAAAACATTAATTTTTTTTTGAGACGGAGTCTCCCTCTGTCGCCAGGCTGGAGTGCAGCGTTGCAATCTCGGCTCCCTACAACCTCTGCCTCCTGGGTTCAAGTGATTCTCCTGCCTCGGCCTCCTGAGTAGCTGGGACTACAGGAGCATGTCACCACACCCGGCTACTTTTTGTATTTTTTTTTTTTTTTTTGAGACGGAGTCTCGCTCTGTCACCCAGCCTGGAGTGCAGTGGCATGATCTCAGCTCACTGCAAGCTCCGCCTCCGGGTTCGCCTCCGGGTTCATGCCATTCTCCTGCCTCAGCCTCCCGAGTAGCTGGGACTACAGGCGCCCGCCACCACGCCCTGCTAATTTTTTGTATTTTTAGTAGAGACGGGGTTTCACCGTGTTAGCTAGGATGGTCTCGATCTCTTGACCTTGTGATCCACCCGCCTCGGCCTCCCAAAGTGCTGGGATTACAGGCGTGAGCCACTGCGCCTGGCCAAAAATATTTTTTTAAATAAAGAAAATAAATCCTCGGCTGGGTGCGGTGGCTCACGCCTGTAATCCCAGCACTTTGGGAGGTGGAAGCGGGCAGATCACAAGGTCAGGAGATCGAGACCATCCTGACTAACACGGTGAAACCCCGTCTCTACTAAAGATAAAAAAATTAGCCTGGCATGGCGGCATGCACCTGTAGTCCCAGCTGCTGGGGAGGCTGAGGCAGGAGAATGGCGTGAACCCGGGAGGCGGAGCTTGCAGTGAGCCGAGATTGTGCCACTGCGCTCCAGCCTGGGCGACCGGGCAAGACTCTGTTTCAAAAAAAATAAAACCCCATAAATCTCCCAAAGCAGTTACTGAAGGATGACCTTTCTATGAAAGAGTGTTCATCTTTATATTATCTATTTAAATACTAGACAAGAAACTGTAGATTAGCTACTACTGAAGCTCATAAAATCTAAAAGAAACTGCCTTTTAGCAATATTACTAAGGTAATATGTGAGTTTTTATTAATACATAATAATATATTTCAGAACACATATCAAGTTGTTTTTAAACTAGGGAATTTTAGAATAAATTTCTGTTTCTTCAAATTGTCTAGGTGAATGTGGTATTTTGGTTAAACAAATTTTTGTTTATAGCATTTCTATCATATATAAAATCAATACATATGAGATAAATCCACAATACATATGGGATGATGTCATCATTATTAATAATTCAAGACACTGAAGGTACCCTTAGCTCCTCTATGGATATCCTTTACCAATGCAGTGTTCTTGGATATACATGGGGTGGCAATACTCTGTATTGTCAGTCCTCCCTCTTCTCATCATCTATTCTATTTCAAACTTCCTATATCTGCCATCATTCATCTTCACCACGTTACTAAAACTCCCTTCTGGGAGACAAACATAAAGGTGTATTGTTGGCTGGGTGTGGTGGCTCACACCTGTAATCCCAGCACTTTGGGAGGCCAAGGCGTATGGATTACATGAGCTGAGGAGTTTGAGACCAGCCTGGCCAACATGGTGGAATCCCATCTCTACTAAAAATACAAAAATCAGCCAGGTGTGGTGGTGGGCACCTGTAATCCCAGCTACTTGGGAGGCTGAGGCAGGAGAATTGCTTGAACCCAGGAGGTGGAGGTTGCAGTAAGCCAAGATCGTGCACTGCACTCCAGCCTGGGTACAAGAATGAGACTCCATCTCAAAAAAAAAGTGTATTATTGTACATTTTTATCATTCCTTACATCCAGAAAACCCTTACTGTTACTTTACAATCCAGCTTCTTGAATCTCCCCCTTTGTGAATAAAATGTGATATTCAATTACTCTGATTCATATCGTACTGACATTTCCATGCAATTCTCTGATAGTTCACTCCCTTTAGTCCTAAGTCTGGGTTTTCCAAAAATCTCATCTCCCAGACTCTGTCCCTTGATAAATTCATGTTCTCTTATAGCCACAACAGTTACTTCTAAAGCTCTACCACTCCACTTCAGGCACGTCAGGCAAAATAAATAAGCAGGTAGGATCAAGATTTTACAGCATAATTTTGCAGGTAATTTTAAATCTCAAGTCCTATGAAGGTTACCAAAAAAATCCTATAATAGAGAGGAACATTAAAAAGGAGAAATAAGATATTCACTTCGCAAAATTACTCCTTTGAGATTCTAGTTACTAAACTCCATCTTGCAGTTTGATATGTATGAGTTACTGCCCAGAATATACAGACAGTCCTTCCATCCTGTGCACTGGGATGATCACTTCCACTTCTTCAAATCCAGCTAAAAGCATCACTGCCTCCATGAAGCCTACTCCAGCCAGAACTGTTCACTTGCCTCTTCTCTGCTCATGTCCTATATATTACACAAGCAGAGGCCACCAACAGTATTTTTCATCAACAGTTTAGAGCAGTGCTGCCAAATAAAAATACCATGTCAATCATATAAGCAATTTAAAATTTTCTTAGTAGCCACTTTTAAAATAGGAAAAAGGTGAAATTAATCAATTTTATTTAACCTGATACATCCAAAATATGATCACTGCAGTATACAATCAATATAAAAAAATTATGGAGATTTTTTCCATGCTCAGTCTTAGAAATCGGTGGTATATTTTATATTTGCAGAACATCACAATTCAGACTACCCACATTTCAAAGATTAATAGCCATATACGGCTACAGGCTGCTGTACTATTTAATAAAAAGTGCATATCTAGAGTCTAGCCCCTTGCTCTATAAAGTGTGATCTACCATCCAGCAGCATCAGCACCACCTGGGATCTTGTTAGAAATGTAGAAACACAGCCCATCTCAGAACTACTAGAAGAACTAAATTTAACAGGATGCCCAGGATTGGAATGCATAGCAAAGACTGAGAAGCAGTAAATTAGATCACATATACCTTGGGAGTCTTACAGAATTGCTATTGCCATTCAACTATGATATGGTATTACCCCACTGACTAATATAGAACACTGTATTTAAATAACAATAGCTTTTCTATGAATCATGTTTTCTCTACACTGTCCAATGCAATTTTCTGAAATGATGAAAATCTTTATATATGTGCTGCATAGAATGGCAGCCACTTGCCACATGTGGCTGCTGAGCACTTGAAATGTATCTGGAGCAAAAGAGAAATTGCATTTTTAATTTAATTCATTTAACTGATGTAAACATTTGGCAAATGACTATCATACTAGATAGTACAACTCCAGGAGAATTGGTTACTATGTCACAGTTTCATCTCTAGGAGAGTCTTAGGACAAATTTGGAAAGTTCTAGTCAAGATAATTCTTCTGATTAACTGTACTCCTTCTTCTTTTTAATTTTATGAAGTCATATTTACCATCTTACACTGGCTAAGGGCAAATTTGCATCTTACCTCTAAGGAAGCATAATAAAAGTTACAACATGTGCTTTGTATGTCTTAATATTATTCCAGCTTATCATCAATTAACAATACTAATATCCATACCTGTACAGTCTTTTTAATTCTATGAGAAGGACCTGGGTACTCTGGAGAATACAAATCTGTGAGGAATAATGAGTTGATTAATGTCGACTTTCCCAATCCAGATTCCCCTAAAAGAAATAAGGGAAAATATCTGTTAAACTCACCCATTTTACCCAACCTTAAATATTCAACAGATGCTATAATCCAACTTGCTTTATGCAAGTACTTCTTGGTGAGACAATGAAATGACATTAGAAAATATGCTACAAAGAGTATCTTGTCCTCAGTTTCGTAGCTATCAAATTAGACTCATGTTTCCAAGGATTCTTTTCAGCCTTCTAATTATACCACTTATATTCATTAAAAGTAATTATCTAATAATTTACATTTTTAACAGTAATGTATTCCCAAGGAAAAAATTCAGTGATTTTAAAAAAAATCCAAGTTGGATTATGTATCACTGCTTCAGTGAAATAAAGTTTTTCTTTATTAATAGACAATAATGGATGACCAAAAGAAATCATGCAGCTACAAAAAGCAAAAATCTGCTAATACAAAGAATAATTAATCACAATGAACATCTCCATATAAAATTCTAAATCACAAAAAATACTTTCTAATTTAGCCACCCATCAGCCTAAACATAAGGGTGCTTCTCCATAAACCAGAATCCAAAAAAATCTTAGGTAATTACTTTTTCTACCGCTTCTACTCGAGGTAGACATGAAGGAAGCTATGGCATGATTTCCACTCTGATCACATACACTTTTTTGACTCTCCATGTCTAGTCCAATATACATAGTCTAGTGTATAGTAACTATTACAAGTATAACAAAATATAAATGGCCTCAAGGTATATATAACCTAAGGTTAAAACAAATTAGAATTCATATTATGATAATTAACATGGCACAGAGTTAAAGTATTTATTGTTAATAATTCACTTAGAATAATAGGCATGTTTAGCCTAAGTAACCGATGGCACAATATTTATATGTCTAGGAGGAATTCTTTTTATATTAGCTTTCAAAAGAGATAATAAGATCCTTTCCACATGGTTTGGGCTTACCCCTTTGACTGAGAGCATGCCACTTTTTACTAGATGTAAAAATGCCATAAAGGTCTAAGTCACAGGAAAGTAACACGGGTTGGCCACACCTGATTCTTTCTTAACTCTTAAACCTTGAAGGCAGAAAGACTAGAATAAAACCCAAGCATTTGGATGTTACCAGAAATATCTATAATATTTCCTTTTAGAAATATAAATGAAAATTTTAGTATATACAACAATGTTTGGGAAATTAAAAACAAAAGTATGCTAATTAAAATATTAACACTGTACTCAATAAATCATGTTTAGAGGGCTTTTTTTCAGTTTTTTCCCTTTTTATTGGTGGTGAGGAGTGGGGGAATAAGACGACGCAGGACAAAGGGAAAAGAGAGAGGAAGAAAAATAAAAGTCTGAAAGGTAACACAGTAAAATGTAAAATGGTGGCTACTCTGGGGATAGTACAATGAGGGTGAGATTTTTTTCTTAGTTTGTTATACTTCTGGGGGCTGCAAACTTCCTTCAACATGATTCTATTATTTTCATAATTTAAAAAGCATTATTGAGTGGCATCAGCAAAACGGCAAATTAAAAAGCTCGCAGACTCATTCCCTCACAGAAACACCAAAAACAACCAGAAACTAGTTGAATTAACCTTACAGGACCTGTGAAAAACAGTCAAATGTCTATAGCAACAAAGCAAATGCCCAATTAAGAAAAAAAAAAAAAACATGTAAAACTTTTGTGACATTTTTCTGTGATCCTGTCCCTCCCCTTCTGCAGTTTATCTGGGTCTGGAGGAGGCAGCAAACCAACTCCCAATTCATTCCCTTCAAATGGGCGGGAAGAGTGCAGACCTAACTCGTAACATTTTACCCTCTCTGGTCGGCCAGAAGGACTGATTCCTGTCTACCTAAGTGGGACCTCATCCGGTGAGAGAAGCAATGGGTGCCATTTATGAAAGCTACAAGGCTACACAATATGTTTACACTATAAGGGACTAGAAGAAGAAGAGCAAACTAAACTCAAAGCTAGCAAAAACAAGAAAAAAATAAAGATTAGAGCAGAGATAAATAGAAGAGATTTTAAGAGTAGAAATCGGGCTGGGCATGGCGGCTCACGCCTGTAATCCCCGCATTTTGGGAGGCTGAGGAGGGTGGATCACCTGAGGTCAGGAGTTCAAGACCAGCCTGACCAACATGGTGAAACCCTGTCTCTACTAAAAATGCAAAATTAGCTGGGTGTGGTGGTGCGTGCCTGTAATCTCAGCTACTTGGGAGGCTAAGGCAGAAGAATCGCTTGAACCCAGGAGGCAGAGGTTGCAGTGAGCCGAGATAGCGTCACTGCACTCCAGCCTGGGCAACAAGAGTAAAACTCTGTCTCAAAAAAAAAAAAAAAAAAAGAAAGAAAGAAAGAAAGAAAAGAATAGAAATCAGCCGGGCTCAGTGACTCATGCCTGCAATCCCAGCACTTCGGGAGGCTGAGATGGGCAGAACACGGGGTCAGGAGATTGAGACCATCCTGCCCAACATGGTGAAACCCTGTCTCTACTAAAAATACAAAAATTAGCTGGGCGTGGCGGCGCGTGCCTATAATCCCAGCTACTCGGGAGGCTGAGGCGGGAGAATTGCTTGAACCCGGGAGGCGGAGGTTGCAGTGAGCCGGGATCACGCCACTGCACGCACTCCAGCCTGGCGACAGGGCTAGACTCCGTCTCAAAAAAAAAAAAAAAAAACAAACAAAAAAATAACAATCAACAAAACCAATTGTTAGTTCTTCAAAAGAATAAACGAAATTGACCACCCATAAACTAGATTGAGAATAAAAGAGAGACTCAAATTACTAAAATCAGAAATAAAAGTGGGGGCTGGGCATGGTGGCTGACGCCTGTAATCTTAGAATTTTGGGAGGCCGAGGTGGGGGGATCTTTTCAGCTCAGGAGTTCAAGACCGGCCTGGGCAACGTGGCAAAACCCTGTCTCTACTAAAAATACAAAAAAATTACCCGGTCATGGTGGCACATGTCTGTAATCCCAGCTACTCAGGAGGCTGAAGCAAGAGAATTGCTTGAACCCGGGCGGCGGAGGCTGCAGTGAGCCAAGATCGCACCACTGCACTCCAGCCTGGGTGACAGAGCGAGACTCTGTCTCAAAAAAAAGAAGTAAAAGTGGTTCATGATTTTCCTAGTTAAGGACTGGACTGTTTGCCATCGCCCCACCCCACGCTTTTTTGAGTAACTTCCCTTTTTGGAAACAGTGATGAAGGTTTCTCCCTTTATTCTAAACAGTGTGTACCTTGTAGTACTATCTGCCATCAAATTTCTAAATGCTTTCTGCTTTTTTAATACTCTTTAAAAATTAGCAAATACATAGTTATACTTTCAGTTAAGATTATATTTTTTCCCATTGGATTTTTTCTTTATCTTTTAAATTCTTAACATTGACTATGTGAAGTAATACGCTGTATACCCTGAACTCAGCTATGAGGTATTTAACGTATCATGGGATATATAAATAAATTAACTTCCATCAATTCCTAGACTACTTACACTGAAATTATGGACCAAAGCTTTCTAATTCAATTCCCAAGTGGTGTTAAAACCAAACTGTATTGTATTTCAAGAAACTTTATCCATGGTTACAAAAGTTTAAAAACTTATCAAACACGTGGGAAAACTGCAATTTAAAGATAAATGATTAGGTTTCCTATTTTTTTAAGACCAACTACAATGTGAAACATAACTACACTAACTGGGTGTTCTCTATCAAAGTCAACACTGCAAACAACAAAGGGTATCATCTGGCCAAGAAAAAGATAATTTCTGATTCCAATTCAACACAGCTCCTGTGTAACAGGTGTTTCTCTAGTTCTCAGCTCCACATTTATGCTTGAGTTATTTCTATGCTAGTTGTAGTTTTCTTTTTAAGTTGCCTCTGGGCAAAGTAAACCTTTCATAACAGATTGAGAACTGTTCCATTTCCTCAACTCTAAGATACAATTTTGCCCCCTAATATTTCTAAAAACAAATGTCTCATAATCAAAATGTAATTGACTGTACTATTTAACCTCCCTCAAATCAAATTTGATTATATGTTTCAGAGTAGATCTTATCTTAGAATCAAGGAAGCAGGAAAATCAAAGCACTTCTTCCCCTAGAATTGAATTCAATTAGAAAAGCCAAATCAATAAGACCTTAATTATTTTATCCTATAATTGAGAACTTTATATTTAATTCTTAGAACAATTTATTCTGAACTAAAGGGATTTCTATTTCCTTCTAAATTGGAAGACCCAAAGAAACAGAAGCCTTTAACACAAACTTGGATGAGAAAGTAACCAAGACCATCTCCCACCTTGAGGCTCATGAGGTGAAACAAAAGCTCCCGCTTGAGAGAGTTATATGCCACAGGGGAAATGACCCTCAAAGAGACAAGTTTCATTCAGAGTAAGGAGGCCGAAAAAATGGGTACCAAAAAGTAGTTGAGAACTCAGTCTGCTTTTTCTGGTTCTGTACATAAGGAGCTTGGAAGTTGCCACTCCATTCTAAGAAGTAAAAAACTGAACAGATCTCATCTTTAAGAGCAGGATCTGATCTTTAAGAGCAGTAAGGACACAAGGCAATGATCCAGCAATTGCTCTTCTTGATGTTTACCCAGCTAAGTTAAAAACTTAGATCCACAGAAAGTCTTGCACACAGGTATTTGCAGCAGCTTTGTTTATAATTGCCAAGATATGGAAGCAATCACAATGTCCTTCAGTAGTTGAATGGATAAATACACTGTGGTACATCCAGAAAATGGAATATCACTCAGCACCAAAAAGAAATTAGCTAACAAGCCATGAAAAGACATGGACCAATGTATACTGGTAAGTGAAAGAAGCCAGTCCAGAAAGAATACATACTGTATAATTACGTTATTATAATTCCATAATTATAGTGAGCAAGATACTTGCATTTTTGGTTTTCTTACATATCGAATTAGTATAAGAGTATGAACTATGAGGAATAAATTAGATAATATATGTGAAATCTAAGCACAGTGCCTGGTACACATTAAGTGCTCAATAAGTAGTTGCATTATTTCTGTGATTCATTTAAGGAAATTAGAAAGACATGAAAGTTTGATATGACAGAGGCAAGAACATAAATAACAAAAATTTTAAAAATATTTAAGGCAAAAACTTGGAAACAATGGGAAGTTAGCAAATTCCACGTTAAAAGACTAATAGGTCTTTTGGATATGGATAAATCAAGTGCTTAAAAAGTAAAAATGATTTAAATAATATGCTTAATTGTCAAATATATACACAGAAATTTCTACCCAGAGAATAAACATATTTTTGAAACCTATGGAATACTTAAATAAGCTGATCCTATGTAAGGCTACACAGAAAAATAAATCAATACTGGAACCTACAGATCATATTCTCTGAAGGTAGCGAAATTAAAAATTAACAAAAAATCATGTAATCCATCTGCCTACTTACCTATCTCTCTAACTCTTCTTATGTGAAAATTACTCAAATACAAACAAAATGAGTATTACACATAAAAAACTAAGATATGTGACTAAAGTATTCAGAGAAAAACCCATGCTTAAAATAAGCCTAAAGAAAATAACTCAACCATCAGTGTGGTTCTTGGTGAAACTGTAAACTGGTACAGCTTTTCTGAAGAATAATTTGGCAATCTATCAAAATTTAAATCTACATGCCTTTTGACCCAGGGTTTCACTTTCAGAAATGTATATTACAGAAGCATTTATATGTATGCCTAGAAATCCAAGGAACCTAAGCACTGTTTATAACTATAAGCATCCATCTTCATTAATAGCTGACTGTATAAATCATGATAGAGATATTTCAGAATACCACATAATTGCAAAGAATATGCAGACAGGAATATATGTACAGTATATTCAGTGACAGGGAAAAAACAGTCACAGAACAGTACTTATAGCACGGCACTGTTTACACACAAAAAAATTGACATGGGAATGCCTGGCGTATATAAAAGTATAAAAAAATGGCAAAAGACTTGCACCAGTTTAATGCTTATCTCTAGAGACAGGACTGGAAATGAAGGCAGGAGAAAAAAGGAAACTCACCTTTTACTAAATGTCTTTAGAATTTAGTTTCTTAAAAATAAAAATGTATATTTTATAAACTTTTCTTTCTTTGGGAGGCTGAGGGGAGGGTAATAATAAAAGGGAATATACCAAGTTTCTAATAGTGTTTATTTCTAGATGGAAAAGGTAGTGAAACATTTAAATTTTCTCTCTTTGTATATCAGTTTTTCTACAAGAACCATAAATTATATAATATTTAATTTTTACTTTTAACTCTTTAAAGGGGTTGATAATATGTTATACTACAAAGAGGTCAAGAAGAATGCCTGAGAACAGGCTACCTGCAAATATAATGATTGGGAGTACTGGGATAAGAGTTAAGAGAAAAATGAGTATTGAGTCCAGTAAGATACTACAGAGCAAATGAAAGGGAAGCATCAGGCGCAGGTTACTGCAGATGCTGACAACTACAGATCCAGACAGCTGTACTGCAGGAATTCTCAATCTTGGCACTACTGACATTTTGTGTTGGACAATTCTTTACTGTGAGGAGTGTCTTGTTCGTTGAAGGATGCTTGGCAGCATCCCTGGCCTTTACCCATTAGATGCCAGTTAGCCTCTCTCCTCCCCAGCTGTGACAACCAAAAATGCTTCCAGACATTGACAAATGTCCCCTGGGGGGCATTTTTCAAATTTTGAACCCCCAAATCATCTAGCACTGATACCACTATGCATGGAAAATAATGACAATGACAGCCAGTAAGTTGTAAATTATTCTGTGTGCCAGTATTTTACAAGCATTGACTTAATTAACCTTTATAATCCCATGAGACTGATACTACAGGTTGTGTATCACTTATCCAAAATGCTTGGGACCAGAAGCGTTTTGGATTTGGGGCTTTTTCAAATTTTAGAATATTTGCATTGCTCATCAGTTCAGCATCCCTAATCTGAAAATCCAAAATCCAAAAATTGGTTCAATGAGCATTTCCTTTGAGTATGATGTCAGCATTCAAAGTTTCAAACTTCGGAGTATTTGAGATTTCAGATTTTTGGATTAGGGATATTCAATCTGTATCATTATTGTTACAGTTTGGAAACAAAATGAAATAACTTGCTAGTGCCAAATAGTTAATAAGGGGTAATGTCAGTATTTGACACTAGGCAGCATGTTCTACTGCCTTTCTAAATACCCACTCTCATTTATCCATTAAAGACTCTGTCCCCAATTTCCCAAGTACCTTCCTAATCTGGTTAACCAGGTTGGACCATATCTGACATGGGATATTTCACCAGTATCTTCATTAACAATAATACTTAATATTTTTATTCAATAACTATAAGAAAGACACTGAGCTAGGCACTTTACATGCATTCAATGACTGCAATAATTACAAAACTCTGCATAAGATTCTTTACACAATTTTACAGATAAGTAAGTAAACAAAACCTCTGAGAAGTAACTTGCCAATGACAAATATCTCTACCAAGTAGCACAGCTACAGCTCAATCTGAATGGCAAATCTCATGTCCTTAATCATACTATACTTCCCAGACTCTGAGCAGATGAAAGGAACATGCTTCTTGACCTCTTTGTCCTGGCCCACTTAGTCTTTTTTTTTTTTTTTTTTTGAGAAGAGTCTCACTCTGTCGCCCAGGTTGAAGTAAGTGGCACAATCACAGCTTACTGCAACTTCTGCCTGCTGGGCTCAAGTGATCCTCCCACCTCAGCCTCCCAAGTAGCTGAGACTACAGGTGCATGCCACCATGTCCAGCTAATACATTTTTAGGAGATGAGGTCTCACTATGTTGTCCAGGCTGGTCTCAAACTCATGAATTCAAGCAATCCTCCTGCCTCAGCCTCCCAAAGTGCTGGGATTACATGTGTGAGCACCAGGGCCACTGCTTTTACTGCACTACCCACAATGAGTTTCAAATGGAAAAGTAAAGGATAAAGCAATTCAAAATTTAGAAGAGGAAGAAGAGAGAAACTAAGTTCAATAGCCTTTAATCTTGTCAGACTGAGTACTTTTACCTACCCCTAGTATCAAATCCCCCATCTGTCCTGAAACTAAATCCTAACCTCTTTAGCAGGCTGAGAAAGAGGGAAAAAAGAACCTTTTACAAGATATGATAATAGATCTATGTCCTTTCAAGAATAACACTGATTCAGTGAACAGTCTCAGTGAAAGTACTTTCACTGATTCAGTGAAAGTACTCAGTCAAAACCCATTGAGCAAGCTCATACAGATGACATATTTGTAGGTTATTGTATTGTCTTAATGATTCTAGTATCATAACACAGAGGTTATCAAAATGTCATTTAAATAAGCCTGATAAAATACAGTTTATTTCCCATAAGCAAAGTCACCTTACTCAAATCACTGTGACTGTATGACATTGCTATGGGAGCTCTAAAAACAAACTATTGTGTAATGAGTGAGCAGTCCTTTTACTTGGTAGCAGAGGAAAATACAGCACCTGAGAAATATGAAAATAGTTTGGTAATACTATTCTTCCCTGGAAATTTTTCCTAAGAAGTACCCTGAAGGTGTAAATTAAGTGTATTCCCAATTTTTCTGTGCTTCCGTAAGTATCACATACCCTTAATCTATCTCTCTTTTTTTTCAAAAGTACCAATAATTGTGAGAAAGTAGTTGTGTAACTTTGAAAAAGTCTAGGGGCAAAGGTTATAGTAGTCCATTAGAGCTTAAAATTTCCTTGAAATCTCTTATCTCAGTTCCATCAATAAATTCGTCTTGTGACCTTGGGCAAACCATAACTTCTGTGTGTCAGCGCCCTTATCTATGAAATGCAGATAACAGCAGTACCTACAACAACACAGAGTGGTTGTGAGGAATAAGTGATCTCATTAGAATCATACCTTGGCACAGTGGACACTTCAATATCAATCATAGGTAGTTGCAGTGGAATATATTTTATTACTATTCATGTTTTCTCACAGAAAAAGAAAGGACCCTAGTGTAACTACTAAGAATAAGGGTCAAAGGTGAAGTAGCCTTAAGAAGGGAATAAACATTTGAAACAGGGATGCAGGGGGATGGAGTAGAAGAGTAAGGTTGGCAATTTATTGACACTAAAGGGTACTGGCCTCAAAATAAATAAAAAGGAATGTTGAAAGCAGTGAGGCTCTGCCTGAGTTTGGACATTAATATTAATTTCTACTCACATTTAGTAGATAATATTTACTTCCATAGCAAAATGTCAGATGGCCTATAATTACAAGACAAAATACAGCAACCTTGTTCTAATAACCTCAAAGTGACTTATTACTACAATTGATCCTTGCTCATTGGCCTTACTAAAGGGAAGGAAGTAGTGTCATTAATGCAAAAGAATAGAGAACTATAATCAGTCCTATCAAATCAAACTCTACTTAAACACAAAATCTGTGGAAACAACCCAAATCCAGTGTACTTCTGCATTATTAAGAAAACATTTAAGAATAATAGAGTTCAGAATAATATATATACTGGCTTAAGAAAAAACTACTCAAGATAAAAAGACTATCTGTAACATTTCATGTTTCTTCAAACTAATATTTTAATAAACACAATATTTTTTAATGTTCCAAATTAATGTCTATTTTACATTTATTTTGACTTTGAAATGCACTCTACATGTTTTGCAACAATGTCGTTATCATTCCCTCATTTTACTGCAGCTTAAGAGTAAATAACTGGATTAAAAATTTCTTTGTTCTCGTTAAAACAAAATATAATATTTACAATTTAAGGTGTTACTCTATGAAAATAATGAAACAAGAGTAACTAGAGTCAGTAATACAACACTGTACATTAACCTAATAAGCAGGTTAAAATAACCCATGTCTTTCTTATCTTTGAGGTCTCACTGATGAAAGCCATATATTCCGTCACTATTCATGAATGTTAAATTTCAAGCCTAACAATAAAACATTCATCAAATATTTGTTCATAAGGTTTTGAAGAAAGTCACAATAATATCTGTTTATAATAGCTAATGTCAGGTTTCTTCAGGTCTTTGGGATTGGGCTCCTACAGTATTTATAATAAAAGGATCTGAGAAGTCCTGCTTTAAAGATAATTGCTTATCTTTGCTTTACTCAGCATCTCAACTTTGTATCCGTTTCTTATTAATCTCTAGATTTTCTGAGACTAAAAGTAGTAGTATCTGACACTTTATAAGTGATCATTAAATTTTTATCAAATAAATGAATGAGGAATGCAAAGATAAGATGTAGTCTTTGCCCTTAAAAAGTTTAGTATGGTAGAAGAAGTAAGATATGCAAACAAACAATGAACAAATAAACAAGGCAGAATTTTATCAAGACCATGAATGAAATACCCCAAAGAGAAAGAATTTCAGGAAACCGAGAAATCACACCAGCCTGGAAAGGAGGTCACATTTCAATGAGGCTTTGAAAGATGGAGTATCATTTCAATAAGCATTTCAACTTTCTGGGATATCTGCAGATACAAGGGACCACTTTTACCATTTTGTAGCAATTGTATAGAAAAGAAAGCAAAGGATTTTTAGAAACAGAATCTTTAAGTCCTTTCAGAATGTTTTACCATGTTAGAGTTGAGGCAAGAGGAAAGCCTCAGAGGAGCTGGTGATAACATTGTGGAGCTTTTCTATCTTGTTCCTCTAACTCCTTCCTTCGTTTTTCTCCTGGGTTTTGAAATCAATTTTGTTCAAATTCAAATCCTAGTTCAATCACATACAAGTATGTGACCTTGATCAAGATACTTACTCTATTAATTAAATGCACTGGGCTTGACATTTTAAAAAGCACCTCAAATGAAACCTATTATTAAGAGATGAGACAGTAACAAACTACAGTTCTTAACTAAAATACATATTAGTGTCATCCCAGTAGCTGTTTCAAAATAGATGAATATTCCATCCTTGACCCAAAGCCCAGAATATCTAGGCAAGTGTTTCCAGGACTACTTTGAAGAAGCTTCCCAAAATGATTTGAAAGGTAGATGAAATTAAGAAATTCTTATGTTCATGTTGTCCTCTCCATAAAAAGAAAATTAAGAAATTCTAGTAAATAAAGGATGACATAGGGCAATATGCCAGATTACATCAACATTTAAAGGTGGCCCATAGGAAAGGATCCTAATAAAGCAGCTTCAACACAACCAGGTAAATCAGGAGGCAACAGCACAAAAAGTGAGGAAGAGTTTCAAGGAAAAATAGTCAATAATGCCAAATAAGTTAAAGAAAAATACAATCAGAATGCCTTTTACTGACCTTTAATAAAAGTAGTTTTGCATTAAGGGGAGAAGCCAAATGGTGAGAAATTAAGTGCTGGATGGGAAATTTAAAAGTAGAAGTTTATTTTTTCTTTATATCTGGCTGTAAAATGAAGAAAAGATATCACACCAAAATGTTTTGCCAAGGGAGGGCGCTATTCTTTGTTTTACTTTTTCATCAGCTTAATCTGGTGAAGATTTAATCTGTGAAGAACAATCCAGATCAGGCGTCCCCAACCCCCAGTCCGTGGCCTGTTAGGAACCGGGCCACACAGTAGGAGGTGAGTGGTGGTGAGCTTTACTGCTGGAGCTCCGCCTCCTGTCAGATTAGCAGCAGCATCAGATTCTCAAAGGAATGCAAACCCTATTGTGCACTGCGCATGTGAGGGATCTAGGTTGCGTCCTCCTTATAAGAATCTAATGCCTCATGATCAGTTTCATCCTGAAACCATCCATCACCCATCCCCTGCCCCCCCACACACACCTACACACACCCTGGCAGAAAAATTGTCTTCCATAAAACCAGTCCCTGGTGCCAAAAAACTGGGAGCCGCTGGTCTGGACTACATTAGATACCAATCATTTTCAAGGCATCCCATACATATATTGATCTGGAATTTGCTATAAGACAATTTCATCTCCTCAAAATCTATTAGTATATCCTTTAACATACACACTGATATACATGCTAACACTAAAAGGCAAGCTAAATAGGCTCTATATAACCTGGCCCTGCAATTATCTTAAAAGAAGTTTACTTATTCTAATTACTGTAATTGCACCAGTACTAAGAACTAAGTAACAATTCTGCTCTGTAGCTAGTAGCAAACATTCCAACCAGCTACTCAATAACTACCTCATTTGCCAATTCAAACAGCTTTCACTTGCTACATGTCGGAGGCTGGAAGGCACTAAGAGGTATGTTATGATCTTTCTTGCTATACTCAGAAATAAAAGCATACTTTATACAACCCAGTTCAAGTGGACAGCTTCATTTTTAAATCATCATGTTACCAGAGAAATCCTTGCAGCCTACTCAGAACATTTTCTTCATGATTTAGAAAATGATTATCCCAATTTTGTAGTAAAAGGTATTGCCTGACCTAGGTTAGGGTCTGCAGCGTTTCATAAGATATATACCAAGTTTCTGTAAGTTCTTTTGCTAAACTGAAGAGAGTTCAAATTGACAGTTTAGATACTGTCTCTGAGCTGTCCCTCAATGTTCCTCGAAATTCTTCCCATTACCTGAAATTCTAATTGATCATTCAATACACATTCCCCCTTAAAAATCAAGTATTTTTGTGAATACTGTTAGTCTTTCAGATCCTGGAATAAGACTTTCCCTCTAATTTCTATTTTGGGCCAGCATTAATTAAGAAAGAAAGAGTTTTAATTTGGAAGAAAATAGGGCTACTTTTGAATTACATGAATCAGAAAAAGTAGATTTTGCAGAAACATAGCAAAGGGCTCTATAAAAGTAGAGGGCAACTTACAGCTGGCCATAGGGCATGCTAGAGCGTAAGTAAAGGAGAAATATCAGGAAAAGAGATATTATTTTACCTGGATATCTAATGGATAGAAGAGGGGAAGCAAGGTGTTGATTTATTCTTGATCAGGTAGCATGTTCTATAGAGTGGTTCTAAGAAGTGGCTTTCAAAGCAGAAGTGGGTAGGTTTTAACTGTTTGAATTAGATAACCTATAGATTCTTTTAAGTTCTTACTTTCTATAAATCTCATATAACAAAATGTATCCCCTAAGGACCAGGGGTGAACTATATGAATCATGCCAGTGATTATGTGAATTATATCTCACTGATATTTCTTTTTCTTTAATTATACTTTAAGTTTTAGGGTACATGTGCACAACGTGCAGGTTAGTTACATATGTATACATGTGCCATGTTGGTGTGCTGCACCCATTAACTTGTCATTTAACATTAGGTATATCTCCTAAAGCTATCCCTCCCCCCTCCCCCGACCCCACAACAGGCCCTGGTGTGTGATGTTCCCCTTCCTGTGTCCATGTATTCTCATGGTTCAATTCCCACCTATGAGTGAGAACATGCAGTGTTTGGTTTTTTGTCCTTGCCATAGTTTGCTGAGAATGATGGTTTCCAGCTTCATACATGTCCCTACAAAGGGCATGAACTCATCATTTTTTATGGCTGCATAATATTCCATGGTGTATATGTGTCACATTTTCTTAATCCTCTCTATCATTGTTGGACATTTGGCTTGGTTCCAAGTCTTTGTTATTGTGAATAGTGCCACAATAACCATACATGTGCATGTGTCTTTATAGCAGCATGATTTATAATCCTTTGGGTATATACCCAGTAATGGGATGGCGGGGTCAAATGGTATTTCTAGTTCTAGATCCCTGAGGAATCACCACACTGACTTCCACAATGGTTGAACTAGTTTACAGTCCCACCAACAGTGAAGTGTTCCTGTTTCTGCACATCCTCTCCAGCACCTGTTTCCTGACTTTTTAATGATTGCCATTCTAACTGGTGTGAGATGGTATCTCATTGTGCTTTTGATTTGCATTTCTCTGATGGCCAGTGATGATGAGCATTTTTTCATGTGTTTTTTGGCTGCATAAATGTCTTCTTTTGAGAACTGCCTGTTCATGTCCTTCGCCCACTTGATGGGGTTGTTTGTCTTTTTCTTGTAAATTTGTTTGAGTTCATTGTAGATTCTGGATATTAGCCCTTTGTCAGATGAGTAGGTTGCAAAAGTTTTCTCCCATTCTGTAGGTTGCCTGTTCACTCTGATGGTAGTTTCTTTTGCTGTGCAGAAGCTCTTTAGTTTAATTAGATCCCATTTGTCAATTTTGGCTTTTGTTGCCATTGCTTTTGGTGTTTTAGACATGAAGTCTTTGCCCATGCCTGAATGGTATTGCCTAGGTTTTCTTCTAGGGTTTTTATGGTTTTAGGTCTAACATTTAAGTCTTTAATCCATCTTGAATTAATTTTTGTATAAGGTGTAAGGAAGGGATCCAGTTTCAGCTTTCTACATATGGCCAGCCAGTTTTCCCTGCGCCATTTACTAAATAGGGAATCCTTTCCCATTTCTTGTTTTTGTCAGGTTTGTCAAAGATCAGAGGGTTGTAGATATGCAGCATTATTTCTGAGGGCTCTGTTCTGTTCCATTGGTCTATATCTCTGTTTTGGTACCAGTACCATGCTGTTTTGTTTACTGTAGCCTTGTAGTATAGTTTGAAGTCAGGTAGCATCTCACTAATATTTCTTTAAAAATAAATGAGTATGGCACTCATTTATTTTTAAGTTACAACATTCACAAGAAATATAACAATGAAACTGTCATTAGTGTTGTGACTATACTTAATAAAAAGCTAGGCAAAAAAAAAGTTTTGAAAAGAAGACTTCTGACACTAAAAAAGTTGCAAGTACAAAATTTCAGAATAAAGAACAGTACTTTTTTAAAAATTTCAAATAAATAATCAAAGGCACATAAATTAAGATGTAAAATCTTTGTCTAATACCGAATTAGTAAATACCAAATTTGACATTTAAAAGAGATTTCCGAGCAGCTGTGGACCTCGCCAAGACAATGCAGACTCCACTGACTGTTCCTGTGCCCGTGCTCCAGTTACCCTGGGGCCCTGATGGCCTCAGCCTTGGCTTTGCCCCGATGGATGCTGGGGCAGTTGAAGCCAGAGGTTCCTGAAATCCAAGAGTGTCCCATAGCTTAAGAATCGCAGGAATCCCAGGAGCAGTGGGCTCGAGCTGCCCTTTGGGAACGTTACCTCCACAGCATGCTGGCCATGGAGTATCAACAAGTGAGCTTCACATTGTACAATTATGTGCACATGGCTGCCCATTTCAGAACCACCAATCTGGACATGGCCAGCTTCTATGTGTCACAGCTCAACTGCAGATTCCCATAGGTGAGTAGAGGTGCTGCTCTAATGTAGTGACATAATTTCATACACCTTCAAGCCATAAAGATCTGTGTTCATCTTTCGGCTTGGGTCTAAGCCACAGTATCCCAGGCCTCCCAATTTTCCTGAGCCAGGAAATCTGGGCCTCATGGAGTTATGGGCCCCCTTGGAATTCTGAGCCAAGCTCCAGTCAACTCTGGACTCCTGAGACCTCCTGGGTCTAGTCAGTAAAATTCTGCAACTCAAGGAATTCTAGGTCCCATTGGAAGGAATGCTTTACCTCAAAGAAATCTGAACCCTCCAGACATATGGGCCTGATGCCATTTCCTAAAGTCTGAGGCTTGGGGGTGGGGTAATACAGGTGGGCAAATTACAGAGTGGGAAGTTATTTATTGAAGAGGTTGCAAAGTTCAGCCACCCTGAAGATACTCCCCAATGCTTCTCTCCTCCTAAAGAACCAACTTCTCCAGGAAAATAAAAGAGATTTCCACTCAATACTGGCAAGGATGATATACGTATGAGCATTCACACACTATAGAAACTGTATTAGTTGGTATGACATTTTCAGTTAACATCCTTTACCATGCCATCTCCTTCTAGGAATGAAACACACAGAGAAAAACACTGCAGTAATATTTTAACAATAAAGAAGTGTGTGTGTGGTGGCAGGGGGAGACTTTCCAGGTGCAACAATGGGAGGTAGGCTAAGCTTATTATGATACACCTATAAAAATATTATTCAGCCATTGAAAATTAGTTTTTAAAGTTCTGACACACAGAAATGCTTGCCATAGCATTAGATGAAGAAAGTATACAAAAGGAATATGCTATTACAACTATGCCTAAGATGCAGAAAATATAACAAAATTTAACGATGGCGATGTCCTTTTAAAATGCCATATACTCCTTCATATTCCTTTTTTTTTTTTTGAGACAGAGTCTCGCTGTCGCCCAGTCTGGAGTGCAGTGGTGCGATCTTGGCTTACTGCAGGCTCTGCCCCCCGGGGTTCACGCCATTCTGCTGCCTCAGCCTCCCGAGTAGCTGGGACTACAGGCGCCTGCCACTTCGCCTGGCTAATTTTTTGTATTTTTAGTAGAGACGGGGTTTCACCGTGTTAGCCAGGATGGTCTCGATCTCCTGACCTCGTGATCCACCCGCCTCGGCCTCCCAAAGTGCTGGGATTACAGGCATGAACCACCGTGCCTGGCCTCATATTACTTTTCCAATCAAAAAACATTTTGTAACAAGTCCTAGTTTTTATAGGAAGAAAATTTCAAGCCATATATCTGAATATCTGTTACATCAAAAAACAGGAGTTATCTAAATATCCAACTACATTTCAAACAAATATATAATTCATGTTGATTCAACAACAAAGGCAAACATCCACATATAAAGAATCAGGCTCAAAATTTCAAACTAAAACTTTTTTTAAAGTTTATTAACTTTTAATAGAAGCAATCCCTAAGATTCTTTCTATCACTGATATTAAATACCTGACACAGTCAAGGGAAAGCAATATACTCAAAAGGTTTGCAAGGAGTAGCATTAATATTCAGCAACTACAAAGCAAGTGCACCCTTCAGACTAAATAGTCATGTGACATAAAAAACTTGAGCACAATATTTACCTGCACAGAATTTAAGAACCCAAGCTACACATCTAAACCATGTTTAAAAAAGGAAAAGAATAAGTTATCAACCATCTTTTAAATCTGACTCTCAGCAGAAAAGAGCTTTGCCCAGCAATCTGTACTGAATTACAAAGAGCACACATTTGCCCCAAATGTTTGTAACCAAAAGAGTTCAACCAAAACAGAAGTCCAAAGTAAGGATTAATGAAATATTTAGCTTATTAATTGTACATCATTGACTACCATCCCTGCTTTCCCTTTTCTTCATTCCTTGTTTTGGATCTTAAAACTAAGTCATGAAAATGCACAAATGAAAATATGTTTAAAATTAACATTTATACAATTTACAGATTTACTAGGTATTTTACATATGTAATATATATACTAAGTACATTCATATACACAATTATCTCAAGCCCTCTGTGAGGCAGGGGTAGTCACTCATAGTGCACTGCTAGCATTCCTGTGTAAGTATCTCCACTCTACCACCTTCCCACACCCACAGGTTCTTAGGGAACCCTACCACAGCTCTTATTTATTTATTTATTTATTTATTTATTTATTTATTTATGAGACGGAGTCTCGCTCTGTCACCCAGGCTGGAGTGCAGCGGCGGATCTCTGCTCAATGCAAGCTCCGCCTGTCGGGTTCACGCCATTCTCCTGCCTCAACCTCTCGAGTAGCTGGGACTGCAGGTGCCCGCCACCACGCCCGGCAAATTTTTTTGTAATTTTAGTAGAGATGGGGTTTTACTGTGTTAGCCAGGATAGTCTCCATCTCCTGACCTCGTGATCTGCCTGCCTCGGCCTCCCAAAGTGTTTTATTTTTATTTTTAATATTTTTTTAGAAATGGGGTCTCACTCTGTTGCCAAGGCTCATCTCGAACTCCTAGGCTCAAGCAATCCTCCTGCCTGGGCCTTCCAAAGTGCTGGAATTACATACATGAATGAGCCTGGCCTTCTTTTACTTTTTTGTAATCAAAGTGCAGTGTTTGGCTTAGAAAAGACTAGGTAAGGCTCGGAGCGATGGCTCATGCCTGTAATCCCAGCCAAAGTGGGCGGATCACTTGAAGTCAGGAGTTCAAGATCAGCCTGGCCAACATGGCGAAACCCTGTCTCTACTATAAATACAAAAATTAGCCTGTTGTGGTGGTGCACGCCTGTAGTCCCAGCTACTTGAGAGACTGAGGCAGGAGAATCGCTTGAACCTAGGGGGGCGGAGGTTGCAGTGAGCCGAGATCATGCCATTGCCCTCTAGCCTGGGCAACAAACTGAGACTCCATCTCAAAAAAAAAAAAAAGGCTAGGTAAATATTTGTTGAGAAAAGGAAAGAGATTCGGCCAGGCACGGTGGCTCATGCCTGTAATCCCAGCACTTTGGGAGGCCGAAGCAGGTGGATCACCTGAGGTCAGGAGTTCGAGAGCAGCCTGGCCAATGTGGTGAAACCCTGTCTCTACTAAAAATACAAAAATTAGCCGGGCATGGTGATGGGCGCCTGTAATCCCAGCTACTTGGGAGGCTGAGGCAGGAGAATTGCTTGAACCTGGGAGGTGGAGGTTGCAGTGAGCTGAGATCATGCCATTGCACTCCAACCTGGGTGACAAGAGTGAGACTCCATCTCAAAAAAAAAAAAAAAGAAAAAAGTTTGAGTAAAATTATCAAGGTTGGCAAATTTACCACTACAAAGGTCTTTCATGGGAGACAGGTTATACCTTCCCAATCTTTAAAATAATTCTAAGGTTCTGTAGCTCAATAGTGAAACAAATAACGATATCCTGGCATAAAACTATCTTTCAGACAAAATCCACCTGCTGTGTATAAAAAAATGTAATAATTGAAAAATTCCTGCCTTGGGAGAGAATAAACCTGATTCGTAATACAAAAACCACTCAATCTACAAATGCGTTGAACAGAAAGATGGACTAAATATAAAGAGGGAACTTCTGACCTCCTTTGGTGCTAGACTGCCTGTAGTCATAGCTAGGCAGGAGGTGATATTATTATCTCATATTTAAAATTATATTTCAGGCATATGTGATACAGTCACCTAAGAAAAAGATGGACCCACTTGATCCACAGTAGTATTTGGCCTCCATGCCCTAGGCTAGGAAAGATTTAGAAATTACCCATTGTGGATAAAGAAAGAGCAGTCTTCCTTGCCAAGATGAAAACTACATAATAAATGAGTCTCCTATGTGAGAATTACATTTCCACCCGTAAAGAAGTTGCATTGACATGTATTCCCTTGATGTCCTTGTCTTCTATTCAGTGCTCAGTTCTTTTAAAATTTAATGTTGACAGACTATGTGGCCTTCACATTTCTGTCCCAACATCTAGCTAATTAAAATTAACTAATGTGATATCATTTTTACTTCAGTACACCTATCCAATCAATCTTGAGTATATTCAAAACCAAGAGAAAAATTTCTGTAGGTCTGACAAGCATGACTATCCTTACTTCTCTGGGTAAGGTGGCTCACATCTGTAATCCTAGCACTTTGTGAGGCCGAGGCAGGTAGATTGTTTCAGCTCAGGATTCCCAGACCAGCCTGTGCAATAAGGTGAGACAGTGTCTCTAAAAAAAATACAAAAATTAGCTGGGCATGGTGGCACCTATAGTCCCAGCCACTCTAGAAATAGCTACTCTAGAAAATATTTGCAAATTATGTATCTGATAAGGCATATCTGATAAGGCTTTTTCTTTCCATTGCAAGGGTAACGGTGAGGTAGAAGGCTCTGGTGGGAGGATTGTTTGAGTGTGGGTGGCAGAGGTTGCTGTGAGCTGAGATCGTGCCACTGTGCTCCAGCCTAGGTGACACAGCCAGGCCCTGTGCCCCCCCGCCCCAAAAAAAAATTGTAACTCTATGCTTAACCTTTTCCATTAGCAGTTTCTACCAGCAAAATAAATCTCTTTTCCATCATCACCAAAGATTTTTCCACATCTTTGCCAACACTTGTTCTGGCTGTCTTTTTAAATTTCAGCCACTCTGGTAGGTGTGGCATGGTATCTCATTGTGGTTTTGATTTTCATGTCCCTGATGGCAAATGGTGCTGAGCATCGTTTCATGTGCTTATTGGCCGTATGTTTATCTGCCTTGGCAAAATGTTCATTCAGACCCTTTGCTAACTGTTTTACTTGGGTCATTTTTTAAATAAAATTATTAACTTGTAAGAGTTTAACAGATATGTCTTATCAGAAATGTAATTTGCAAATATTTTCTCCCATTTTATGGGTTGTCTTTTTACTTTCTTATGGTGCCCTGTGAAGGACATACATGTATGCTCGTGCTCTCTCTCTCTCTCTCTCTCTCTCTCTCTGTCTCTCAAAACTTTTGGACCAAAGAGGGAAGTATAACTGTGATTTATTAAGCAGCCCCATTGAGGGCTAACAGCACATTTCTGACCACTTTGTATGCTGGTACCAGCCGGGGGTGCCCCAGCGGGTGCTCCTTGGGGTGTCTGCTTCAGGGCTGCTGCAAGGGTGCAGGGCAGGGCTCCTCCAGCTGGGAAACCATGGAATAGTTGGCAGCTGCTTTGTACGTCTTGAGAGACAAAAGAAAGCTCAAAATCAAGAGCAAACACTGGGTTTGCACTGAAAAGAAATATATCATTTCCTTGAAGAGAAAAATTCAAGATGTGAAAAATGGAAGCAAGGAAAGAAGAACTATGAAGAGAAGAGAGATTAGAATACCAACTGCTGTAGATCATTTCGTGTCCCAATTATCTCCAAGTTCTTCCACCTTCTGGGATCACCAGCTGTTTTAACACCCAAAATACATGAAAGCTATGTGTTGTAATCTGTAGGGTAACCATTAAAAGAATAGGATCTATAACTTGGCAAGAGAGGAAAAAGCCAGGATAGTAAAAAAGTCCATCAATCCAAAAAGCAAGAAAAAACAGAAAAAGGAACATGCTGGCATATTATTATAATTATTGTATTATTCGCTATTTCTGTTAATTTTTTACTGTGCCTAATTTATATATTAAACTTTTTCACAGCTATGTATGTATAGAGAAAAATACATCTGTGGTTTCAGGCATCCACTGAGGGTCTTGGAACATAATCCCTCCCCCAGATAAGGAGGTACTACTGTAATTATACTGTATGTCTTATTAAGTATATATTAATTCTACTAGGTAGCAGCCACATTATATATTAATTATATTAAATGTATATCATACAGATTTATTTTAAGGAATTGACTGGTAATAGAAGAGGCTGGCAGGCTGGAGATTCAGGAAAGAGTTGCAATTCAAGTCCAAAGGCAATCTGCCAGAGAATTCCCTCTTGCTTGGGGGAGGTAGGCCTTTTGTTCTATTCAAATTTTTGATGAAAATAGAAAGCAAAGAGTATATTAACTATATTATACAAACTAAATGCTCCAATTAAAATACAAAAATTATAAAACCTAATAATAAAAAAACCTCAATTTTACACTGTTTAAAAGAGGCATTTTTAAGCTTAAGGATATAGAAAATTTGAAAATAAAAGAATAGAATAAAATAGGCCATTAAAATACTAGTGTAACACTGATGTGAAAATCTGACAAAGCACACAAAAAAGAAAATAATTTTAACTGCAAAATTTTAAAATCCAAGCAAAGAGAAAGCAGCATATGTTATAATTATATCACAACATGATCTAGTAAGGCATACTTCAAAAATATAACAAAAAAAATTTAAACATGGCCCATTATTAGGAAACATACTAATAAAAATCCTCACAAAAATAATGCAAAATCTAAAAAGCCATATGATAAGCCTGATGAATGTTGGTTTACAGAACTGATTTTCTAGAAAACAGGTTTATAAAACTGGTTTTCTTTAAAAAGGCAATCTTGGGGAAATAACCCATTTACTCAATTTTTTTTTTTGAGATGGAGTTTTACTCTTGTTGCCCAGACTGGAGTGCAATGGTGCGATCTCGGCTCACCTGCAACCTTTGCTTCCCAGGTTCAACAGAGTCTCCCACCTCAGCCTCCCGAGTAGCTGGGATTACAGGCACCTACCACCATCACGCCCAGCTAATTTTTTTGTATTTTTCGTAGAAATGGGGTTTCACTATGTTGGCCAGGCTGGTCTCGAACTCCTGACCTCATGATCTGCCCAACTCAGCCTCCCAAAGTGCTGGGATTACAGGCGTGAGCCACCTTTGGGAAGATATCCAGTAGTGAGATTGCTATTTGAACGGCAGTTCTGTTTTTATTTCTTTGAGAAATCTCCATAATGTTTTCTGTAATGGTTGTAATAATTTACATTCCCACCAACAGTGTATAAGCATTCCCTTTTCTCTGCATCCTCACCAATATCTGCGGTTTTCTGACTTTTAATTTTATATTTATTTTTTATTTTTATAGATATGCGGGTCTGATTTTGCCTAGGTGGGTCTCGAACTCCTGACCTCAAGTGATCTGCCCACCTCGGCCTCCCAAAGTGCAGAATTATAGGTGCAAATCACCACACCTGACTGTTTTCTGACTTTTTACTAATAGCATGTGCTGCGTGTGGTGGCTCACACCTGTAATCCCTGCAGTTTGGGAGGCCGAGGCAGGTGGATCACTTGAGGTCGGGAGTTTGAGACCAGCCTGGCCAACATGGTGAAACTCCGTCTCTACTAAAAGTACAAAATTTAGCTGGGTGTGGTATCCGGCGCCTGTAATCCCAGCTACTCAGGAGGCTGAGGCAGAAGAATGGCTTGAACCCAGGAGGCGGAAGTTGCAGTGAGTCGAGATTGCATCACTGCACTCCAGCCTGCGTGACAGAGCAAGACTCCCTAATAATAATAATAATAATAATAATAATAATAATAATAATAATAATAGCACGTGCTGTTCTGCAGCATGACCTTAACATTGCTCCCATGGTGAGGTCAGGTCTGTGCTCCCTCCCCTTGAATTCAAGAAGGTCTGTGACTGGCAGAAGTGATTCAAGGTAGGTCATGAAAGGGGACACCATTTCTCCGTGGTCCTCCTGGGATGCTTGCTCTTTGAACCCAGCCACCATGCTGTGAGGAAGCCCAGATCACAGGGAGAGGCCACATTTTGATGTTCCAATCAACAGTCCCAGCGCAGGTTTCAGATGACAGCCAACATCAGTTGCCAGACATGGGACTCAAGAAGGCTTTGCGAAGACTCCAGCTCCAGCCACTGCAACAGCATGAGAGACCCCTACTGACCATCACCTACCTGAACCCATCAACTCTCAGAACCACAAAAAATAACACTTTTTTTTTTTTTTTTTTGAGAGGGAGTCTTTCTCTGTCCCCCAGGCTGGAGTGCAGTGGCACAATCTTGGCTCACTGCAAGCTCCGCCTCCCAGGTTCTTGCCATTCTCCTGCCTCAGCCTCCTGAGTAGCTGGGACTACAGGAGCCGACCACCACCCAGCTAATTTTTTTGTAGTTTTAGTAGAGACAGGGTTTCACCGTGTTAGCCAGGATGGTTTCGATCTCCTGACCTCATGATCTGCCTGCCTCGGCCTCCCAAAGTGCTGGGATTACAGGTGTGAGCCACCGTGCCTGGTCTTTTTTTTTTATTATACTTTAAGTTTTAGGGTACATGTGCACATTGTGCAGGTAAGTTACATATGTATACATGTGCCATGCTGGTGCACTGCACCCACTAACTCATCATCTAGCATTAGGTATATCTCCCAATGCTATCCTTCCCCCCTCCCCCCACCCCACAACAGTACCCAGAGTGTGATATTCCCCTTCCTGTGTCCATGTGATCTCATTGTTCAATTCCCACCTATGAGTGAGAATATGCGGTGTTTGGTTTTTTGTTTTTGCGATAGTTTACTGAGAATGATGTTTTCCAATTTCATCCATGTCCCTACAAAAGACATGAACTCATCATTTTTTGTGTCTGCATAGTATTCCATGGTGTATATGTGCCACATTTTCTTAATCCAGTCTATCATTGTTGGACATTTGGCTTGGTTCCAAGTCTTTGCTATTGTGAATAATGCCGCAATAAACATACGTGTGCATGTGTCTTTATAGCAGCATGATTTATAGTCCTTTGGGTATATACCCAGTAATGGGATGGCTGGGTCAAATGGTATTTCTAGTTCTAGATCCCTGAGGAATCGTCACACTGACTTCCACAATGGTTGAACTAGTTTACAGTCCCACCAACAGTGTAAAAGTGTTCCTGTTTCTGCACATCCTCTCCAGCACCTGTTTCCTGACTTTTTAATGATTGCCATTCTAACTGGCATGAGATGGTATCTCATTGTGGTTTTGATTTGCATTTCTCTGATGGCCAGTGATGATGAGCATTTTTTCATGTGTTTTTTGGCTGCATAAATGTCTTCTTTTGAGAAGTGTCTGTTCATGTCCTTCGCCCACTTGATGGGGTTGTTTGTCTTTTTCTTGTAAATTTGTTTGAGTTCATTGTAGATTCTGGATATTAGCCCTTTGTCAGATGAGTAGGTTGCGAAAATTTTCTCCCATTTTGTAGGTTGCCTGTTCACTCTGATGGTAGTTTCTTTTGCTGTGCAGAAGCTCTTTAGTTTAATTAGATCCCATTTGTCAATTTTGGCTTTTGTTGCCATTGCTTTTGGTGTTTTAGACATGAAGTCCTTGCCCATGCCTATGTCCTGAATGGTAATGCCTAGGTTTTCTTCTAGGGTTTTTATGGTTTTAGGTCTAACGTTTAAGTCTTTAATCCATCTTGAATTGATTTTTGTATAAGGTGTAAGGAAGGGATCCAGTTTCAGCTTTCTACATATGGCTAGCCAGTTTTCCCAGCACCATTTATTAAATAGGGAATCCTTTCCCCATTTCTTGTTTTTCTCAGGTTTGTCAAAGATCAGATAGTTGTAGATATGCGGCGTTATTTCTGAGAGCTCTGTTCTGTTCCATTGATCTATATCTCTGTTTTGGTACCAGTACCATGCTGTTTTGGTTACTGTAGCCTTGTAGTATAGTTTGAAGTCAGGTAGTGTGATGCCTCCAGCTTTGTTCTTTTGGCTTAGGATTGACTTGGCGATGCGGGCTCTTTTTTGGTTCCATATGAACTTTAAAGTAGTTTTTTCCAATTCTGTGAAGAAAGGCATTGGTAGCTTAATGGGGATGGCATTGAATCTGTAAATTACCTTGGGCAGTATGGCCATTTTCATGATATTGATTCTTCCTACCCATGAGCATGGAATGTTCTTCCATTTGTTTGTATCCTCTTTTATTTCCTTGAGCGGTGGTTTGTAGTTCTCCTTGAAGAGGTCCTTCACATCCCTTGTAAGTTGGATTCCTAGGTATTTTATTCTCTTTGAAGCAATTGTGAATGGGAGTTCACTCATGATTTGGCTCTCTGTTTGTCTGTTGCTGGTGTATAAGAATGCTTGTGATTTTTGTACATTGATTTTGTATCCTGAGACTTTGCTGAAGTTGCTTATCAGCTTAAGGAGATTTTGGGCTGAGACAATGGGGTTTTCTAGATATACAATCATGTCATCTGCAAACAGGGACAATTTGACTTCTTCTTTTCCTAATTGAATATCTTTATTTCCTTCTGCCTAATTGCCCTGGCCAGCACTTCCAACACTATGTTGAATAGGAGTGGTGAGAGAGGGCATCCCTGTCTTGTGCCAGTTTTCAAAGGGAATGCTTCCAGTTTTTGCCCATTCAGTATGATATTGGCTGTGGGTTTGTCATAGATAGCTCTTATTATTTTGAGATATGTCCCATCAATACCTAATTTACTGAGAGTTTTTAGCATGAAGGGTTGTTGAATTTTGTCAAAGGCTTTTTCTGCATCTATTGAGATAATCATGTGGTTTTTGTCTTTGGCTCTGTTTATATGCTGGATTACATTTATTGATTTATGTATATTGAACCAGCCTTGCATCCCAGGGATGAAGCCCACTTGATCATGGTGGATAAGCTTTTTGATGTGCTGCTGGATTCGTTTTGCCAGTATTTTATTGAGAATTTTTGCATCAAAGTTCATCAAGGATATTGGTCTAAAATTCTCTTTTTTTTGTTATGTCTCTGCCTGGCTTTGGTATCAGAATGATGCTAGCCTCATAAAATGAGTTAGAGAGGATTTCCTCTTTTTCTATTAATTGGAATAGTTTCAGAAGGAATGGTACCAGTTCCTCCTTGTACCTCTGGTAGAATTCAGCTGTGAATCCATCTGGTCCTGGACTCTTTTTGGTTGGTAAGCTATTGATTATTGCCACAATTTCAGATCCTGTTATTGGTCTATTCAGAGATTCAACTTCTTCCTGGTTTAGTCTTGGGAGAGTGTATGTGTCGAGGAATTTATCCGTTTCTTCTAGATTTTCTAGTTTATTTGCATAGAGGTGTTTGTAGTATTCTCTGATGGTAGTTTGTATTTCTGTGGGATCGGTGGTGATATCCCCTTTATCATTTTTTATTGCATCTATTAGATTCTTCAAGTGGGCTTCATCCCTGGGATGCAAGGCTGGTTCAATATACGCAAATCAATAAATGTAATCCAGCATATAAACAGAGCCAAAGACAAAAACCACATGATTATCTCAATAGATGCAGAAAAAGCCTTTGACAAAATTCAACAACTCCTCGAGAAGAGCAACCCTTCATGCTAAAAACTCTCAATAAATTAGGTATTGATGGGACATATCTCAAAATAATAAGAGTTATCTATGACAAACCCACAGCCAATATCATACTGAATGGGCAAAAACTGGAAGCATTCCCTTTGAAAACTGGCACAAGACAGGGATGCCCTCTCTCACCACTCCTATTCAACATAGTGTTGGAAGTGCTGGCCAGGGCAGTTAGGCAGGAGAAGGAAATAAAGGGTGTTCAATTAGGAAAAGAGGAAGTCAAATTGTCCCTGTTTGCAGACGACATGATTGTGTATCTAGGAGTATCTTTGTGGCGTTCTCTGTATTTCCTGAATCTGAACGTTGGCCTGCCTTGCTAGATTGGGGAAGTTCTCCTGGATAGTATCCTGCAGAGTGTTTTCCAACTTGGTTCCATTCTCCCCATCACTTTCAGGTACACCAATCAGACGTAGATTTGGTCTTTTCACATAGTCCCATATTTCTTGGAGGCTTTGTTCATTTCTTTGTATTCTTTTTTCTCTAAACTTCCCTTCTCGCTTCATTTCATTCATTTCATCTTCCATCGCTGATACCCTTTCTTCCAGTTGATCGCATCGGCTCCTGAGGCTTCTGCATTCTTCACGTAGTTCTCGAGCCTTGGTTTTCAGCTCCATCAGCTCCTTTAAGCACTTCTGTGTATTGGTTATTCTAGTTATACATTCTTCTAAATTTTTTTCAAAGTTTTCAACTTCTTTGCCTTTGGTTTGAATGTCCTCCCGTAGCTCAGAGTAATTTGATCGTCTGAAGCCTTCTTCTCTCAGCTCCTCAAAGTCATTCTCCATCCAGCTTTGTTCCGTTGCTGGTGAGGAACTGCGTTCCTTTGGAGGAGGAGAGGAGCTCTGGTTTTTAGAGTTTCCAGTTTTTCTGTTCTGTTTTTTTCCCCATCTTTGTGGTTTTATCTACATAGTAAGACCCTGTCTCTACAAAATAATTTTATTTTATTTTTATTTTTGGTTTTTGTTTATTTGTTTTGTTTTGTTGAGATGGAGTTTCACTCTTGTTGCCCAGGCTGGAGTGCAGTGGTGTGATCTTAGCTCACTGAAACCTCCACCTCCTGGGTTCAAGTGATTCTCCTGCCTCAGGCCTGCAAAGCAGCTGGGATTACAGGCGTGCACCACCACACCTGGCTAATTTTTTGTATTTTTAGTAGAGCTGGGTTTCACCATGTTAGCCAGGGTGGTTTCGAACTCCTGATCTCAGGTGATCTGCCTGCCTCGGCCTCCCAAAGTACTGGGATTACAGGCATGAGCCACCGCCCCCAGCCCAAAATAATTTTTAAAATTAGCTGGGCATGGTGTTGTATGCCTGTTGTCCCAGCTACTCTAGAGGCTGGGATGGGAGGATCGCTTGAGGCCAGAAGTTTGAGGTTGCAGTGAGACAGGATTGCACCACTGCTCCCCAGCATGGGTGACAGGGAGAGATTTTGTCTCTAAAATGGAAATAAAGGAAGCAAGGAAGGGCTTCTCCTCCAAACACTACCACTTCATCTTGGGCAGTTACATGATTCCAGGAAACATGGAAAATCTACCTTGAGTACCTTTTTGGATGTATGCTAATGGGAAAACAAATCTCATTAATTAACTCATAGAACCGCTAAGAGGAAAGAATCTTAGGGGATGTGTGGTTTCACTCCCTAATTTCAAACATGAGGAAATTGGGTACCAAAGAGATGAAGTAACTCACCAGGTAGAGAGAGAAGAGCCTGTCTTACCACAAGAGGTCTCTCATTGGAAAATGGGCAAAACTCGTTCCCTGCCTGCATTCTCCAAGATCGTAGCCCAACATAGAATAGAAGTGTCTCCACTTCAGAGGACAACCAGTTTGTCCTTTTCCTTTTACACCCCTTTCAGCAAGCAGTATTTCTCAGCTTTGTGTTTGTGCAAACTCTTGAGTAGCACAAACTCCTGAGCTAAGAGACACTCCACTCTGTTTGCAATTGAGGGCAAAGGCTGGGATGCTTGGGCACAGCTCCAGGCTCCTTTCCCAGAAGTCTGGGGTGGCAGAAAAAAAAAAAAGAATGTATTTTTCACACACTGAGTAGAGATGTGGCTCATCACGTAGAGGTAAATTGTTTTTTTCTTGAGATAGAGTTTTGCTCTTGTTGCCCAGGCGGGAGTGCAGTGGCACCATCTCAGTTCACTGAAACCTCCCCCTCCCGGGTTCAAGCTATTCTCCCACCTCAGCCTCTTGATTAGCTGGGATTATAGGCACCTGCCATGACACCCAGCTAAATTTTGTATTTTTAGTAGAGAAGGGGTTTCACCATGTTGGCCAGGCTGGTCTCGAATTCCTGATCTCAGGTGATCCAGCCGCCTCAGCCTCCCAAAGTGCTGGGATTCAAGTGTGATCCACAGCGCTCGGCCTTAGAATTGGTATTTTATAAAGAATAGAAGTTTACATAGCTCACAGTTTTAGATTATGGAAGTCCAAGAGCATGCCATTGACATCTGATGAGAATCAGATTTCCACATCACAAAATGGCCAAAGGCATGAGGATGAGAGAAGGTGAACATAAGAGAGCTTACTTTTATAATAGACCCAATTTCCTGCCAGCTAACCCACTCTGGAAACAATGACATTAATTCATTCATGAGAGTAGATCCCTCAGAACCTAGTATCTTCTTAAAGGTCTAATTTATAATTTTATAACGATGGCAGTTAAATTTGAACATGAATTTTGAAGGGGGCATTCAAACCATAGTGATGTGTTTTTATTAGATAATTAAATTATTTGATATTTAAAAAATTATTGATTTGCCATGACTTTTAATGGCAAAAACCGCAATTACTTTTGCACCAACAAAATAATGTCTTTGGTTTTCTTTTCATGCTCTCTTTTCTTGTGTTTTCTTGTTTTTTTTTTTTTTTTTTTTTTTGCTTTTGTTGTTATATGCTTTGATTCCCATTTCTGTTCTTTCTTTTGTTTTCTTTTTTCTTTTTTTTGAGATAGAGTTTCACTCTCGTTTTCCAGGCTAGAATGCAATGGCACCAACTCAACCTCCATCTCCCAAGTTCAAGCAATTCTCCTTCCTCAGCCTCCCGAATAGCTGGGATTACAGGCACTTGCCACCACATCTGACTAATTTTGTATTTTACTAGAGATGGATTTTCTCCATGTTGGTCAGGCTGGTCTCGAACTCCCGGCCTCAGGTGATCTGTCCATCTCCGCCTCCCAAAGTGCTGGGATTACAGGAATAAGCCACTGCGCCCGGCCGCTTGATTCCTTTTTCTTTTGTGTGTATAGTACAAATTTTCATTTAGTTACCAAGAGATTTACATAACACATCTCATAGATATAATACTCTAGCTTACGATAATAACAATTCTACTTCGATGCATAGAAAGACTCAACAGGTTTACTCTCTTCAATACATGATTTATGTCACACTTTACATTTTTTATATTGTGTATCTCATAATAAATTATTTAAGCTATATGTATTTTGAATACTTTTGTCTTGTAGCTTTTATCCCTAAGTTAAAAGTAATTCATGCACCACCATTACAGGTGTCATTAGTATTTTATTCATTTTTCTCCACCTATACCTAAATAATGATATAATTTAATTCCAATATTTATTTTATATATAATCTCACAGTATTCTAAAAAATTATATTGTTTTTACTTTGGAATATTATTTTCTTGTGTTCATATGGTTGTATTGTAGATCTTACATTTTGTGTAATAGCAATAATATATTAATAACATAAATAACTTTACCTAGTATCTTTTAAATACTTTAAAAGGTTCCATTTTCATTAGACTTTTTACTAATTCTTCTAATGTATTTTTTTGTGGAAATTTACTACTATACATTGCATGCCAATAATTAAAAATGCCAGATTTTCATAAGTTCATAGTCATATTTGAAAACTGTAGTTATTTAAAAAATTATTTTCTCATACATCTACGCTAATATTCCATATTTTATAGGTCAACATGTTTTATTTTTGTTTTTAAGTCCATTATACTGCAATTTTTTCGTACAGGTTTCTTTTGATGATTAAATTGTGTTTTTGTTTTTAACGTTACATTTATGATGTGGAAAGTAATTTTCACTCTGTATTATTTATAAAAATGCGGTGTTTAACAGGGCCAGGCATGGTGGCTCACACCTGTAACCCCAGCACTTTGGGAGGCTGAGGCAGGCAGATCACCTGAGGTTGGGTGTTTGAGACCAGCCTGACCAACATGCAGAAACCCCGTCTCTACTAAAAATACAAAATTAGCTGGGTGTGGTGGTGCATGCCTGTAATCCCAGCTCCTTGGGAGGCTGAGGCAGGAGAATTGCTTGAACCTGGGAGGTGGAGGTTGCAGTGAGCCAAGATCATGCCATTGCACTCCAGCCTGGGCAACAAGAGTGAATCTCCGTCTTAAGAAAAAAAAATGTGGTGTTTAACTCAAATATAAATCCCTGGGTTTCACTTGGAGCAAATTTTAAAAAACAAGCATAAGTCAGATATTTCTTATTTTTGTTTGTTTGTTTGGATACGGAGTCTCGCTCTGTCACCCAGGATGGAGTGCAGTGGCAGGATCCAGGCTTACTGCCACCTCTGCCTCCAGGTTCAAGCAATTCTCCTGCCTCAGCCTCCTGAGTAGCTGGGACTACAGGTGCGCACCACCATGCCTGGCTAATTTTTTGTATTTTTAGTAGAGATGGCATTTCACCATGCTGGCCAGGCAGGTCTTGAACTCCTGACCTCATGATCCACCTGGCTCAGTCTCCCAAAGTGCTGGGATTACAGGCATGAACCACCACGCCCAGCCCCGTAAGTCAGACATTTCTATTGCCTATAAAAGTTATTTATGTGATATTTGCGTGTATAAATATTGATCCATTTTCTTTATTAATTATCTTGTTTATTTCTTTTCTCAGGTGGTTGTCAGTGTTCTATTGTCTGGATGAGTAGTCAGAAAGGCAGTCTAAAATTACTGTCTATTTGTTGTTTGAATCTATGTTATTGTGTGAGAAAAACACTTGATATTTGAAGTAATTTTTGAAAAATACAACTATTTTTTGAGAGTTGTAAATATTTGTGATTAAAAACATAAAATTACCATCTTAAACATTTTAAAGTTATATACTTAAGCTATATGTTTAGTACTTTTAAGTATATTTATATTATATGAAACAAATCTCTAGATAATTTTATCTTTGAAAAGTACAATCTAATGTTCAATAAACTGTCTTCTCCTTCTCTCTTTTCCGCGTCTGAAGAACATCATTTTACTTTCTGTTTTGTCTGTCTTTTTTTGGCTATCTTATTTTAGTCAACATAATTTTTCCTGTGTCTTTAATTTTAACAAGTAAGTTATTCTCCTCTCAGTTCAGATTCATCAGGAAATTGAATCATATCCAGAAGAATTAAAACTAAAAGACTAATATGTTTGTTAAAGCAATGCAGGTTGTCATACTAATAAACCCTACAATTTCAAAGGCTTAGCAAAATAATACATTTTATGCACACACCACCTTCCCCTTTGGTTTACTTCTGGTTAAAAAAACTTCTTCATGATTATTTGGAGATTAGATTTTTTTCTAAATTTTCTATCCACATTCTCCTGTTTCTAAAGCCAATAGATCAAAAAAGATGCAAAGAAGACACATTTGCTTTTTATCCACACATCACTTCCAGTCACTATGCTGAGCAGAGTCAAAGTGAGCAGAGCTCAGAAATAGCAGTTTTCTGCCAGGACAGCCACTTCTTGGCAAAGAATGACACAATAAAAGTATAAATCTTTCATGGAAAGCTAACATGTTTTCAGCAAATTAAGCATATGCATGAATAAAATTCTTGTGGTAAAATAAAGATTCATTTTGTTGATTCTTATTGAGCTCAGGTAATAGCAAATAAAAAGGCAGCAAATATAGAGCAAAAAAATTATTTGAAATAGAAATAATGTGGATTAAGATATTCTGTCAATTAAAGTAAAAATATTTTTATCTCATACTAATCATCTTACCTATAGTCGTATAATATCAAATGCTACTTTTTATTAACAATTGTACTTCATATAAGTATTCCATTTATATCACCCTTCTTCACTGTTTCAATGCCTTCTGCACTTCATATCAGTGAAAAACAGGCTGGCTGGTACCAGGAAATGGATGTGGTGCTATTGCTACTTTAAGAGTAATGATGAAGAGCCCTTGTTTGAATTGGTCCCATGTGGCAAACACTGTTATATGGTCTAAAGTAAACACATTTATTATTTTCTTCTAAATTTACTGATGAAATACAATTCTCAGCTAAGGAAGACTTGATCTCATTCAAATACATTTTGTGAAATTTGGTTGACATTTCAGTGTCTTTGACTTAAATGGCATATTGAAAATTTCTATGAATCCAAATAGAGTGTTATACATGAACAGTCTTTTATTAAAAACCTTTCTGGGTTGGGTGTAGTGGCTCATTCCTGTAATCCCAGTACTTTGGGAGGCCGAGGCGGGCGGATCAACTGAGGTCAGCAGTTCGAGACCAGCCTGACCAACGTGGAGAAACCCCGTCTCTACTAAAAATAGAAAATTAGCCAGGCATGCTGGCACATGCCTGTAATCCCAGCTACTCAGAAGGCTAAGGCAGAAGACTGACTTGAACCCGAGAGGCAGAGGTTGAGTTGAGCCAAGATCACGCCGTTGCACTCCAGCCTGGGCAACAAGAGTGAAACTCCGTCTCAAAAAAAAAAAAAAAAAAAAAAAAAAAAAGCCTTTCTCTTAAGATTCATAAAATTTCTTCATAATATCGAAGAAATGTGTTAAATATGTTCCCAGTAATCAACTCTGAACACTGAGCATTCTCAGTTCCCAGTATTCACTCTGAGTCATTCAGAAAAATTGGTATCTCTGTAAGGAGTCAGAAAAACGTCTTTGGGGAAGGGTCACAACATTGCACATAAATGCTTTCTACCTGCACCTGTTAGGATCTTAATCTAATTGGTCTATCATTTGCATGGCTAGATAGTTACTGGATCTAGTCATACTATTTTGTGTTTTGCAGATAATGGCATCTGTTACCTATAAGTTTCATACAACAATTTGCTCAGCTGAAATATGAATCTTTTGCTAATTTACCCGAAATTAAGGGACTAGATTTGCAATTTCTAATCTTTCAATGTTAGAGCAAAGTAGAGAAGAGTAATGTGTGTATGTGGTATGCATTTTCTTACTTAACTATTAAAATTCTTCTCATATTGCCTTGGACACTTTAGACAGCCACCCAAAAAATATTCCCTACTGTTTTTTTTAGCCAGGATATTAGATTTCAAAAGGTCAAGGACTTAATAATTGGGCTAAGCCAAAATCTTGTCTTTGCTTCTTTCAAAGAACATGGCAATTATGCCAAGCCATTGAAAGATGTGGATCTGATGACTTTTATTTGATTTCAAATGCTTTTTCTAATTGTTTGCTCTAATTGTCTTATTGTGTTAATCTAAAAGAGAACCTATCTACATAACAACTTATGCATTCACGAAATGTTCATGTTACGATGATCAAAGTTCAATATTGTAGTATAGAATAGTAGAATAGTCTAAAGTTAGAAAGTCAGATTATTATTAATAAATTCATTATTTTTTTCAACATTTTCCAATGTTGAAATTGAAGAATTGGCAAGGCTTTTTCATGATAAGTTCAATTCTAGGATAGTACTCACTGGTCTGCATGGTATTTTTTTCCTTTTTTTTGGCAGGAGGGGATGGAGTTTTGCTCCTGTTGCCCAGGCTGGAGTGCAATGGCATGATCTTGGCTCACTGAAACCTTCGCCTCCAGGGTTCAAGCCAGTCTCCTGCCTCAGCCTCTTGAGTAGCTGGGATTACAGGCATGCAGCACCATGCCCGGCTAATTTTATATTTTTAGTAGAGATGGGGTTTCTCCATGTTGATCAGGCTGGTCTTGAACTCACAATCTCAGGTGATCCACCCACCTCACCCTCCCAAAGTTCTAGGATAATAGGCATGAGCCACCGCACCCTGCAGCTATCTTTGTCATGAAATATGTAAATCCGAGTTACCAGAATAGTGCAGAAGTGCTAATGCAATCAGAATGAAAATGAATACGGCCTTGTTGGTAGACTATTGGTATCCCAGAGGCTGATCATTTACTTCAGCTGTGTAGACATTGCTTCATAACGCCAGGGAGCCCTTTCAACCAAGTTGCCTTTATTTCCCATTGATGAGGTCATGATCTGTTCTCTGTTTTTCTTAAGCTGTCCCAGATGAGGGGTGATTATTTCTTGCATAAATGAGATCCCTTCTTTTTCCTCTGCAATGAGATCCTCCTATTCTCCTTACTGAAAGTAATATGTTGAACGCAGAAATGTAGACAATATACAAATATATACCTTGCCATCTGGCCACCATAAACACTTTACGACATTGCTTACCAAGAAGTTTGATTAATTTCAGGGAAGCAGGGATATTTTTCTATGATGTGCTCTTTCTCTTAAAGCACCTCTGATTAAGTTTAGCCTAATCAAGATAATCACTTGTATGATAAAAAGGAAGCCAATACATTAGTAATATAAATACGTGAATACTGTTTTGCCACAGTCACACACATTTTGTGATGCTCAAGAGAAAAGGATTACACAGCAGGTGTGCACTGAAGTGGGAACCTGAGGGTCATCTGAGAATTTTCCCTACCCACCTGAATAGATTTCTAAAATCACCTTTCAGTTGCTTTTGCTGTCTTTCTAAGTAAACAAAGATATCATCTGCAAATAATAATTAATTGAACTGCTTTTCCATTGTATTCATTAAAATAATTATCTTTTTCTGGCTTATATGAAGTATTTCTTATTTGTAATATACATTCACATATATACAAATATATAGCAATACAAATGTATCCATTTTCATTTTTGTTAAATTTTTAAGAATGGATGTTAAAAGTAATTTCTTTTCTGTTTGAAAGTGTTTTTATTGTTTTATTCAAGAGTATTATCTCTGGAGTTAAAGTTGATACTGTTTTAATACTGGCTCTGCTATTGTGAGCAAGTTATTTCTCTCTCTGGCTCTTTTCTTTTTTTTTTTTTGTAAATTGAGGATAATAGTGACACCTTTGTTATTAAGTTACTTTGTCTATTAGTGCATTCTCACACTGCTGAAGAACACACCAAAGACTAGGTAAATTATAAAGGAAAGAGGTTTATTTGACTCACAGTTCAGCATGGCTTGGGAGGCCTCAAGAACCTTACGATAATGGGAGAAGGTGAAGGAGAAGCAGGTATCCTTTTCACTAGGTGACGGAGAGCAGGAAAAATTACCACTTATAAAACCATCCAAACTCATGAGAACTCACTCACTATCACAAGAACAGCATGAGTATCATTCTGCCTCTGGCCTCTTCCAAATCTCATGCCCTTTTTATATTTCAAAACCAAACATGCTTTCCCAACAGTCCCCCAAGTCTTAAGTTAGCATTAACCCAAAAGTCTAAGTCCAAAGTCTCATCTGAGACAAGGCAAATCCCTGCTACCTATGAGCCTGTAAATCAAAAGCAAGTTAGTAACTTCCAAGATACAATGGAGGTACAGGCATTAGATAAATTCTCCCACTACAAATGGGAGAAATTGGCCAAAACCAAAGAGCTACAGGCCCCATGCAAGTTTGAATTCCAATGGGGCAGTCATTAAGTCTTAAAGCTCTGAGATGTTCTCATTTGACTCCATGTCTCACATGTGGGCCATGCTGATGCAATGGGTGGGCCCTCCTGGCCTTGGGAAGCTCCTTTATGGACTGGATTGTGTGCCTGTGGCTTTTCTAGGTGCACGGTGCAAGCTCATGGTGAATCTGTTATTTAGGGGTCTGGAGTATAGTGGCCTTCTCACAACTCCAGTAGGCAGCTTCAGTGGGGACTCTGCATGAGGGCTCCAACCCCACATTTCCCTTCTGCATTGCCCTAGCACAGGTTATCCATGAGGGCTCTGACCCTGTGGAAGACTTCTGCCTGAATATCCAGGCATTTTTATACATCCTCTGAAATCTAGGCAGAGGTTTCTAGAGCTCAACTCTTGTCTTCTGTGCACATGCATGGCCAGTACCACATGGAAGCCACCAAGGCTTGAGGATTCCACTTTCTGAAGAAACAACCCAAGCTGTACTTTGGCCCCTTTTAGCCACAGTTGGATCTGGAGCAGCTGGGATGCAGGGCACCCAGCCCCAAGGCTTCATAAAGCAGTGGGGCCCTCCCTGGGCCTCGACCATGAAACCATTTTTTCCTCCTAGGGTTCCTGGCCTGTGATAGAAGAACCTGTCTCAGATCTTTGACATGACCTGAAGACATTTTCCCCATTGTCTTGGCTATTAACATTCAGCTTCTCTTTACTTTTGTAAATTTCTGCAGTGGCTTGATTTTCTTTCTAAAAAATGGGGTTTTATATTCTACCTCATGGTCAGGTGCAAAGTTTCCAAACTTTTATGTTCTGCTTCCATTTTAAAAATAAGTTTCTCATCTCCATCTGAGACAACCTCAGCCTGGACTTTATCATCTACATCACTATTAGCATTTGGGTCAAAAGCATTCAACAAGTCTCTAGGAAGTTCCAAACTTTCCCATATTTTTCTATTTTTTTCTGAGTTCTCTAAACTGTTTCAACCTCTGCCTATTACCCAGTTCCAAAGTCACTTCCACATTTTCAACTATCTTTATAGCAGTGCCCCAAACTACCTGTATTAATTTTCTGTATTAGTTTGTTTTCACACTACTATAAAGTTACTACCAGAGAATGGGTAATTTATACAGAAAGGAAGTTTAATTTACTCACAATTCTGCATTGCTGGGGAGGTCTCAGGAAACCTACAGTTATGGTGGAAGGCAAAGAAGAAGCAAGTACCTTCTTTACTAGGCAGCAAGAGAGAGGCAGAGCAGAAATAAATACCACTTATACAACCACCAGATCCTTTGAGAACTCACTTACTATCATGAGAACAGCATGGGGGAAAATTACCCCCATATTCCAATCACCTCCCACCAAGTCCCTCCCTTGAAACATGGGGATTACAATTTGAGATAAGATTTGGGTGGGATAAAATTTTACAGTAACGAATTCAATACAAGTCACAGAATATAGATTTTTTTGAGAATCTCTGAGGTTTCCAGGTTTCTCTTTAATTATCCACCTTATTAAAATAATATTTTGTTTCAATATTGTTCTTCTGTTCTGAAAATGCATACAAACTCACACACAAACACACTCACTTGCTACATAACTTTCACATATATATGTGTATATATATATATACTTTTTTTTTTTAATGGTGTCTTGTTCTGTCATCCTGGCTGGAGTGCAGGTCTTCCACCTTGGCTCACTGCAACCTCTGCCTGTCTGCCACCTTGGCTCACTGCAACCTCTGCCTCCCAGGACCAAGCGATTCTCCTGCCCCAGCCTCCCTAGTCACTGGGAATACAGGCACGTACCACCACGCCCAGCTAATTTTTTGTATTTTTAGTAGAGATGGGGTTTCACCATGTTGGCCAGGCTGGTCTTGAACTCCTGACCTCATGATCCACCGACCTTGGCCTCCCAAAGTGCTGGAATTATAGGCATGAGCCAACACACCTGACCTATAATCCCTTTATTAAGTATAAACTTTCTGATATTGAGTAAGATGTGACCTGATATTAATGGCTTTTCACATTCTTTGTATTTGTACAATTTTTCTCTAGTATAAATGCTTTCCTGTACCGTAAGGTGTGAGAATTTGTTAAAAGTTTTGCCACATTCTTCATATTTGTAGGAGTCTTCTTCAGTATAAACTATCTTACCTACCATAACGTGTGACTACCATTTAAAGTCCTTGCCACCTTTAACACATTTCTAGAGTCTCTCACCAGTATGATTTCTCTTTTTTAGAAAAGTTTGAGGTGTGCTTAAATGCTCTGTCACAGTTTTATGTAAGCAGAATTTCTCTCCAGTATAAAATTTTTCAGTGAATAAGCATGGAGAACCAGTTAAAGGGTTTGCCACATTTTTTTCTACAATTGCAGCGTTTCTCTCCAATATCAATTATCTTACATTTATTCAGGTTTGAGGACTTTTTAAAGACATTACCATATTGCTTATTGCAGGGTTTCTCTTCAGTATTAATTCTCTTATGTATAATAAGGGTTCAAGACTAGTTAACAGCTTTACCACATTCTTTGCTTTTGTAGAGTTTCTCTCTAGAATGAATGATCAGATATTATGTAAGGCCTGAGATGTGCTTAAAGGTTTTGTCACTTTTTTTTTGTTTCTAGGGTCTCTGTAATATAAGTTCTCTTAGGCTTTGGGAGGCTGACAAAGGTGGATCACCTGAGGTCAGGAGTTCAAGACCAGCCTGGCCAACATGGTGAAACTCTATCTCTACTAAAAATACACAAATCAGCCAGTGTGGTGGCACACGCCTGTAATCCCAGCTACTCAGGAGGCTGAGGCAGGAGAATCGCTTGAACCCGGAAGGCAGAGGTTACAGTGAGCTGAGATCATGCCACTGCACTCCAGCCTGGGTGACACAGGGAGGCTCCAACTCAAAAAAATTTTTTTAAAATAAATTCTCTTAGGTTTATTAAGGTTTGAGGGTTGGTTAAAGGCTTTGTTACATTTTTTCACATTTATAAAATTTCTGTCCAATATGAATTCTCTTACGTTCAATTAAGGTTTGGAACTGGTTAAAGGCTTGGCCACATTCTCTACATTTGCAGTGTTTTTTTCCAGTGTAAATTATTTTATGTATTATAAGGCCTGAGGGTGGACTTTGCCACATTATTCACATTTGTAGGGTTTCTCTCCAGTGTGAATTATCTTATGTTTAGCAAGACTTGAATGCCACTTATAAGCTTGGTCACATTCTTCACATTTGTAGGGTTTCTCTCCAGTATGAATTCTCTTATGTTGCATAAGGGTTGAGGAGCAATTAAAGGCTTTGCCACATTCTTCACATGTGTAGGGTCTCTCTCCAGTGTGAATTCTCTTGTGGTCAGTGAGGGTTGAGGATAAGCTAAAGGCTTTGCCACATTCTTCACATTTGTAGGGTCTCTCTCCAGTATGAATTCTCTTGTGGTCAGTGAGGGTTGAGGATAAGCTAAAGACTTTGCCACACTCTTCACATTTGTAGGGTCTCTCTCCAGTATGAATTCTCTTGTGGATAGTAAGTGCTGAGGAGCGCCTAAAGTCTTGGCCACATTCTTCACATGTGTAGGGTTTCTCTCCAGTATGAATTCTCTTATGTCTAGTAAGGTTCGAGGATAAGCTAAAGGCTTGGCCACATTCTTCACAGGCATAGGGTTTCTCTCTAGTATGAATTCTCTTATGTCTACTAAGGTTTGAGGACCAGCTAAAGGCTTTGCCACATTCCTCACACCTGCAGGGTTTCTCTCCAGTATGAATTCTCTTGTGGTCAGTGAGGGTTGAGGATACGCTAAAGGCTTTGCCACATTCTTCACATTTGTAGGGTCTCCCTCCAGTATGAATTCTCTTGTGGTTAGTAAGTGCTGAGGAGCGCCTAAAGGCTTGGCCACATTCTTCACATGTGTAGGGTTTCTCTCCAGTATGAGTTCTCTTATGTCTAGTGAGGTTTGCGGACCAGCTAAAGGCTTTGCCACATTCCTCACATCTATATGGTTTCTCTCCAGTATGAATTATTTTATGTGTAGTATGGTTTGAGGAGCAGTTAAAGGATTTGCCACATTCTTTGCATTTGTAGGACTTCTCCCTAGTATGAATTACCTGATGTTGATTTAGGTGTGAAAGCATGCAAAATGATTTGCCATATTTGTTACATTTGAAATGTTTCTTTCCAGTATATCTTGTTTTATCTCTATTGGAATTTGAAAATTTACCAAAGACTTTGACATATTTATGAGTCTGAAATATTTTGTTTTGGGTAGTTGACAAACATTGGTTAACTTCACTATAACCTCTTTGGGCACCTCACATTCACCCACACTTTTACAGCATTTTTTAAATTGTAATTTCTCATGTCCACATTTTCCATATGTTCTTGGTATTACTTTTTGGAGTGAATCTTTGATGCCCTGCTCTGGCTGAAGGTCTTGGGTGAAATGGGAACGCGTAACTGAAAGACACAAAAAGCACAAGTTACTCCACTTTCTGGACTCATATAAATGTATTCTACACATGAAATATATAAAATTACACAAGGTACATTAGCAAAATGCCATATCAAAATACCACAGGCCATAATTCCTTCATAGATGTATAAATGTAACAAAATCATAGTGATCAAAATACCTTTGTTGGAAATTTATAAATAAAGTAAGTGTGTGCACCATGTGAGCACGATGTCCAGAGCCATATAGAGAGAAAAGAAAGGTCTGCTACATTTACCCAACACAGCCCTTCCTCATGCCCAGTAGAAGAACATAGTGCCTTTAATAACAGCTTTAAGTCTTCTGAGCTCAAAAGTGAATGTTACAACCGCAGAAAGACTGCAGTATGATGGGTAGAAGATAGGTGTAGAACGTAGTTACTGACCACTAAGAAGAAATATGAAGAAGTCTTTTAATTGAAAAATAAATACAAATTGCAGACAAAACACATCCTGAGAACATGTTTGTGAGAATCCCAGAATCTCTACCAAAGACAATTGGTGTCATGCTATGAGAGGAAGGAGCTGCATTATAAAGATCATGAAAGGTAGTTTTATGTTAGTGTCTAAATCTCCAACAAAGATTACAATGTATATAAAACATGAGGACAACATGGTCCAATCAAAAAAATCAAAAATTTTGAAAAAGCAACTATAAAAATAAAGATGTACATCTTGATTTTTAAAATTTAAGATAATCCATATTATGCTCAATGAGAAAAATGGAAAACCAGACACCTAAATAAAATAAGAAAAATAAGAATACCAACAAAACTTGCAATAATAAAAATAAACAAGGTGGAGGTAAAAAAGAATAACTGAAAAAATTTAAAAGTAAGAAAAAAGTACGTAAAAAATGAAGAAGCTAAACAAACAAACTAGGATATACACAAAAAGATCCGCAACACAAATTTAAGCAAAGTTTCAAAAGTCACAAACCAGAAGATAATCTTGGGAGCTGCAAGATAAAAGTGAAGTATTATTTATAAGCATAGTCCTCTGAGACAACCAGTGAATTTGTAAACAGAAACCTTGCAGGTCAGAAAAGAACTGTGTAAAATGGTCAAAGGCTGAAAAAAATTTTCATGGTGAGAATAATAAAACCAGAAAAATGTACTACAACATAAAGAAAAATAAAACTCTTCCAGAATGAATAAATGCTGGAAAAGCACATAATCATTGTATGTGCCCTACATAAAATGCTGAAAAGAGGTCTTTCCACTTAAAACAACATGATGAAAAATATATGTAATCATATGAAAATACATAACTTTCTGAAAAACATATGCATATACAAAAAGTAAAATTCTGTGGCATTATTGTGGTGGTGCAGAAAATACTTTTAGTTATTCTTTAAAATTTGAAAAATATAAGCATAAAAAACATAAAACATAAAAAGATATAATTAGCAACATCAATAAGAAGTATAGGGTAGATATAATGAGGACAAATTTTTCTATGCAACTGAAGTCATTTTTTTTTACCAGTTTAAAATATACTGTTGTAACATTTAAGATGTTTTACAGAATCTCCAATGTAGCACAAAGAAAAAATCTTTATAGACACACGAAAGCAAATGAGTCAATTACTAGCATGAGACAAAGATTGATATTATATAATGGTAAAATGAGTCCATTTACTAGGAATCTATAATTATTATGTCTATCTACATGTATATGCATATATAACATCAGGGCTTCAAAACATATAAAGCAAATATTGACAGAAATGAAGCAAGAAATAAAATAGCAACACAAAATTATAAACATTAAGACCTCCTTTTCAATAATAAATAAAAAATTTAAATAAAAGATCAATTAAAAAAACTGAAAACCTGAAGAATATTATATTGTGTATGAATTTATTTTGCATTGCTATAGAAAATAACCTCAGACTGGGTAATTCATAAAGAAAAAGATTTTTTGATTCACAGTTCAGTAGACTGCACAAGAAGTATATGCCAGCATCTGCTTCTGGTGAGGATATGAGGAAGCTTACAATTATAGTGGAAGGCAAAGAAGAACCAAACATGTCACATGGTGAAAGACGATGTGAGTGTGAGGTGCAGGAGCCAGGTTCCTTTAAGCAACCAGCTCTCATGTGAATTAATAGCGTGAGAACTCTATGATTGTGCCAAGTCATTCATGAGGGATTTGTCTCCATGATGCAAACAGCTCTCATTAGGCCCCACATCCAACAGTGGAGATTACATTTCAACATGCCATTTGGAGGGCATCTACACCATATCACAAACCAAATAGGCTAAACAGACATGTACAGAACTCTCCAGTCAAAAGCAAGTAGATACACAATATTCTTATTTGCACCTGGTGCATTCTGTTAGAACACATAAGTCTTGGTAAATTTCAAAAGATCAGCCAGGTGCAGTGGCTCACAGGTGTAATCCCAGCAGTTTGGGAGGCCAAGGTGGAAGAATCACTTGGGGCAAGAAGTTTGATACTAGCCTTGGGAACACAGTGAGACCCTGTCTCTACAAATAATTCAAAATTAGCTGAGCATTGTGGGGTATGCCTCCAATGCCAGCCGCTCAGTAGGCCAAGGTGAAAGGATTACTTGAGTTCAAGAGGTTGAGGCTGCAGTGAGCCAAGATTGTGCTACTGCACTACAGTCTGGGAAACAGAGTGAGAAACTCTGAGTCAAAAAAAAAATAAGAAGAGCAAAATCATACAGTATATGTTTTCTAACCCAAACTGAATAAAACTAAAAAGAAAAAAAGTAATACTGGCAAATCAAAAATACATGGAAATAAACACACTCTTCACTGTATTCTTGCACAGGGTCAAATAATTTAAATTAATTTAATATTTTTTCTCAAGGGCCAACATATTTAAGTGATGACTTAATTTGTTAAGACCCACAGTGGTGAACAAATTTAATATAATCTGTATCAAAATTCCAAAAGTATATTTATTCCTGAAATATTGTTTAAAATTTTTAAATTTTATTATGAACCAAATCTAGAGAAACACACATGAAAAACACAGAGGCACTATACTTCATAATTTCAAAACATAATAAAAAGCTGCAATAACAATAACTATGTGGTATTCACAAAAAGACAGATAAAGACATGATAGAACAAAATAGAAAGCCCAGCAATGAACTCTTCTGTGTATGACCAAATAATCTGCCTCAAGGTTGCCATGAGCAGACAATGGAGAAAATATAATCCCTTCAACAGATGATGTTGAAAACTGGACATCTACATTGAAAAAAATGAAGTTGAATGGTTTAATTGCATCACATACAAAAAATATTTTAAACAAAGTACTTAGACTAAGAAAAACCTAATGAAACTCTTAGAAAAAAAGTATAGTGCAAAGACATGACATTGGTCTTGGCACATTTTCTTAGATATGCCATCAAATGCATGCGCAACAAAGAGGAGAACAGAAAAATTTAATTGGGCTAAACTTCAAAATTTCTGCAATCAAATAAAACATTTAATAGAGTGACAGTGTCTCCCAAGAAATCGGTGACAATATTTGAAAATCACATGTGATAAGACTTAATATTGAGAATACATAAACTACTCCTAGAACTAGACAACAATAATTGAATTACTTGATTTAGAAATGGACAAATGAGCCAGGTGCGGTGGCTCACACGTGTGATCCCAGAACTTTGGGAGGCTGAGGTGGGCAGATCACCTGAGGTCAGGAATTCGAGACCAGCCTGACCAACATGGCGAAACCCATCCCTACTATAAATACAAAATTAGCTGGGTGTGGTGGCACATCCCTGATCCCAGCTACTCAGGGGGCTGAGGCAGGAGAAACATTTGAATCCAGGAGGCAGAGGTTGCTGTGAGCTGAAATCGTGCCATTGCTCTTGTTGCCTAGGAAACAAGAGTGAAACTCCGTCTCAAAAAAGAAAGAAATGGAAAAATGATTAAACTAAATTTTAATAAAAAAGATATACAAAGGGGAAGAAGCATTTGAAAGGTTGCACAAAATTAATAATTTATAGAAAAATGCAAAACATAATCACAAAACAAAATCACCTTACATCAATTAGGATGGCCACTATAAATTTTTTTAAAACACCAACTGTTGACGATGTAAAGAAATTGAAACCTATGTAAGTTGTTTTTTATGAGAAAAAAGATACAGCCATCATAAAAACATCATAAGCATTCTTTAAATAATCTAAAATGAAATTATTATATAATACAGCAATACCATTTATGAGTCTATATCTAAAATATGCAACACAGTAAAATGAAGGCATAAAAGGTACCCTGCTTGCATATCCCCCCACAGCAAGTGGGGGGATAACCAAGCCTCTAAATAAATAAATACATATAAAAAATTAAACAATTTGTAAAAAATTTGTAAAAACTTTAAAATATATTTCAAGGCTATAGTAATAAAAACAGAATGGCATGTGCAGAAAAATGGATGACCACCAATGAAAGAGAAACTACTATTCTCACACATCTTAGACATGATGCAAAAAAAAAATTTTAATGGTTTAGAGTTTTCCAAAAATATGCAGATATTAGTGTGTCCCCAAAAGCAATGGCAAAGCAGTCAGTTTGCGCAGTCCCTGATAACCTTTAAAGAAAACTTTGGCTCACACTGTGAACCTGAAGAAAGATTATTGAAGCAGAAGTGGAATCCTTAGAGACTTTAACAGCATGAGGCAGGAGGTGTCCCTATGTGAGAGCAAAAGGAAAAAATGACTTGAGCTTCTCAGAAACTCTTTTCATCAAAGGACAGCTCCCCAGACCACATTTTAAGGACTGGCTGCCTCCTTGATTTGTGTACCTCTCATCTGTCTCATCTGCTTCATTTGCTCTCACCTACCTGGGCGTTTGGCTACCATCTCATTTCTCTTTATATTCTGGGACTCTTTATTTTGCTCCAGACAGGTGATCAAGTCTGGCTTAGAGACAGCAATACCTGTTTTATTAAGAAAAAAAAGTAACATAGATCATGCTGAATTCTTTAATTACCAAATTAGTATTATGCTTAGAGGATATAATAGAAAATTCTAGAAAATTAATATTGATTCATAATAGAACTTTCTAAATATTCAGAAAATATTTTAAATTTGTAGGTCCTTAATTTCACTACTCAGTACTACTGAATCAAAAATTGGTGGCAGCAACTGAATTCTAATGTGTGGGCAACGATCTTTTATGCCATGGCATTTTTGGAATTCCCACTAACCTAGAGCAAAAGATACATAAGCTCAGGAAAGGCAAAAGTTCTGGTCAAGATAAAACATCTTGAAGAATTTGTTCTACAGCAATGAATCCCCAAGATTTTCTTAAAATTGGAGATCTAGAATTCATTCATGCAAAGCAGAAATTACCAAAAACATCTTAGAAAAGAGAAAAGCAATATATTAGGAATTATGTATTGAAGTTATCCTCACCCAGGGAGACCAAGTTTCTGTAGTTCTCTAACATCACATCTCTATATAAATTCCGCTGAGCACAATCCAGGCATTGCCATTCCTCCAGAGAGAATTCTATAGCTATGTCTCTGAATGTCAACAGTCCCTGGAAAACAAACAAACAAACAAAACCACTCATGAACACACAAGCACTTACCACATGGCCATAGGCAGAGATTTTTATTTGACTCAAGTTAAAAAAGAGAGTAAAAAGAAGTGGTTCTCACTTACAAGAGTGACTAAAATTATTCAATAAGATAATTTTTAACACTGAAGTATTCTCTAACTCTGAGAAAAGAGGATAGCATAAGATCCACAATACCACTGTAGATTTGATACTTTTCTGGATGATACATTATAAAATTAAGGGCATCAACATGGACATGTCTTTTTCTTTTCTTCTTTTTGTTTGAGACCGAGTCTCACTCTGTTGCCCAAGCTGGAGTGCAGTGGTATGATCTTGGCTCAGTGCAACCTCCACCTCCCGGGTTCAATCGATTCTCCTGCCTCAGCCCCCTGAGTAGCTGGGACTACAGGCATGAGCCACCATGACTGGCTAATTTTTGTATTTTTAGTAGAGACGGGGTTTCTCCATGTGGACCTGGCAGGTCTTGCACTCCTCACCTCAGGTGATCCACCCACCTCAGCCTCCCAAAGTGCTGGAATGGTAGGCATGAGCCACTGCACCTGGCCGGACATGTCCATTTTTGAGTGCTATATTTACATCATATAGAATAAGTTGTGTATATTTCTCAGATAGAAGAGTCATGATGAATTGGAAGATACCTCTCAAGTCTTAGTATGTGCAATAACTAAAGATCTTGTGAGATTTTGTTTCAGGAGATTTCGGAGGAAGTCTGAATTTCTGAATTTTTAGCAAGCTCACCAATGTTTCTAGCCTAGTAAGAATATTTTGTCAAATATCCAGTAAATGGCAGAGTTTGGGTTTTTCCCAGTTTCTCTCACCTGTAAATAAAGATAAGAGCCTTCATTTTTAAAAGACAAATATAAGCAAAAGTCATCTAAAAGGAAAGGACAGCTTCCAGATTAAATGCAACGGTTTATGCACTTCAGCTAGTAAATCTCCTAAGTGTCCTTAATAATTAAGAGAATAAGAATTAACTCTAGAGTGGAAAAAAATGTCATAGAGATCTTGAACCAAGTGAATAAAATTGTTATCAACTTTATTAGGACACATTTTTATTATGTGCTGATGCACACACAACACAGCATCACTGCTGTGGCATTTCTCTCCTCTCAGAAAAGTAAATTATAATCTACATTTAATTTTATTATTTATATATATATATATATATATATATATATATATATATATATATTTTTTTTTTTTTTTTTTTTTTTTTTTTTTTTTTGAGACAGAGTCTCGCTGTGTCACCCAGGCTGGAGTGCAGTGGTGCCATCTCATCTCACTGCAACCTCAACTTCCTGAGTTCAAGCAATTCTCCTGCCTCAACCTCCCAAGTAGCTGGGATTACAGGTGCATGCACCATGCCTGGCTAATTTTTTTTTTTTTTAGTAGAGATGGTGTTCCACCATGTTGGTCAGGCTGGCCTTGAACTCCTGACCTCACGTGATCCGCCTGCCTCGGCCTCCCAATGTGCTGGCATTACAAGCCAAAGCCATTGCGCCTGGCCTAAATTTAATCATAAAGAAACATCAGTTTTATGCAAAGTTGAAGGTGCAGATAACTTCCCTGTTCTGCAATTTTTATTAGTAATTTTAAGGAGTCTTTCCTTAGCACCCTGGAAAGCAAGTATCTCCTAACAGTTTTTTCAGAACTTTCTGTATAATAAATGCCACCCTGTTTAAATGAGCATTTTCTAAACGCTGTTCTGCATGGAACTAATAGAGCACACAGATGAAACCTCAATATAACATGTTTCACTTTTCACTAATCTCCAAAGACAACGGTGTTTCCCCAATAGAAATCTTGAGTATCCACACCTTCTAATGTTCAACAGCTACAATGGGAACATTTTATATATCGTAGGTCATAAATTTGTGGTAAGAATTCTGCATGATATACAAGAATCCAAGATGAAGAGAAATGTATAGAATGCTATGGCATAGAGAAAACAAATATTTTTTTCAGAACCCCTTGACTATCATAAAAATCACAAAAAATAGTTGAAACAAACTCATTAGGGATCAACAGCACGAGTAGAGAAGTAAAACTTTGCAAGTTCTGAACACAAGGCATTCCAAAAGGCAGAGTGGACACTGCGCTTGATCTGAGACATGCTCACCTGAGAAAAAGTGATTTGTTTCTTTTCCTCCTCTTTCTCTGAAATGTATTTTCAGATAAGATGCTCTGGACATATCAAACCTGCATCTTGAGAATATGACTTTAAAGTGCAACCTATTCACCTGCTACCACCACACACACCCACGGGCGGAAGACCGAGACTTGCAGAAAACATTCACCCATTTTTGTTGTTTATAACTGAAAAGATTTAAGAGCAATGAGAGAACAATGAGCTTCTCCACAGCTATTAAAATATAAGTTTCTTTGTCTCTGCCCTCCCCTATCAGAAACCAGCAATTTTCTTTAGAGTAATGGGAACATGAACCGCACTGACCTCTTCCTACCAAACTGAAACAGGGCAGGCAGTGCAGCCTTCCTTTGAGGCAAAGGTTGAACTAAACTCTCCTGAATGTATCTTGAACCCCTCAAGTTTATAAATCACTTGGTAATCTTGGCCCCGCTCTATGCAACGTGATTCTGCAGGATCCAAAAGGGTCCAGGAATGGGCTTTTACAACAAGTCCCCTGTAAATGCTGATTGTGCTTTCCCAGACACATTATTAGCATTAGCAAGAGAAAGCAGGCACAGCAGAGTCCCTTACACACACCACATTTGTCACAATACTAATACTTCTGCTACAAATAAAAACAACCAATTTCCACCCTGAAATGCTATATTTTTGTTGGCTTTTTTAAGTTTACAGGGACAACAGAAGACAGCAACGTCTGAGTGAATCTGCACCTGGGAAACCTGTACACATGTACTAATAAAACGTTTACTAAGCAGGTACTGTGTGCTCAGGAGCATGTCACAGAACACTGCGCTGGGAATAACACATTTTGTGATTTAATTTTCATAGCACCCTGGGAGTTGGTACTAAGTGCTGAATAATTTTTAGCATTTAGATTAAGAGCACAGCATTTTTATTTCTTCTTATCTTTCTCATTAATTTTAAAAAGAAAATGTATAGAATAATTCAATACAAAAAAAACATGTGAAAGGATGCATTTACATAAAAATGGAATAATCAGCTTCCAAATGGCTATTTTGGAAATAATGAAATTAAGGCAGAAATAAAATTTTTGAAACTAATTACAACCGAAATACAACATACCAGAATCTCAGGGTTAGAGCTAAGGCAGTGTTAAGAATAAAATGCATATCACTAAACATCCATATCAAAAAGTTAGAAAGATCTCAATTTAAAAATCTAATGTTACAATTAAAAGAATTTCAAAAGTAAGAGCAAACCAACTTCACAGCTCACAAAAGTCAAGAAATAACCAAAATCAGAGCCAAAATGAAGAAGTTTGAGACATAAATAACTATAAAAAGTTCAATGGGCCACGCATGTGCTGTGGCTCGCTCCTGTAATCCCAGCACTTTGGGAGGCCAGGGCGGGAAGATCACGAGTTCAGGAGTTTGAGACCAGCCTAGCCAACATGGTGAAAGCCCATCTCTACTAAAAACACAAAAATTAGCTGGCCGTGGTGGCACATGCCTGTAATCCCAGCTACTCGGGAGGCTGAGGCAGGAGAATTGCTTGAAACTGGAAGGCAGAGGTTGCAGTGAGCTGAGACCGCACCACTGCACTCCAGCCTGCGTGTAAGAGTGAAACTCTGTCTTAAAAAAAAAATTCAAAGGAACCAGAAGTTGATTCAATGTAAACATAATAAGATAGATAAAACACTAGACTGATGGGAAAAAAAGAAATAATTCAAATAAAAACAATTAGAATAAAAAGTAAAAACAAAAACAAAAACAGATGCTTGTGAGGTTGTGGAGAAATTGAATGCTTATATGCTGCTGGTGAAAGTATAAATTTATTTAACCATTGAGAAAAGCAGCTTGGCATTTTTTCAAAAACCTGAAAACAGAATTACCATTCCCAATCCCGCAATTGGGAATATACCCAGTGAATGTAAGTTTTTCTACCATGAACACACATGCACGCGTATGTTTATTACAGCACGATTCACAATAGCAAAAACAAGAAATAATCCTGTATGTCTTCAATGGTAGACTGGATAAGGAAAATGTGGTATGTAAACACCATGAAATAGGATGCAACTATAAGAAAGAACAACATCATGTACTTTGCAGCAACGTCGATGGAACTAGAGACCGTTATTTTTAGAAAACTAGTGCAGGAACAGAAAATAAAAAACTGTATGTTGTCACTTATAAGTGGGAGCAAAATAATGAGAACACGTGGACACAAATAAGAGAACAACAGACACTGAGGCTCAGTTCAGGGTAGAGGATCAGAGGATGAAGAAAATCAGAAAACAAATCTGTTGGGTACTATGCTTAGTACCTGAGTGATAAAATAATCTGTACACAAAAACTTCATGATATGATTTTACCTATACAACAAACCTGCACATGTACCCCTGAACCTAAAATAAAAGGTAAAAAAAAAAAAAAATCGGCTGGGTGCGGTGGCTCACACCTGTAACCCCAGCCCATTGGGAGGCTGAGGCAGGCAGATCACCTGAGGCCAAAAGTTGGAGACCAACCTGGCCAACATGGTGAAATCCCGTCTCTACTACAAATACAAAAATTAGTTGGGCCTGGTGGCACACACCTGTAATTCCAGCCACTCGGGAGGCTAAGGCAGGACAATTACTTGAACCTGGGAGGCGGAGGTTGTAATGAGGTGAGATCGCACCACTGCACTCCAGCCTGGAGGACAGAGCGAGACTCCCTCTCAAAAAAAAAAAAAAAAAAAAGCATTTCTTGGAAATTACTATCTTGAAGAAAATATTCAAGCCTAGGCAACCACAGCCTGCCAATTAATCTCTGATGACATAACCAAGAAATTTTTACCTGGATCTCACAAATAAACTACATAACTGTACCAAACCAATTATTGAATCTGGTTTGCTTCGTCATGAAACTTATAACAGACTTTTCTTCAAGTCTCTCCCATGGATCACAACCCACAAACCATAGCTGGGCACTCTATGATTCTTGAATCACACTTTGATCAGATTCTCATTTTTAGAGTGACTCCCGTACATCTCTAAAAGGAAAAATGAGGAACTAAGGACCCCAGGACCACAGCTCTTTCCACTCATGAATCTTGCACCCTGAGTCAGGATTCTCCCCTGATGACTTTCCCATCCCTGTACAATCTGGGTGAGATGAGGCGCTGGGAGTGCAGAGCAAACCAGAGAGGCCTCCAGTCCAGGGTAAAGCCACTGCAGAGGAAAAAGACAGAAATCCCAGGGTCCCAGGCGCTGGCCCAGGCACCATCTTGCGGCTGGAGGGGACGAGAGCCGAGCTGGGCCAAAGACGATTTGGGTCGTCAGGCTCTGGAGCTGACTGCGAGAAAGTCTGGGACCTGCTACAGCCACTTTCTGCCGGTTCCAACCAGCCCCCACCCCTCTCTCACGATGACAGACCCAGCACTCACCATTTCCCGGCTTCCAGGGGGTCCCGGTCTTTTAGCCATAAATCTGCAGATACCTGCAGGACACAAGGACACATAGGCTTGGCCTCTAGGAGCAGAGGACACAGAGCAGTGAAGAGAAGAACTGCAGCTCTGGACGCAGAAAAACACAAAGGACCCGCAAAATTACGGAAGTAGCCTGTTCTTTCCAGCTGCATGCCTGATTGGACAGTTTCTAGACCACGGCTCCTGATTGGATAAGGTTTCAGGCCCCAGCCTTCATGCCCTGAGTGAGGGAATATTTGATCAGACACTGGGCTGAGCGAAGCAAAAATAACAGCCTAGGCTGCAGCCTTCACAGGCAGGGCTTCTTCCTTGATCTGAGCCAGGCCAACTTCAGAGGATATTTGCATTTAACCTTGTGTATAATGTGATATGCATTTATAAATGATATATAATATTTATTCATAAATTGAAATAATGACAATTATTTTAAAATTTAGGATTTTATGCCCTTCCTTGCTGCGGATCCTTTGCAGTGATATGGTGTGACTTTCTGGCTCCACCCAAATCTAATCTCAAATTGTAATTCCCGTCCATGTGCGGTGGCTCACACCTATAATCCCAGCACTTTGGGAGGCCGAGGCGGGCAGGTCACTAGTTCAGGAGTTCGAGACAGGCCTGGCAAATACGGTGAAACCCCGTCAATACTAAAAATACAAAAATTAGCCAGGCGTGGCAGCGTGCCTGTTAGTCCCGGCTACTCGGGAGACTGAGGCAGGAGAATTGCTTGAACCCAGGGGGTGGAGGTTGCAGTGAGCCGAGATGGCGCCATTGCACTGCAGCCTGGGTGACACAGAGAGACTTCCTCTGAAAGAAAAAAAAAATTGTAATTCCCATTTGTCAGGGCAGGGACCGGGCAGGAGGTGATTGGATCATTGGTGTGGATTATCCTCATGCTGTTCTGGTAGTAGTAAGGGAGCTCTCAAGACACCTGACGGTTTAAAAATGTGGCACGTCCTCCCCGGTTCTCTCTCTTTTTCCACCATGTAAGATGTGCCTTGCTTTCCCTTCACCTTCTGTCATGGTCATGAATTTAAGTTTCCCAAGGATTCTGCAGCCATGTAGGGCTATGATTCAATTTACTTTAAAAAAAAAATTACGCGGTTTGAGCTATTTGTCTGTAGCAGTGTGAAAATGGACTAATACATGCGGACAGCCTGAGATTTCAGAAGGGAGGCAATCCTCTGCAGTAAAATATGAGCCACATGTAAATTTTTAATTTTCTAGTAGCCAAATGTTAAAAATAAAAAAAAAAAAAAGGTGGGGCCGGGCGCAGTGGCTCACGCCTGTAATCCCAGCACTTTGAGAGGCCGAGGTGGGGAACCACCTGAAGTCAGGAGTTCGAGACCAGCCTGGCTTACATGATGAAACCCCTGCTCTACCAAAAGTAGAAAAATTAGCTGGGCGTGGTGACAGGCATTTGTGATCCCAGCTACTAGGGAGGCTGAGACAGGAGAATCGCTTGAACCCAAGAGGCAGAGGTTGCAGTGAGCCGAGATCACACCACAGCACCCCAGCCTGGCGACAGAGAAACTCTGTCTCAAAATAAAAAAGAAAGAAACAGGTGGAATAACAGGTGGAATTGATTGCAACAACTTAATCAGCCCAATATATCCAAAATATTATTATTTTAATATGTGATTACTATGTAATGGTTAATAAAGCACATACATTTTTGAAGCTAAATCTCTGAATGTAATCTTGTATTTTACCTTTCTAGCACACTGAAGTTCACACTAGCCACATTCCAGCACCCTGTAGCTATGTCAGAGGCGTCTGAAGCAGAGAAACTGCATCTGGAATAGGTGCTGGGTAAAATGGGGCTGAGACCTACAGGACTGCATTTCCATGAGGCCCGGCTTTCTAAGTCACAGGATAAATAGAAGATTGGAACAAGATCCATTTTACAAAGACCTTGCTGATAAAACAGTTTGCAGTAAAGAAGCCACAAAAATCTACCGAAACCAAGGTGGGAATGAAAGGGACCTCTGGTTGTCCTCAGGAATCACTACACGCTAATTATAATGCATTAGCATGTGAAAGACATTCCCACCAGCGCCGTGACAGTTAACGAATGCCATGGCAACATCAGAAAGTTACCTTACATGGTCTAAAAAGAAGAGAAACACTCAGTTCTGGGAATTGCCCACGTCTTTCTTGTAAAACTCATGAATAATCCACCCCTTGGTTAGCATATACTCAAGAAGTAACTGTTAAGTATCCTTAGTTGAGCAGCCCACATTGCTGCTCTGCCTGGAGAGTAGCTATTCTTTTATTCCTCTACTTTCCCAATAAATTTGCTTTTGCTTTGTACTGCAGACTCACCCAAAACTCTTTCTTCTATCTTTTTTTTTTTTTTTGTCTTTGAGACAGCATCCTGCTCTGTCACCCAGGCTGGAGTGCAGTGGCGCCATCTCGGCTCACTACAACATCTGCCTCCTGAGTTCAAGAGATTCTCCTGCCTCAGCCTCTGGAGTAGCTGGGATTACAGGCATGCGCCACCATGCCTGGCTAATTTTTTTATTTTTAGTAGAGATTGGGTTTCACCATGTTGCAAGGCTGGTCTCGAACTCCTGACCTCAAGTGATCCTCCCGCCTCTGCCTCCCAAATTGCCGGGATTACAGGCATAAGCCACTACCCCTGGTTCTAAATTATTTCTTGTACGAGATCCAAGAACCCAATCTTCATTTCTGAACTGGGGCCATTTCTGGAAGCTTCTTTTCAGTGAATTACAAAAGGATGATACTAAGGAAACCCGCAGCTCAAAGGAAATAGACTGAATTACCAATTGGCTAACTTTTTGTAAGTGGTGGCATACCCGGGTAAAGAATGGAATCGGGTTAGTAGCCCAATTTAGTGGAGTTAGAGTGTCTCCTAAGACAGATAAGATAAAAGGTCCCTTTTAATAAAAGGCAAGAACACTTGAAAAACTTGTGTTTGAGGTGCAACTTAGAAAGGTTAGAGTCTTTCCTAAGATTTAGGGGGTTAGAGGCCCCTCTCAGTAAAGTCCCTCTCAGTTAAGATTAGATTTGGCATTATGGAATATTAACCATTGCTGTCTTTGTGTTTGTTTGTTTTTTTGTTTGTTTTGAGACAGAGTCTCACTCTTGTCACTCAGGCTGGAGTGCAGTGGTGAGATCTTGGCTCACTGCAACCTCCACCTCCCAGGTTCAAGTGATTCTCCTTCCTCAGCCTCCCAAATAGCTGGGATTACAGGCGCCCACCACCACACCTGGCTAATTTTTGTATTTTTAGTAGAGACAGGGTTTCACCATGTTGGCCAGGCTGGTCTCGAACTCCTGACCTCAGCTGATCCACCTGCCTCAGCCTCCCAAAGTGCTGGGATTACAGGCATGAGCCACCGAACCAGGCCTTATCTTTGTATTAAGTTGCCTTGCACTTTTTGCTAATGGCTGTGGCTGACAGAATTAGGTGAGTACAGAATCATGGAACATGTGGAGATTTTTCCTCCCTAAAGTGGGAAACTTGAGAGCAGATGGGACTGCAAAAAAGATTCTTTCACAACCAACAAGCGGCCACCTAAACTTTTGATTCGGTGCAATGCTTGGGTCTTTCTCTGGCTTTCCTCAGCTCCTCACCTTTCCTGCCCTGCCATAGGCAATCTCTCTCTCTCTCTCTCTCTCTGTCTCTCTTTCCTTTCCTATCTTTTCTGTTACTCTAGGCCACCATCTTGCGCAGAGATCACATGTTGAAACTTCTGGTCAGAAGTCCCTGAAACAGGCCAGGCATGGTGACTCACGCCTGTAATCTCAGCACTTTGGGAGGCCGAGGTGGGCGGATCACCTGAGGTCATGAGTTGAAGACCAGCCTGGCCAACATGGCAAAACCTCGTCTCTACAAAAAATACAAAAATTAGCCAGGGTGGTGGCAGACACTTGCAGTTTCAGCTACTCAGTGGGCTGAGGCAGGGAGAATTGCTTGAACCTGGGAGGCAGAGGTTGCAGTGAGCTGAGTTCATGCTACTGCACTCCAGCCTGGGACACAGAGCAAGACTCAGTCTCAAAAAAAATACTCCCAAAGAAACAAAAAAGAAGTCCCTGAAACAAACAACAACAACAACAAAACAATGGATGAAGTTTCCCTCTTGTTTTATGTTCTTGGGAGCTTGACCTTGTAGCCATGTGGCAGTATTTTCTCTTGGTTTCTACCATCCAGCATACATAAATTTTGAAATTTATGTTATACTTAACTCTAAAAATGATCTTGAGCAGTTAAAAACCTTTGCAAGCTCAAAATTGGCTGCTGGAGGCTTCTTCTGGGAGACTCCAACGGAGACTGCTCAGTGCTGTAGCTCAGTAGTTGGGCTTTGCTGTCTCACAGTGGCAGCCTGGGTTCAGGGTTCAATTTCTAGCTTAGGAGATGAGTCCTTTCTGATTTGATATCTGTGTGAACATTTGTTGATTCTCTTCCCCTCCATGAAACATTTTGGATTTTCCTTTCTCTGAGCTACCTTTGAAGATTCTAGATTTTGTAAAAACTGCTTTGCCACCTTTTTGAAAATACCTTGTACACTTGTGGTTAGGTTCTTAACCTTAGTTAAAGCTTATTGGTTTCAGGAGGTGGAGGTTTCAGTGAGCCAAGTTTGGTCACTGCACTCCAGCCTGGGCGACAGTGGGAGACTCCATCACAAAACAAAACAAAACAAAACAAACAAAACAAAAAAAGGCTTATTTGTTTCACCTGTGACATTATGTTAGTAAAGTTCAAAAGCCAGAAATATTGGCAATTTGGCATGGCTAAAGTCAAGCAATGAGAGAATTAAATACATGTTTTCAGAAAGAGCATCATGGTTAAAAGCTGGCTTAATTATTATTATTATTTTATTTATTTATTTTGAGATGGAGTCTTGGTCTGTCACTCAGGCTGGAGTGCAATGGTGCAATCTTGGCTCACTGCAACCTCCACCTCCCGGGAATCAAGCAATTCCCCTGCCTCAGCCTCCTGAGTAGCAGGGATTACAGACACCCACCACCACACACGGCTAATTTTTGTACTTTTAGTAGAGACGGGGTTTCACCATGTTGGCCAGGCTGGTCTTGAATTCCTGACCTCAATTGATCTGCCTGCCTTGGTCTCACAAAGTGCTGGGATTACAGGCATGAGCCACAACACCTGGCCCAAAAGTCAGCTTAATTAATTGCAGATATTCAAGCTCCAACAGCTAGAAGTCCTTAGAAAAAACAGAGGAGGTGCCACGATAGGCATTTTGGGAAAAACATCTGTTTTCTTCATGAAACTCCAGGAATTGGAAGTGGATAGATCCCTCTCAAAGTCTAAGGCTCTGTTCCATTTTTGCTTTGCATTATCTGATGGTTTTTACTTTCTGGGGTATCAGAAATTACTTCACGTTACGAAAAAATTTAGATATGTAATAAGTAGGTAGGAAATATACATTCAGGGATGGCTAATGGCAGCTATGGGGGGATACTTGGCTTTTTGCATATTTGAATCAGAGAAGTGTGCTCTTGGCCACCTAGAAGGCATGGAAATGTCCCCGCCCCCCACTGACAGGTAAGATGCCAATGGGAGATGGGCTGATTCCCTCTTTTTGGGATCCAGGTTCTAGTATGAAAATAGGAGTCTTAATTTGCGGGGTGGGGGGGGGGGGGCGCAAATCTGTTTTGCCTTCCAGCTGTGCCTACTTATTAAGCTGTTGAAATTGCTTAGTTTTTGCTTTCCTGGTCCTATTTATCCTATGGATCCATCTTAAAGCCAGGGTGGTAATCCAATTGAGAAACTGACAAATGAAAAATCTTACAGGTACTTGATCTTCTTCCAGCTGTGTATTTATATGTGTTGTGTGTGTAATATGAAGGAGATTTGATTAATTGGTTTAAAAATAATAAGAGCTCAAATCAAATATTTTATCAGAAAAATAGAAACCATGGTGTATTTTAGTTTACATCACTTTAGTAATCATTGGGAAATAAAAACAGTTTTACATGCTAGGTATGTAAAAAAAGTCAAATGTGTTTTCAGTAAAAGATTACAAGAAGTCATGGGAATGTAGATTACTTTTGTCCTAAATTAAAGGGTCAAAGGATTGTTTTAAATTAGATAAAACAGAGCTGAAGGATTAACCAAGTTGTGAAAAGTTCGTAAAAATTTACATCTGGTAAAAGAAATTCTGTGTGTTAACATATTGGCTAAAGTTAAAGGGGTATTCAGTTTTTTATAAATTGAACACTGGAATAAAAGTACAACTGGTTTTCCTTAGAGCACTACTCTGCTCTTTCACAAAAATTGTAAAGTATTATAAAAGGGTTATAGGAATCTTACCTTATTGTCAAACTGATTAAGACTAGATAGATTTGTCTATAAGGTTTTATTAAGAATTAGGTTTGACATCAATAGTACATTAATGCAAGGGTGAGATTTAGCTTTTCTTCATGAACAAGATTTTCATGTAATATTTTAAAAATGACATATTTTTGTCTGCCCTTTTGAATAAACTGGAGCAAAAGGAAAGGAAAAAAAGATTGTGTGGAAAGTGAAGTCTTCCCTCTATTAGTGAGTAAAGGTTTTTGTCTTTTTAAAATTTTTGAGTTATCATTTTGGTTAGTGAGTGACTTATGATAACCTGGGATTTGATATTTGACAAACCTTTAAAAAATCAAATTATAAATTATGTATTTTTCTTACCTAAATATCTTTTAGATATTAGGTCCTCTAAAATACAAAAATGACATTTGGCTTATTTCGTATAAAAATCAAACAGGAGGAAATGTCAGAAAGCATTGTCAGGCCGGGTGCAGTGGCTCACACCTGTAATCCGAGCACTTTGGGAGGTCAAGGAGGGTGGATCACCTGAGATCAGGAGTTAGAGACCAGCCTGGACAACATGGTGAAACCCTGTCTCTACTAAAAATACAAAAAAATTAGCCAGGCGTGGTGGCATGCACCTGTAATCCCAGCTACTCGGGAGGCTGAGGCAGGAGAATCACTTGAACCCAGGAGACGGAGGTTGCAGTAAGCAGAGATTGCAGCATTGCACTCCAGTCTGGGCAACAAGAGTGATACTCTATCTCAAAAAAAAAAAAAAAAAGGAAAGAAAGAAAATATTGTCAAATATGAAATGGTGTTTGGTTTTCCTTGGGCTGTATTTGTATAAATATGTTATTGGTATGTGATTCAAAAAAAGGGAAAACTCCCATAATTCCAATATAACTTAGTGTATGTTATTAATAGTAATAATTGTTATGTAAAATCATTGTATGCAACAGAAGTAACCAAAATCTGTCAATTGTAGCTTTAATAGTGGCTGTCCTAAGACTTCTTTGTCATCCACAGACAATTGTTGTCTTGTTTTAACGCTCTTTGAAAGGTGATTTATAATCAGGTTTAGGACATTGACAGGTGCTCTTAAATGCAGGTTTCTGATAACTTTGGAAATTTTGGCAATAGAATAAAGAAAAAACTTTCAGAACTCTCATGGAGAGCTGAAATGTTCATCAGTATCAAGCAGAACAGGAGATAACTGCGTGGAGTGAACTAATGTAAGACTAAAGTAATCTTTTTGACTTTGCTTAAAATATTGGTGATCCATTGTTTTGTTTTTCAGAGTCCTGGAAACTTTTATTTTGAGCTATTTACAGCTTTTAGCAATTGAGTAAAATATATTTCTGTAAACAAAATTTGGAGCACATTTGTTTCTATCTGTTTTCTCCAGAATTTGGAAACTATTTGTGAGTATTCTTAACTTATGGCAATATAATTTGTATAAGTGCAAAATAATGTTTTCTTCTGCAACAGGACACTGTTGGAGAAATTAGTTATTTTGCCAAGGCTTTGGCTGGAATGACGTGCTTTCCTTTAAGGAATCAAACTTGACTTATAGAGCCAATAAAAGCCCCTTGGGAAAACTGGCTTTATGCCTTGTCTACACAGTCCCTATACAGGGTTCCTAACCTGGGGTAAGTAAATAATGTCACTTTTTGACAGGTTCATGAGCCCCAAGTTATCCCGTGGTATCAAAAAAGAAATTTATGCAACTCATATTTGAGGGTATAGACTCATGGCTGGCTCAGCTTTAAAAAGTCTTATCTGAGATTCATTTTATGGAACAGTTTCATCAAATCCAATTTTTAAAACCTATGTAAAAATAATTATTCTTGCTGCACTTCGTACAAATAATCAGGCCAAGTATAATAAAGCAACTTGGTCATACCATGATTTGTCTTTAGTAAAATGGCAGACTGGGGAGAGTAAAAAATTATACTTTAAGAACTATGGTACATCTGTTATTAAATTCTAGATTTATCTGTTGTTGTTGAACTTTTTTTTGAAAGAAGTTGAACCTTTGAATAAGCCAATGACAAGTTCTAAAATTGAGGCAGTAATAAATAGCCTGCTAACCAGAAAAACCCAGGACCAGATGTTTTCACAGCCTAATTCTACCAGAGGTACAAAGAGGAGCTGGTACCATTTCTCTTCTGAAAGTATTCCAAACAATTGACAAAGAGGGACTCCTCCCTAACTCATTTAGTGAGGCCTGCATCATCCTGATACCAACACCTGACCCTGGTGGCGCTGGTGGTAGTGCAGCATGAGAGGGAGTGGGGATGGGGTTTATCCACGGGCCAGGGGTTAGAGGATTCCCTGGGCAGCACACTGCCTGGCTCCATTCTCTTCATTTTAGATATATTGGGAGGGTTTGACACACAGAGAAAGAGGAGACCCATCTCCATAAAGTGTGTGAATAGGGGACGGAAATCAAGGACCAATCTTTGGAGGAGGACTGCTTGTATCTAACTCTGAGAACAGACTGGGGCGGCATGGGATTGGAGGAGAGGAAGGAGCCTCTTAAGAGAAAGGCCCCAAGAGGCTGGGTCCCTGCTCCCTCCCTTCCCCACAAGGCCCCTTGAGCATCTTCCACCCAGGCCCTGTGAGTATCCTGTCCTTCCCTCTGTGTCTAGAAAATCAAAGTTCTCCAGGAGATGTAGCCACTCCAGGTGGCTGGAAAAAATGACTATTTTCAGCCCAAGGAGCAATTTTGGGTCTGCTTTCAGACAATGAAGTGGTTAAGTGAGAATGAGAGAAGAGGACCCAGTAAATTAGCAGAGGGGAGGAAAAGACTTTTTTGTGGCCAGCTACAGAGAGCCTGTGGCCATAGCTCCCTGGCCAGTGTCAGGTCCTGTTGCATAGTGACCCCTGGGGCACAAATATTCCAGCTGGGCAGGTACCGGGAGGGAGACCTGAGGTGTGACTCCTGGTAGCCTCACAGCTGCCTTAATGTCCTGCAGCTACAACCATTTCTGCCAGCGGCCGCCCCTATCCCAGCAGGCCAGCAGCTCATCCAGCACCTGTAGTGTCTGAGGCTCCACCAGAATGTGATTCAGGACATCAGCCCTGTACCATCCTTGACCTAGAGAGTGAGCCCCAGGGAACAACCTCGATGTGGGTGGCAACTTAGCTCCATGGTGTCTCTGTTACCAAAGACCAATTGCTCCTGCTGGTTGGGATTAGATCCCAGGACCTCTGCAGGTGATGTGGGTGAGCATGAGGCAGGCACCCCAATATTTGATGCTCTGGGGCTTAACACCTGCACAACAGGCAAATGGCACCCCCACTTGGCAGACACCCCAGTGAAGGTCAAAGCAGCCCTGAGTGGGGAAGACTCTGACCCAGAGCCTGGAGTCCCACCAGAGAATTCTCAAACCAGCGTCTAAAAACTCTTCCTCAAAATGGCTAGGGTTCAGTATTTGCAGCTTTGCCAACCCATGTCAATTGCAATGACTCAAATCTGCAGTTGCAGCGTGACAGCAGCCTCCCGCAGACAACCTGGGAATGAAGGTGCATGGCTGCAATCTCATAGAACTTTCCTTACAGGCACTGAAAACTCCAATTTCAAAACATCAAGTATGATTCTTCTTTTGGTTTGTTCGACCATTTGGAAATGTAAAATTCATCCTTGGCTCATGGGAGACAGGAAAGCAGGCAGGGACAGGCTGCACCTTGATGACCTCTGGCAGAAATGAAGCTCAGAGGAGGAGATGACAGGAGGGGGTGAGCCCAGCCCCCTCACAGCTGAGATTTACCCCAGGAGGGGTCCCTGCCAGCACCACCCTACTTATCCCTCATCTTGGCTTCAAGAGCAGTTCAGGTGAAGAGCAGGGGAACAGAAAAGACCTCAGCAACGAAAAGGAAGGAGATGCAGGGTTGGGCAGCCATGTGGATGGATGGCGCTCAACAGTGCATGCTACCACAGCCATTGTTTTTTATTTTTTATTTATTTTTTATTTTTTGAGACAGAGTCTTGCTCTGTCGCCCAGGCTGGAGTGCAGTGGGGTGATCTCGGCTCATTGCAACCTCCACCTGCCGGGCTCAAGCAATTCTCCTGCCTCAGCCTCCTGAGTAGCTGGGATTACAGGGGTGCACCACCATGCCTGGCTAATTTTGTAATTTTAGGAGAGACAGGGTTTCACCATATTGGCCAGACTGGTCTCAAGCTCCCGACCTCGTGCTCCGCCTGCTTTGGCCTCCCAAAGTGCTGGGTTTATAGGCATGAGCCACTGCACCCAGCCTAATTTTTATATTTTTAGTAGAGATGAGGTTTTGCCATGTTGGCCAGGCTGGTCTTGAACTCCCGACCACAGGTGATCCACTCGCCTTGGCCTCCCAAGTGCTAGGATTACAGGTGTGAGCCACTGCACCCGGCCAACAGCAGCCATTTACACCAAGTTGAGCAAGGCATGACCATCCCCAGGGGGACCATGGTGGGGGCTCTGTGGGATAGAGGACATGCTGTATTCTGCACTTATATGGACGCTCCACACAGCAGTCATTACAGAAAACACACCGGGTAAAAGGGCAGTATACAAATAGGACACCAGTACTGGCCAGTTGGGTCTCACTGGTCAGTGGGGTAACGAGGTCCAGGTGGGCCCACAAGGTGTGGCTGGTGGTTGGTTTCTGTCTGCAGGAAGCCTGGGACCCGTGTCTAACAGAGGAGGACCCAGGCTGGAGTGAGGAAGTCATCAGAGTCACCAGGTGAGGGGTCAGAGCTGGAAACAGAGCAGGCAGGGAGCCCTGGCCTCTCCCAGTGAGGGCTGAGAAGCTGGGGTGGGAACACAACCCATGGGCAGATGCACACAAGTGGTCCCTGGGCCCCTGCCGGTGCCCAGTGACTGCCCAGTTCCTAGGGAGCCACTGAGGCCTGAGACCCAGGGACACACCACCTGATCATCACCCCCAGGCCTTTCTGCCGAGACCAGACAATGCCCAGTGCAGGCAGGTGGTCTGGGATTGGAGTCTGGGGCAGGGGTGCATGTTCCTACCTGGCAGGTGCCCTGACCTAGACCTGCCTGAGCTGGCTGCACCATCACTTGTTATTCTGCCTATGTATGGCCTAGATTCAAAGGTCCAGCTGTCCATTCTGGCCACACCATTCCCTGGCTCCTCTGCCAGGCCCAATTGTGCCTGACCTACCTAAGCCAGCCCTACCTGCCCAGTGATCACAAGAATCCTGCCAGCCAGAAGGACTCACTTTTTTCCCCTGAAATATCCACAAGAGCCTGTCTTTTTTATTTATCTATTTATCGAGACGGAGTCTTGCTCTGTCACCCACGCTGGAGTGCAGTGGTATGATCTCGGAGGAGCCTGTCTTTTGCAGGGGCCACAGCTCAGGGCCAGCTTTCTGGAAGCCCCAGAGTCAGATGTACTCCTGTCCTGACTTCCAGCCTTCCAGTACTGGCTATCATGTCTTTTGGGGACCACTCAGCACTGGGAGCTGCCTGAGGCCCCCACATGGCAGAGAACATGCTGGTCATGACAGCCTCAGCCCAAGACCCTGGCCCAAGAGCAACAGCCAGTTGGTTCTAGTGTCTGGATGGTGACAACAGGTGAAGCCATCTGCACAAATACTGCCTTCAACCTGGTCCAGTGACAGACCAGGGGAGCCACAGAGCAGCCCCCAGGCCAGCCCTGCCCAGTGTTTCCATCAGTGTGGCATGAAAAAAGGACCCTGTACTCAGCCAAAAGCTGAGCCCTGACCTGCCCACCCACCCTGCCCACGAGGGACTCTGACTTCAGGCAGAGGCAGGCAGCAGAGCTGTCAACTTCTGTGATTCTATCCCAGGGCCCACAAGGTCCTCAGGAGACCCAAAAGGAGCTGAGCTGGGGGAGTCAGGGAGGGGCCTGCTGAGTGAAGGGCAGCGTGGGCCTGGGCGTGAGTCGGCACTAAGAGCACATGGCCTGGCTCCCACTGGAGAGGAGGCAGCAGGGGAGAGTCCTGCAGAGCCCTCACACACTCCACTCAGCTCCCAGGTACATGTAGTGCCCATAAGCCTCCCAGGAGACCCAGAAATGGTTCTTTCTTGGTCAAGAAAAGAGGCAACCCCACCCATACCCACACAGGCCCTGATGCCCACACACATCAGAGAACAAAGCTTTTGTGCCCAGGGTGGGGCAAAAGGGGAATATCCCCTCCTTCCCCCTGTGGATCCCATAACACTTGCTCCTCCTGGTGCTCCACCCCCACCCCACAGGGTGCTGACTGCAACCAAAGCGCCCCATGGAAAGAACAGCCCATGGATGGAGCCCAAGAGGCGCTATGTCCTGAACGGGCCGTGCTGGGTCTAAGGTGATATTTCCCAATCACAGAGTCTCTAACTTTGCCACCCACTGGCCCTGTGCTTCCGCTTCCCTTGGTGGCCCAGGGTAACAATCCCACTCTGAAGGCTGGAGGACCCACAGAGGCACCACCCCCAGTTAAATGGCTGCATTGTGAAAGGGGATGCACAAGAGACATTTCCTGCCTTGGGTCTCTTGCCTCAGGACTGATGTGCATCAGGCCACGGCCAGGCCAGCCTGCTGGAGAGGGCTGCGTTCCCTGTGCTCTGTGTGGGGAATGGTGTTCACAGTTCTGGGTCACTACCGTTGACTCCCCCAAGACACGGGGGCAGATGTGCTCCATTATATAAGCCTTGGGTCAATCCCAGAGAATGAGCATCAAATTCACTCCTGTCTGAAGCTGGCTGTCCCAAGGCATTTGGGTTTTGGGGTGAGATAAGGGTCTGGAGTCAGCATCAAAGTGTTCTGGTTTTGGAAACACATGAAGTTCTCTGCAGCTCTCTGAGGTACAGGAAATGGTGCTAGGTCTGTGCTTTAAAAAAGCCTAAGAGGAGGGGGTGCCTGGAAGGAATCCTGAAGCCAAGGGTAAGGGTTTCCACCTTTCCTACCTCCCCACCAGAGACATTCCACAAAGTCTCATGACAAACTCAGAATAGGCAAAAAAAAAAAAAAAAAAAAAAAAGGAGGCGGGGTGAAGGAAAGTGGAGGGGAGGGAGGGGGTAATAAGAGATTACAGGGGATCATCTGGCCCAATCCTGAAACACCCCTGCCATATGATGCCCTATCAGTCCTCTCAGACAGCTGAGGAATCTGAGGTCTGGAGGAGGCGCCTAGAGCCTCGACAGGCAGCTGGCAGCCTGGAGCCCCTGAGGTCCAGGCAGATTCCGCCACAAGCCTGAGCCAGAGGCAGCGGGACCCCAGTTCATTCACTTGGAAATCACTCAAGTTGACTGGGCCACTGCCCCTCCCCAGACCCTCCCCTTTCCCTTGTCAGGCAACAGCCTTCCTGCAAAGCTGCCAGGCTAGGGATGAGGATGCCTCGGTCCCCCTAGGAATTGGCTGTCCCCAGGGTGCAGGTGCCCGGCAGCTGCCCACCAGGCCACTTCTCTCTGCTTACTGCCTGGAGCCTGGAGCGCATGTGAGGAGCAGGTGGCTCACGGAGCGCTTAGCCCGGCCGCGTACTGTGGGCACTGCATTATGGGTACCATGGTACCCCTGCAGGTTAGGGTTTGCATACCCTTCCCCGGCTGACCCCACAAACCCTTCTCGAAGACCCACCACATTCCACCTGACCTTGACAGCCAGGGGCCCCACAGCCCTGGGACATTGGCCCGCTACCCTCCTCCTTGCGTTCAGCACCCCTGGGGGGGAGACCCATTAGCTCGCCAGGTAGGAAAGCAGGGTGGGGGCAGTGGTGACACTAGAGGGTGTCACCTTGTTGTGCCGAGCACTGGCGGGGGCTGGACATGAGCTCACACACTCACACTCACCCTCCAAAGTCCAACCTCTTGCTTTGGCCAAAGCTGGCCAGAAACTAGGGCCTGGGGACAGAGGAGATAGACGTCTCCGTGCCGGCTTCCTGCAGTGTCCCCACGGTTGGGTGTCGGTTCTGCCCCTGCAGGTGCCACATCAACTGCTGCACCCAGGTGGCTCCAGCCGCCATCTTCAGGAAGCGGGGGCAGCAAAACCGGGCACTGGCCCCACAGTGCCACTCACACCTGGCAACCACTTTCCACCCAGGCGCCCGTTCCGCCTCCTCAAAGCCTCAACCCGCTGAACCCAGGCCTTTGCCTTGTGCTGGCTGAGTCTTTCTTCACCTGCTGCTCTCCAGGAGCTTTGAGGAGGCGCTGGCCACAGGGGTCACAGCCAGGCAGAGCACAATGGTGCAGGCTGAGACGCCCAAGGCGGAGAGGGGATCTTAGCATCTTTAACTGGTGCCCTCCACTACCGGAAGGCATGCTGCCCCCCAGGCCCGTCTATGGCACCCGCAGAAGGAGGGTTATGAGAAGCAGGCTGCTCATTATAACTCCAGTTCTGGGCCCCTTAGACGTGGGATAGAGGGGGACAGGCAGAGCTGGGATGTGACTGTAATGGAGATGGGTCTGTCGAGGGCTGGCTGGGAGCTCCAGCCTCCTCTCTCCTTGGCAGGGGGCCTGAGGCCCATCCGCAGCTCTCTTTGACTCCTTTTATTCTGCAGAACACCCAGACCCCAGCCTTCTCATGGGAATCATAAGACGCATGAGGCCCAGGGTTCTTTCTGCCTCTTCCCAACCATGGTCTTTGTATTTCCCCCAAGGAGTGTCTAACTCCTTGAACAGAATTGCGGCCCAGAGATCTGTATGCTGTAGTCATTGAAATATGCCAAGGTTCTAGAAAAGCAACCACACAAAATGAAGTGCTTAATATTTCTATGTTAAATGAATGAATCCCAACCAGAACCTTCTTAGATATCTGAATGGGCACAGGACCCCTTTTCCAGCACTCAGGGACCCTGATCTGTCTCTATAACTGATGGCGACTAGCTGGAAAAAAGACCGTCACACTTTCTTTAAAATGGAAAACAGATTATTAATTTGTCTTGATGAATAAAACAGATTTGCTTTCTATGCGCTATTTTAAATACAGTGTAAAAAACGTGGCAAAGCCTTTATTGTTCACACTTTACTCAACATCAGATAATTCATGCTAGAGAAACACTATACACGTAATGGATGTAGAAGGAGTTTGATTTAAAATATAAACCTTAGAAATAACCAGAATTCATACGGAATTCTTCCATAGGGAAACTTTTCAGATGCAATAAATGTGAGGAAGTATTCAAAAATCAAGTCTAAATAAACATCGGAGAATTTCCACGAGAAAGTACAAAGGCACTACAATTTTAAAACTTTACATTAAACAAGAATATCTAATATAGAGACTAATCTAAAGTCAAAACAATTAGATAATTTATTTGTATGTTTCAATGAAGCAACGGCTTTGTATTTGAACAGGTATAATTATATATCAATGGATACTCGTTTTGTATTGTCATTATTTGCTTTTTTTTTTTTTAGAAACAACTATTATTGATGTAATTCAACTTTCCATTCAGTTGACCCTGTCCCTACATTCCTAGTGTTTATATGAAAACATGTGACCTACTGTTGCTGCATCAGAGCTGGGAGAGGCCATTCTACATGAATTTCTCCATGGAACCTTCATGGCAAACGTAAAATTAAGAAATAAAAACAAAAATAAAACTGCCAGGCACTGTGGCTCATGCCTGTAATCCCAGAACTTTGGAAGGCCGAGTCAGGTGGATCACCTGAGGCCAGGAGTTCAAGATTAGCCTGGCCAACATAGTGAAACCTCATCTCTACTAAAAATACAAAAAATTAGCCAGACGTGGTGGCAGGCACCTGTAATCCCAGCTACTTGGGAGGCTGAGTCAGGAGAATCGCTTGAACCCAGGAGGCAGAAGTTTCAGTGAGCAGAGATTGCATCATTGTACTCCAGCCTGGGCAACAGGAGTGAAACTCTGTCTCAAAAAAAAAAAAAAGAAAGAAAAAACAAATTTAAGGAGAGATCCTCTTTGTGGTTTACTTAAAGTCTGCATGAGGGAGGTGTTCTGGAAGTTATTCTTCTCTATTAAAGCAAGAGTGAAAAATCCTGAATTTCTGAAATAAATAATTTTACCAATCATCTCTCCTTGAAGGATAAAAAAGCTGGCCAGTCTATTAAAATACCAGTGTATTATAGTAAAAGTTTAAAGTCTTGAATATCATTCAGTGTGATAATTTTTTAAAAAATTACAGATACCAGAGAAAAGTAAAGATAACACCTCCATGAGAGGATTTTAATGTGTTTTAAATCAATGTTTCCTAAATAATTAACCTTAGTCTTTAAAAATGGAGAAAGGAAGTATCTAAGATAATTACATCAGAGAAAAAATAATGCTTATTCAGTGTTTGTGACTGTATTTTCACCAAGAAGAATATAGTGGATTTTGGAATGCCTTACTTAGACTATGTGTGAACTTAGTTTTAATTAATAAACTAAATGGTTTTCAATGTTTTGACACTGATGTGCAATAAATGAAATGGTATCCTGCCACCAATGTTAAACTATTTTCTTTAATCAAGATAACAATATACTATTGAGTAACACAGTGAAATGACTTATTTAGTAATCATTTGTTCAGAGAACTTAAAACAAATAATTTGGTGACTATTGTTGTCAAAAGTTTTATTTCATTTTTTTTAACCTTTTGGTAACTACAGGAAGATTATGCCAGTTATGATAAAGATCATATAGGAATGTGGTTGGCCAGGTGCAGTGGCTCACACCTGTAATCCCAGCACTTTGGGAGGCCGAAGCAGGTGGATCAAGAGGTCAGGAGTTCGAGACCTGCCTGGCCAATATGGTGAAACCCTGTCTGTACTAAAAATACAAAAATTAGCCAGGCATGGTGGTGCACACCTGTAGTCCCAGCTACTTGGGATGCCGAGGCAGAAGAATCACTTCAACCCGGGAGACGGAGGTTATAGTGAGCCAAGATAATGCCACTGCACTCCAGCCTGGGTGACAAAGTGAGACTCTGTCTCAAAAACAAACAAACAAACAAACAAACAAACAAACAAAAAAAGATATAGGAATGTGATTGGAAGCCATAATTTCTGAATTTTAAATTATTATTTATAAAAATTTACTGAATGTTGGCTGGGCTCAGTGGCTCATGCCTGTAATCCCAGCACTTTGGGAGGCCGAGGTGGGTGGATCACGAGGTCAGGAGCTCAAGACCATCCTGGCCAAGATGGTGAAACCCTGTCTCTACTAAAGATAAAAAATATTAGCTGGGCGTGGTGGTGTGCCTGTAATCCCAGCTGCTTGGGTGGCTGAGGAAGGAGAATCACTTAAACCCACGCAGCAGAGTTTGCAGTGAGCCGAGATCACACCACTGCACTCCAGCCTGGGTGAGAGAGCACGACTCTGTCTCCAAAAAAAAAAAAAATTATCATCAAAAAGTGGGCAAAGGATATGAACAGACACTTCTTGAAAGAAGTCATATATGCAGCCAACAAATATGAAAAATTTCTCATCATTACTGGCCATTAGATAAATGCAATCAAAACCACAATCAGATACCATCTCATGCCAGTTAGACTGGTGATCATTAAAAAGTGAGGAAACAGCAGATGCTGGAGAGGACGTGGAGAAATAGGAATGCTTTTACACTGTTGGTGGGAGTGTAAATTAGTTCAACCATTGTGGAAGACAATGTGGCAATTCCTCAAGGATCTAGAACTAGAAATACCATTTGACCCAGCAATCCCATTACTGGGTGTATACCCAAAGGATTATAAATCATTCTACTATAAAGACACATGCACATGTATGTTTATTGAGGCACTGTTCACAATAGCAAAGACTTGGAACCAACCCAAATGCCCATCAATGATAGACTGGATGAAGAAAATGTGGCATATATACACAATGGAATACTATGCAGCCATAAAAAAGAATGAGTTCATGTCCTTTGCAGGGACGTGGATGAAGTTGGAAACCGTCATTCTCAGTAAACTAACACAAGAACAGAAAACGAAACATTGCATGTTCTCACTCATAAGTGGGAGCTGAACAATAAGAACACATGGACATAGGGAGGGGAACATCACACACTGGGGCCTGTCAGGCGGGTGGGGGGGCTAGGGGAGGGATAGCATTAGGAGGAATACCTAATGTAGATGACGGGTTGATGGGTGCAGCAAACCACCATGGCACGGGTATACCTATGCAACAAACCTGCACGTTCTTCATCCATGTCCCTGCAAAGAACATGAACTCATCCTTTTTTATGGCTGCATGGTATTTCATGGTGTGTATGTGCCACATTTTCTTTATCCAGTCTATCATTGATGGACATTTGGGTTGGCTACCATTCAGGACATAGGCATTGGCAAAGCCTTCATGTCTAAAACACCAAAAGCAATGGCAACAAAAGCCAAAATTGACAAACAGGATCCAATTATAGGTTTTAAATACCACATTCTGATCACTTAATTGAGGTGAGAGAAAAATAATGCAATAGTCCAGAGCATCAGATCAGGCAGTCAGCACTGTGGCAGATGTGGAGACAGATTAAACATGATGATGGTGTCCTTCTTAGAGAGGTAAATGAGGCCTATTCCAAATATATGTGTGTGTACATATATATATATATATATATATATATTTATATATATATATATTTATATATATATATTTATATATATATTTATATATATATATTTATATATATATATATTTATATATATATATTTATATATATATATATTTATATATATATATTTATATATATATTTATATATGTATTAATATATATATTTATATATATATTTATATATGTATTTATATATATATTTATATATATTTATATATATATTTATATATGTATTTATATATATATTTATATATATTTATATATATATTTATATATATATTTATATATATATATTTATATATACACACACACACACACACACACACACACATAGCAGACGCATTTGAAATTTGGGGTAGAAATTGAAGTGAGCTCTCTGTAATCACTCTGAGGTCTTAGGATAGCTAGCTACAAGTGGTGTCATCACGTGAACAAATGTGACAGAGATGAGATGGGGACTTGGGAAATATAAGTTTCTTTTTCTTTTCTTTTCTTTCTTTCTTTCTTTTTTTTTTTTTTTTTGAGACAGGGTCTCGCTCTGTCACCCAGGCTGGAGTGCAGTGGTGTGATCGCAGCTCACTGCAATCTCTGCCTCCCGGGTTCAAGCGATTCTCCTGCCTCAGCCTCCTGAGTAGCTGGGATTACAGGTGTGCACCACCACGCCAGACTAATATTTGTATTTTCAGTAGAGACGGGGTTTCACCATGTTGGCCAGGCTGGTCTCAAACTCCTGACCTCAAGTTATCCACCCACCTCGGCCTCCCAAAGTGCTGGGATTATAGGTTTGAGCCACCGACCCGGCCTAAATTGAGACAGCTTTAGAATGTTAAGCAGTGATAGAGTTTGGATGAGTTTCCCCGCCCAAATCTCACATCGAAATGTAATCCCCAATGTTGGTGGTGGAGCCTGGGGGGAGGTGATCGGATCGTGGGTGCGGATTTCTTCTGAATAGTTTAGCACCATCCCTCCTGGTACTGTCCTCCCAATAGTGAGTGAGTTCTCAGGAGATCTTGTCATTTAAAAGTGTATAGCACCCCCGTTGCCTGCTTTACAAGCTCCTGCTTCCCCTTCCACCATGATTTTAAGCTTCCTGAGGCCTCCCCAGAGGTAGATGCTGGTGTTTTGCTTTCTGTACAGCCTGTAGAACCGTGAGCCAATTAAACATCTTTTCTAATCAATTACCGAGTTTGAGGTGTTTCTTCATAGCAATTCAGGAACGGATTAATAGAGTTTATTTGCACAAACAGCAATTTATGAATCAGAGAGCACCAAGTTATGGTTTCTTTGGAGGCTCCAAGGAGGGTCTTGTAAAAAAGGTTTTTGTAAAGGGCATCAGAAAGAAAACCAAATTCAATATCTGATTGGTTACAGTTATATATTGCATTTGCACCCATCAGGTGGAAATGTCTTGGTCGTGTAATGAGAGCTTTATTGGCAGCTTGTGGTTGGTTAAGCCTAATTTTATTTTCTCAAAGTTAGTAATTTACAATAAATTCCTTTGATGTAGTTAGGTTTCCTTAGGAAGAATCCCAGGGCAGCATGGCCACTTCAGTGTAAGTGCCAGCTATTGAATTATTTTAACCCTCCACAGAGGGCCTGGTTTTCCTCGCATTTTTCAAATGTATGGCAAGCAGGGTCTCAAATCCATGACTGTTCTCCCAGCCTAACTGTTCTAGGCCCTGTGGAAAATTCTAACTTTCCAATTCCTTTCCCACATTCCCAAATGCCAACCGTTCTTCTCCAAATCACAACATTATCAACTATTAGTCTTTTATTTAGTTTTAAAACAGACACAGCATTTTAATTGTTTATTTTTGTTTCACGGCGTGGTGGATGGCTCTTCTAAAAATATGTGTCTGTTTGTGAACATTTCACATGACAGGGAAGCAAAGGGTAATCACCTGACACTCTGCTGTGACAAGTCTTCGCGCGTCTAATTTTCCCTAGGCACACACACCTTACCAGAATATCTCTGGGTGAAGGTTTCTTTTTGGAACCTTTGCAGGGTGATGTGTCCTCAGCCACTGTCCTGTTTTTTCCTGGTTCTGAATACTACAACCGTCTGGGGATGACCCAAGATACCCACAAGAGCCATGTCTCTTGGAGTGTCTAGTAAATATCAGTCCTTCTGTCAGCTTCCAGAGGAGAGTCTGAGATATTGGGTGGAGCCTCTCAGAGAAGCAGCTGGATGTCCTCATGCTGAGAGCAGTTTCCTGATATACCATTCCTCTAAAAAGCTAACTGCTTAAACATTAAAAAAATTTTTCCCTCAGACCCAGCTTTTATTCCTCGCAGACATATTGGTGGTCAGCCAATCAGGTGCTGGTATTGAGGGGAAAAGGCGCAAATGCATCTTTCCCTCTTGTTTCTCTCACACTTGTGAAAGGAGAATATCCCTAAGTAGAAGTAAAACCCACCCTATTGAGGTAGTGTATGAACTTGCAAAGCCAAATACACATCAGACACACAGGGAGCAAGTGCATTGTCTTCTGAGAAGGTGGTGATCAAGTTCTTTAGTGAGCAGGATGTGGGGAGGAGATTCTCTCAAGTGATTGATACATGAATCCAATATGTCTGTGTTCCAGTGTGGTGATTCCTCAAGGACCTAGAACTAGAAATCCCATTTGACCCAACAATCCCATTACTGGATATACACCCAAAGGATTATAAATCATGCTACTCTAAAGACACATGCACACGTATGTTTATTGTGGCACTATTCACAATAGCAAAGACTTGAAACCAGACCAAATGTCCATCAATGATAGACTGGATAAAGAAAATGTGGCACATATACACCATGGAGTACTAGGCAGCCATAAAAAAGGGTGAGTTCATGTCCTTTGCAGGGACATGGATGAAGCTGGAAACCATCATTCTCAGCAAACTATCACAAGGACAGAAAACCAAACACCACATGTTCTCACTTACACGTGGGAGTTGAACAATGAGAACACTGGGACACAGGGCAGGGAATATCACACACTGGGGCCTGTCAGGGGGTGGGGGGCTGGGGGAGGGATAGCATTAGGAGAAATACCTAATGTAAATGATGTGTCGATGGGTGCAGCAAACCAACATGGCACATATATACCTATGTAACAAACCTTCATGTTGTGCACATGTACCCTAGAACTTAAAGTATAATAATGAAAAAAAAAATGTCTGTGTTCCAGTCAGCACCGCCTCTCCAGGTGTTCATCACCTTGAATATATTTGTTCAGTTATTTCAACTTCCGCCTTTCATTAACCATATACTGTATTTCATCATTAGAGCTTGAAAGATAAAAAAACACAAATGTTTTCTAAGAGAAAAACAGGTAGATTTGAGAGAAAAAAATCATATTCCATTGGTTAAAAATTCTCAGGTACTGCTTTTATTTTGCAGAGTGAGCGTAGTAAGATTCTGAGTTCTGTTCTGTTTTAGCATGATTTCAGACAGAGTCGCAGGACTTGGTTTTGGGAATGCTACCTTGGAAAAGAAATAGAGAAAATGTCTCTCTCTTTATGCCTGCATAAAAATAAATACATTTCTACAAGAAACTTACAGATTAACACATGAATTACAAACATTCATGAAAACGCCAGTTACACTCTTGTGCAGGGTGGAGAACTTGTGACAGTTGGTAACTCATTTTTTTCTAGATGAATTTCTACTTCATAGGGAATATTTTTATATATATGATAAAGAAGTATTTGCCACTATGCATACACCTCTTTGCTCAGCTAGCATATAACCTAAAGCAATATGATTGTCTAGTACAAGCTTAGCCAGTGAATCAGTAGCATTTTTGTTGAGCTACAATGAATACAACAGTTGCATCTGTAATTTTTTCCAAGGTTATAAAAATATTTTAAGTCATGTGTTCATGGGAACAACTCACCAAGGCAAAAGCATTTTTCCAGTAAAATGCATAAAGCTGTTTTCCTGAAAGCCAGGCAGATAATTAGCAGATTTCCTCCAAATGGAGTCTTCATCTAAAACAGATTGGTGGCCAAGCTTGGGGAAAAGTTTGAGAGAATTTGTCCAGTGCTGGGTTTCTTCGGAGCTGTGTATAAATAGAGGGGTGACCAAATATCCTAAAAGACATTGCCCTTCAACTTAGCAGCACAGGTAGTGGCCAAGAAAACCTAATATGGTTCCTTCCAACAGGTTTGCAGGGTATCTGTTTCTTCATAGAAATCTGGTTTAAAAGAAAAACTCAAATTTTATGATTGTATTTTTGTATGATTAGTATTAAAACTAATTTTAAGAAAAACCTTATAAATAGGTGTATCTAATCTCAATCAACTTTGACAATATAAGACTTCTATAAACCTTTTATAACTCTTTTAACTCTTTTCTCTTTTTTTATTCTCTTTCTCCAACTTTTTATATCCATTTAGTTTATCTCTCTTTTTTATTTTTTGAGACAGAGTCTCACTCTGTCATCCAGAATGGAGTGCAGTGCACCATCTCAGCTCACTGCAACCTCTGCTTCCCGGATTCAAGCGATTCTTCTGCTTCAGCCCCCTGAGTATTTGGGACTACAGGCGTGTGCCACCACGCCCGGCTAATTTTTTTTTTTTTTTTTTTTTTAGTAGAAAAGGGGTTTCACCATAGTGGCCAGGCTGGTCTCAAACTCCTGGCCTCATGATCCACCTGCCTCTGCCTCCAAAAATGCTAGGATTACAGGCATGAGCCACTGTGCCCTGTCGAGTTTATCTCATTTTCTTTGGCTTTTATTCTTTCAATTTTATGCAACCTTTAAATAAACTCTAAACTCACCAAAATTGCCTTTTAAGAAAAAATCACATCCTCATGTCTCCTTTTTAAAATAAATTTTTTCACCAAGAAACACATCTTATTTTCTTTGTACACTCTATGTAGAATTGTTTCTCTTCTTAACAATAGTTTTAGTTATATCTTAACCAGAATTTTAATTCTTAGTAATTTTAACTCATAGTGAAATTCTAAGAAGTAAGCAATTTTAACTATTAGTCATATACTAACAATTTATGAGTACATATTTTATGATTTTTTAGAAACGTAGGATTTTAAATGGAAACATCTTTTTTTTTTTTTTTGAGATGGAGTCTTGCTCTGTTGCCCAGGCTCGAGTGCAGTGGTGCAATCTCGGCTCACTGCAACCTCCACCTCTTGGGCTGAAGTGATTCTCCTACCTCAGCCTCCCGAGTAGCTGGGATCACAGGCGAGTGCCACCATGCCCAACTAATTTTTCGTATTTTTAGTAGAGATGGGGTTTCACCATGTTTGCCAGGCTGGTTTTGAACTCCTGACCTTAAGTGATCTGCCTGCTTTGGCCTCTCAAAGTGCTGGGATTATAGCCGTGAGCCACTGCGCCCAGCAGGAAACATCTTTTAACGTGGAACAGGATGTATTTACTTACAGATCTAAATATCTTTTGTTTTTGTGAAATAAACCTTTAAGAAAACTTTATAAATAGGTGTATCTAATCTCAATCAACTTTGACCATACAAGATAAGATTTCTATAAACCTTTTATAACTCTTTTTCTCTTCTCTTTCTCCAAATTTTTATATCCACTTAGTTTATCTCTCTTTTTTATTTTATTTTTTTTATTTTTAGAGACAGACTCTCACTCTGTCGCCCAGAATGGAGTGCAGTGCGCCATCTCGGCTCACTGCAACCTCCGTCTCCCGGATTATATATATAAATTTGAGATGGAGTCTCACTCTGACACCCAGGATGGAGTGCAGTGGCACTATCTCTGCTCACTGCAACCTCCACCTCCCGGGTTCAAGCGACTTGCCTGCCTCAGCCTCCTGAGCAGCTGGGATTACAGGTTCCCACCACCACACCTGGGCAATTTTTGTATTTTCAGTAGAGACGGGGTTTCACGATGTTGGCTAGGCTGCTCTCGAACTCCTGACCTCAGGTGATCCACCCACCTCGGCCTCATTTAAGTTAATTTGATATCATGTAGATAATATACAAACACGTAGATAGACATATACATACATGTAGACACAAAATATAGCTTACACATGTATGTATCTAAAAGCCCTAGAGATGCAGGAGTTCATTGTAAAAGAGTAGAGCTTCAGACCTGAGAGCAACCTGTCCACCCACAACTCTTGGGGCTCCATGAGGAAAAATAGAGGTACCCTGCCAAAGACGGAGAAGCCTGTGGTGCTTTATCTGTGTTCTTCAAGGGGTCCAAGGCTGCTAGAAGTTTCCTTTAGGTTCTCTCACATGGTACCAAAAGGTCGCAAAAGGAAGATGAGATAGATAGAAGTAAACAGAAGAGTTAATTCTAGAAAAGGCCGTTTGAGAAGATTTAGGTTTCCAAAAAGCCAGTAAAGTTTTACATTATCCTTGGCAAAAATCATGTGAGCAAGAGAAGAGACAGAGGGAGCACACATAGTTAGCATGAGTTTAGGGAAAGAGGAATTGAGTTGACTGAGAAGCTTATATAAAAAAACCCACAGGCCTCAAATTAATATATACATAAATAGCCTGAATATCAGTTATAAGTGGACTTTTGACTGTAGAGCTCTTAAATTTTTTAAAATTAAATTTTAGCCAAGTAAATAGCAAACATTACTTGTTTTTTTCTTTCTAAAGTTTACATCAAGATGAAATTTTGGAGGTGGGACATTTCTGTTTACTGGAGGTCTAGGGTAATTACTATTTAAAGCTGTTTGTCTTCGGAAATTTTTAGTAAATGTTTTCTATCTTCCAAACCACAGTATATGGTTTTATTTATGTCAGGAGAGAAGGTTAAATGAAAAAAACAAAACAAAACATTTCTGTCACACTCTAAATATGAACCAAAATTTTAAATTAAAGGCGTACCTGAACTAGTGACTCAAAACCAACACAAATAAACATGTGTGAGACCAAATCCAAGAAGTCATGCATGGCTTTAACTAAAGCTCCAAAGAGAGCACAAAAAGCGTAGCTTTTCCATGATTAAAACACCTATTAAAAACAGCTTCCTGCAAATGGGGTGCAATCTACATTTTCAGGCCACATATTCTAGTGTCTCAACTTCTCAGTTTACCATCAACCCACAAAGGCCAGTCAGAAGATGGAAAGCAATGGTCGGTAAAACAGAAGAACAAAAAATTTCCATGGGGTAGAAAAGGTTCCAAATGTGTACTCCAAAAGTCCGAGAGTCATACAAATGATAGAAAACAAATAAATTCATCATTATAAATGTTTCTTGCCTAAGCTAGAGGTACTAACCGAGAAATAAAATTTTGAGGGTGAGTCTAAAAACCTTCAATTTTTTTTTCAATTTGATTTCAGCTGCAATGCTGTTTTGCTAATTACCTGGATGTTAACATTTCAAATACGTGGTAAGGTTTACATCTTTGAGGGACTGAGAAAGGCCTGGGAAAGGTTAAAGTATGTGTTGTAAATCCTGCAGCAAAGTCAAGCAGGCAATTTGAGCATGTAAAGGGTTTTCTTGAGGCAGTGAAAGAAGAGCCCTCTGAAAATGTTATGTAGTTATTATACAGTTAATAGTTATTCAACTTGGTCTTTAACTTGTCTGTGGCTGGATGTTGTTTATGGGTTACACTCTAATTCACAGTTTCAGATGTCATTTCACAATGTCTAAAAAATATGACCTATTGAATGTCTACTTTCATGAAGTTACTGACATAATTTTGCATCCAAAATTTTAAAATTTTAAATATTTTTCTATGGAATTTGAAAATAATATGTATGCTCTTTATACTACTTAATAATGCTATCCATTTGTTCATATAATAACTAATCAAACTGTCTTAAATGTTAATGAACACTCTTTATGTTTACTTATTTGTTGTATATAAAAAAAGTTTATTTTTTGACAGTTTAATGTCACCTAATATTATTTTTAATGTTTCAATTTCTCATTTACATGAATGTTTGTGTTGTTTATTTTAGTCTTACAGGTGTTATTTAAACTGTCTGTGCAAATGCCTTGGAATAGTGCGTAACACATCGTGAATTCTATGTACGTGTTCAGGGCTGTTTCATCACATTTTAATCTGTCATACCCTTCTTCATTTACCGTCATTTTGTGTTTGTCCTTATTCAAATTATGTTTGTGCCTTGACTTGACTACATATTCATGGAAGAGAGAAGGTAGACTCAGACTTCCATCCGGATTAAGCACAAAGTTAACTAACATATCTTCTTAGCTCACTTTAGATAGAATATTATATTTGTTTTATAATATAAATATGAATTTTAAGTACTGCATGAAGAATAATCTTCCCCATCTTACAAAAGAAGATCATCAGACATTGGATCATTCATGAATTACCCAAAGCTGTATTCTCTCAACAATTCTTTTTATTCTTACATCTTAACCTCCATGAAAATCTAGAGGCATGAAGTACTAGAAATTAGAAACAAATTTGCAGAAAAGCACAAATTCTCAAAATTAATCCAAGAAGAAAGAGAATATATTAATATACTTATAACAGGTAAAGACATTGACAAGATTCCTTCCCAGAAAAAAGGCTCAGATAGCTTCACTGGTAAATTCTACTAAACATTTAATGAATAATTAATACCAATTCTACACAAACACTTGCAAAATGTAAAAGGGAAAAGAAAACAATTCATTTGTTGAGGCCGGTATTACCCAGTAAACGAAACCACATGAAAGCATAAAAAAAAAAAAATGAGAGACCATTATTCTTCATAAGTATAGACCCAGAATTTTTTTTTTGAGATGGAGTTTTGCTCTTGTTGCCTAGGCTGCAGTGCCATGGCCCCATCTCAGCTCACTGTACCCTCTGCCTCCTGGGTTCAAGTGATTCTCCTGTCAGCCTCCTGAGTAGCTGGGATTACAGGCACCCGTTACTATGCCCGGCTAATGTTTGGTATTTTTTTTAGTAGAGACGGGGTTTCACCATGTTGGCCAGGCTGGTCTCAAACTCCTGACCTCAGGTGATCCGCCTGCCTTGGCCTCCCAAAGTGCTGAGATTACAGGCATGGGCCACCGCACCCAGCCTAGCAGTCTTTAAAAACTCTAGAAAACTGAATTCAGCAACACATAAAATGTTAGACAAAATGACCAAGTGGAATTATCTCACTAATGCAAATATCAGTCAATGTAATATACCATATTAATAGAATAGAGGACAAAACCATAATTATTTCAGTAGACACACAAAAGCATTGGATAAAATCCATTACTCATTAACAATAAAGCCTCCAGAAATCTAGGAATAGAAAAATCTGCTTAACCTCTCCTACAGGGCATCTATAAATCTTTCACACATTCCAGTAAAATATAATAGAGGACATATTGGTATGTCTTACTTTATGGTTTTAAAAATTAACAACGCATAATAAAGATAATGTATTTACCTAGAAAACAAACACTTTTCTAAAAACGTTTCTATTGCATGTGATAAAAGTGGAAATTAAGATAAAAAAGAGTAGTACTGTTGAGAATGACTAGGATTTGGTATCATTAATTTTCTTATTAGCAATTAAAATAGTATCAACAATTCTAACAAGACACAGGTGCATTCTCCCCAGCAAAAAGGCATGATGATCACATAAAATC